>NC_000002.12:110822951-111125981 GCF_000001405.40 Homo sapiens | reverse complement strand
GATACACACCATAAAGCCCTGTTAACTCATTTAGTAAGCAAGGATGTTATAGTAAGCGAGAATGATCATATATATGGGGGAGCATTTTCATGAGTACAACAAAAACTACAAGCCAAGAACTTCTAAGGCTGAAATGAGTTCACGAGCAGTAGTAACAGCAATAATAAAACTTCCAGCCCCTTTCCCTAAGGAGGGACCCTAAAAAATTACCTCCTGGCATTTGGCAAGAGACGTGCAGCCAGCATGTGTAGCTGCTGGGATGTCTGTCATTTCTCCCCACCACCTCACAGGTGTGCCCAACCTCTGACAAGTGACCACCACTCTGAGGTTCTTTCCAATTCTATAACATGGGCAAAGGCCTGCCTGATTTACCTCACTGAAGCCTATGAAGACAGAGCTGGATGGTATTTAGAAATGTCATTTTGTTCCAGTGTCTGTTCTGATGGGTTTGTTGAGTTAGCCTTCATCATGAGGTACAATCTAAATTATAATAGACTCTGTACTGGGTTTCCTAATTGATAACTCTACCAACTTACTTCTATCTTGTTCATGTATGGCAAGCTAATCTGGACAAATGGTCAATGTGATTGACTACTGATCAAGACATGAACCTTTTCCATTGGTGGGGAACAGCAAGTCGATCAACACAGACTCAGCCCCTCACCAAGGTTACCCAAAGTATGTACCCAAAGTCACATGCTGTAGGTTCAAGGGCCAAATCAAGTCTGCAGATGTTTCTTTTCAGCTTGTACAATGTTTTCAAAATCTGAATCAGCTGTCAATGTTGAAACAGGGTATCTGGCATCAATTTTGCATTCCTAGGTTATCTTGCAATATAGGAAAACCCACCCTGAGACCACATGCCCTCACAGCCACAATTAGGTGTGGCCCAAACATAGAAGGGGCAAATACTCTCCAATTTACCAGTCTCCACCAGGTCAGTTCCTTCCATGATTTTGCTGTGGGCCTCTGTGGTATTTATGTTAGCCACTCTTGGTTCAAACCCTACTACTGCCTTTAATCCCTGAAATAAAAACCTACAACCTAATCTGATTAGTACTATGTCCAAACCCTCTGAGCAATAAGCACAAAGAGGAATTTAGGCAGAAAACAAACCATTTTCATGGTTCTATGTTGGTACTGCTTTCATGAACTAGTTCATTTTTTTAAAAGTGTTATTTTCAAAAATGATTGTCATCTTTCTTTACACTTTTGATTATTAAGCTATTTTCTGTAAATGATCAGTTCCCTTTCAAGCAAAATGTCATTACTATGTAAAGCCTGGTGGTTAAAACACACTTTAGCTTAATGAAGACAGACCTGAAAGCTAATGTTTGGACCTCAACTCATCACTGCCACAAAAGTTAGTAACTTTGTAAAAATGTTGATGTGGGCCATGCGCGGTGGCTCACGCCTGTAATCCCAGCACTTTGGGAGGCTGAGACAGGCAGATTACAAGGTCAGGAGATTGAGACCATCCTGGCTAACACGGTGAAACCCCATCTCTACCAAAAATAGAAAAAATTAGCTGGGCGTGGTGGCACGCGCCTGTAGTCCCAGCTACTCTGGAGGCTGAGGTAGGAGAATTGCTTGAACCCGGGAGGTGGAGCTTGCGGTGAGCTGAGATTGCACCACTGCACTCCAGCCTGGGCGACAGAGCAAGACTCATCTCAAAAAAAAAAAAAAAAGTTGGTTTGATAGTTTGACACATCCTCCATTCCCATCTAAAGATGGAATAAATCAGTTACGGGGTTTTAAAAGGGGATTTTAAATGCCACACACAGCCTTCAAGCAGATTCAACCATCCACACGTCAACTGCCTCTTACCCAGGCATTGCTTACCCATTGCACTGAGATAGTGGTTGAAGGCCTGGCAAGGAGGACTTGGGGTTTGTGTTGATTTGTCACAACTCATGGGTGCTGGGCTCCTGTCTGTGTCAAAAGAGAAATACCCACTGGAGGATCGAGACAGCAGGGAGGATCTTCTCATAAAGATGAAAAGCGGGGATCTGGTAGCAAAAGGGCCAGGGCTGGCAGGTGGGGCCAGCGGGCCCTGAGGGCTGCCGTGGGGGCAGCTGTCCCCTTCACCTCCGTGATTGCCTTCAGGATTACCTTGTGGCTCTGTCTGTAGGGAGGTAGGGGCCCCAGGTCTGAGCTGGGGAGGCCTCTCCGCAGGCTGCAATTGTCTACCTTCTCGGTCACACTCAGAACTTACATCAGAAGGTTGCTTTGCCATTTGGTCTTTTTTTCTGCAAGTAAAATAAAAACTAAGATTATTTTAAGCAAAAAAAAAAATCGATGAATAAACAAATTAGCTCTCACCTAGCGATTAAAAATTCTTAGGGTTAATCCCAAATACTTTGTTCTATACTTTTCTGACAATCTCCCAAATAAAAAAATTGCACCTAAAATAATAAAGGTGTAATTTTTTTTTGGTAGAGGGTACCCCCAAACAAAATACAGTAACAATGTCAACAGCTTGCGGAACTGGTGCACACACACATGCGTTTCCAGAGAAGCAGCTAATCTGAAGTCTATTCGTGTGTGCTCTTTGCCCAGGACAGACTTCTTCGAGTAAGTCAGAAACTCCCAGCGGCTCTGACTTCCCGGGGTTAGGTAGGACGCCGGAGCACAGGAGCGGGCGCAGATGCAGCGATTGCAGGCGGCTGGCCGCGTTCCCTGCTCCGGCCCCATTGTTTGCCGAAAATGCTGAGGGCAGCAAGTCTGGGGAAGGTCTGGCAGCGGCCGTCAGTCGTAGTAAGTGCGTCACAATAGAGTTTGTAACTCCAGCGCGGCTCGGCCCGGCTCTGGCGCTCTCTCCGCCCGTGCTCCCTCCCTCCCGCTCCCGTACCGCACGCCGCACCGAATCAGACAGAACTTCTCTGAGGTGCACACCGTGAGGTGCACATCTCTAAATGGGGAGGGGGCGGCGGAGGGCGACGAAGCGAACGCCTGCAAGGTCTACAACTAGGTCCGCAGGCTAGGCGACACCGGTGCGCGCCGCGCCGCCTTCATCCCACAGACCCTCCCCTCAGAAGGCAATCACACCGAAACTCACGTCCGCGCCTTCCCTTCAGAGCGCAGCGTCCGGGCCAGGGACCAAGCCCCGCGGCGTCCGGCCCGCGCCCTTCGCCGACCGGGCGCCCCCTGACCGTCACCACGAAAGCAGCGCAGGAGACAAAGCCCGGGACTCGGGTTCAGAGTCCCCGGCGCAGCGCAAAGCCCGCGCCTTCCCGCCAGCCCGCCGCCGCGCTCCGCCGGGCAGCCGAGGGCTCCGCACGCCGCGCCTCTGGCCCGCGCTGCCCCGGCCGCAGCCGCCGGGAACATCCTCCGCCTCCTCCCGCTCCTCCCCTCGCGCTCTGCGCCCGCCGCCGCCGGCACCGCCGACCTCCCCGCGCCGCTGGCGCCGGGTGCCCGCGTTCCCAATTGGTCCGCGCGCGGTCGCTCCGCGCCGCAGCCAATCGGCAGCCGCGGTGGGGGCGGCGCCTACGGGTCAGGCCGCCAAAGGCGAGGCGATTGTTGACAAACTCGCCTCCGAGCGCTGCTCTGGCCGTGGTCGTGGCGGCTGCCGCTTCGTCGGAGGATTTGAGGGCCGGCTGGCCCGGCCACCCTGCCCATCCCTGTGCTCCTTCCGGACACAAGCCTTAGCAGCTCCCGCCGTCCTGGACAGCCAGTCACCTGGAGACAAAGCAGGACTTGCGCCGCGCCCGGACCCGCAGGGCCATCCCCAGGCCCAGTCCTCGCCACTTGTCCTTGTTTTGGCCCGTCGGGGGCAGACCCTAACGGCCGTCACCGCCCTGGCTGTGGCAACTATTCTCCTCCAACAACTTCCTCTCTCTCCTGGTGCGCCGCAGACACGAGTCAAAGCCGAAGAGCCACCCCTGGCCGCGGACGCGCACGTCCGCGACCATCGAGTAAATTCACACCCTCCGCCCTGGCGTCCGTCGGGCCCTCCACCAGCAGCGCCAACCCTGGGGCAACAGGTCCCAGAGGGCACGGCGCCGCCAGCCTGCACCGCGAACCGGGTCGGGTGTGCTCGGGCATGCGTGAGCCGCTAAGATAGCCCGGCCCAGGGACCGAGCAGGTTCTGCCGGCCGCGACTAGTCCCCTGCGCGGTCCAGGTGGTCAGGGGAGGACCTAGATTTCTCGCTGCCAGGGAATCGTGCGGATGGCACAGGCCGCAGGACTCCTGCAGAGCAAGCAGGGGCCCCAGGTACGCTTGAGAAAGCGAACGCAGCAGTGGCCCCGAAACCTTGGCCTGAATGAGTAAAAGGAAAAGCCGTGTCTCGTCAGTTAAATCACCACCGCAGTTCCGCAAATCCTCCGCAACAGGCCCACGCGCCCCAAAAAACCAAGACACGAAACACCCTCACACTGCGCGGCCGCTACTCTGAGGGCGCCGGAGCCGGCGGCGAGACTTTCCAGCTGGGCGCACAGCCCGATACTACGAGCAGGTCCTCAGCTCCCGGGCCGGCGCCGAAAGGCACGCGCTGCCTCTCCTCCTGCCCGGACCTACGACCCTTCACCAGGCCCGCGCGCAGCATCCCGTCCCAAGCCGCACTTCGGCCAAGAGCCTGCAGGTTCCGCGTGAACGACTTTTCTTTAAAGAGAACCTGCCCGAGAGGGAACCCGATCCACACGGATCCCCACCTCCCGCCGGCGACAAGCGGCGCCGATGCAAGCGTCTCCGCTCGCACGTGCACGGGAAGCGGGCAGTAGGTGGTGCCGTTCGGGCTCCAGCGCTAGTCTTCCTTCGGTGCCAGGCCCGCGCCCCGGGATTTGGAGGTATTTACCTTGCGTTTCTCAGTCCGAGAGTCAGAGTCAGACATTTGGGGGAACAAGGGCCAAGAAAGGGCGCCGAGGCGGTGGCGGCGGGAACGCAGCGAACCGAATACCGCGATGATGCGATCGCAGTGTGGCAGGGTTCGCAGGGTGGCTGCAAGAATCAAGTGGTGGTAGTGGCGGCGGCGGCGGCGGCGGCGGCGGCGGCGGCGGCGGCGGCAGCGGCAGCGGCGCTGGACGCAGAGCTCCAACAAACTGCAGACCAGGCGGCTGCGCGGAGCGAAGTGAAACCTGCGCGGCCCTGCAGCCCAGCTCTGGCTGGCGGCCCCGCTCCTACGCCCAATCACTGCGGACCCCGCCCCCGCTAGGTCCCGCCCCGGCGCGCGGGCTGGCAAGCTCCGCCCCCCTCGGCGCCGCGGCCGCCGGCGCGTGCAGGCTCGGACAGGTAAAGGCGGGGGTTGCCCCGCTGGGTTGCCTCCCGCGCGCGCCGCCGTCCCTGGCGTGTTTACCGGAGTAACTCTGCCTGCTGGCGGCCATGTGCGCGCCCATCCCCCACCCCGAAGTGTACCCTAGCCTCCCGCTCACCTACCCCAACCCGGCGGCGGCCGCGGCGTGCGCGGCACAGAGGGGGCGCTCCGGTCACAGCCTCCGCTGGCCCGGCCGGCGGTGTGAAGCCTCGGGAGGCGCCCTGCGCTCTCACTGTGCCCTGAGTTTCTAAGCCGCTCTGGGGCAGGCGCGGGGACTGGGTTGGTCCTCGCGAAGGCGCGGGGCGAGGTCTTTGAGCTCTCCTCCCTCTGAGGGTCCCTGGCGCCGGGCGGGACGCGGATCAGCAGGCTGCGCATCTTCCTCGCCCGGGCCTCTCGCGGGACTCAGGCACCCTCCTCCTGCCACCCCGCAGGGGCTCTCCAGCTTTTCTTCCGCGCCCAGTCGCCCTAAGAGACAGAGGCCGTGGGGGCAGGACGCGCCCAGAAAACGGCCAGGCGCGGTCCCAGTGGGCGTCTTCGCCGCCTCCCGGGTGAGGGCGGGAGGCATGTGCAAAGCAGGTAAAATAGGGAAATGAAAAAAGCACTCAGAAAAAAAAATCCTTTTAGGAAAAAAAAAAACGAGGTGAATGGCGGCCTCCAAGTGAGAGAGAACGTTGCGCACTGCATTTGGCTAGGACCCCCAAGATTTGCTGGGCTCGCAGATAACCTCGTAGGAGCTCCCTCGACTGGCTGAGGCCAGTGAAGGCAGAACAGCTGAGTTCGGGCCGCGGTGCGGGAGCGCAAAATACCCCGTCCCTCCTCCCCTCCCGCCTCCCCACCCATCCCTTTCCTCCCTGGAGTCCGCAGCACCTCACTCTACCTCCCAGGAGACCAAACTCCATGCCGCCTCTCCAGTCCTCTGAGTCTGCACCCGGGTCTGCTCTCCCAACGCGTGGCTGGCGCCCCAACCCCGGCCCTCCTGTCTGCTCCTCCCGCGCCTCAGTTCCCCAGCCCCAGCTTCTAGACAACTGCAGCGGGGGTGTGGGAGGTGGATCGGGAAATGGAACATCCCGCAGGTGAGGTCAGGCTAGATGGATTAAGGAAACTCTGTAAAGGGACCACCCTACACACCACCGCAGCCGGCAGGGAGAAGGAAGGGGCCTTGCCGTAGAGGAGCAAGTGAGGAGGCGTTGTCCCGCCGTCCGGCCGCCTGGAGCAGTTTTTAAATTCATAAGCGCTTCTGTAACGTCAGTGGGACACAGCGCAGCCCCATGCCAAAGTCTCAGCGCATTTTCGGGTGAATTTTGAGCGAGGTGAAGGAGGCCTTGGGTTCCCGGAGTCGCTGGAGGACGCGCGTCGGGCCCCGCCCAGTTATTTCGCTGCAAGAGGGAAAAGGCACGAGCGTGGACACGGCTAAGTAGACTCGGAGGCCGGAGATCGGTCCTAACCGGGCCTCGAAGTTCCTACCGCGGACGAACTTTGCTCTTCGCGGCCGTCCCGCGTCGCACCCGGGGAAAAGCAACACAACTTGCTGCGCGGGCTGAGAGCCCGAAGCCCGCCGCACGCCGCAATGCTCCGCGCTCCCCGCGGGGTCGGGCGACTCAGACAGGGACCGGAAAAGAACCACGCAGAAGAAAGCCCTATTTCTTGTCGTCTGTTCCTGTGCAGCCTTGCAGCCTCGCCGCCCCCGCGTCGCTCGCTCTCGCGACCCTGTGAACACTTTGAAAAACAAGAGTCGGGGGAAGCAACGGGCTAAGCGCTGCTATTTGGGGCACTAAAAGGAAGCCGGCCAGAGGTGGCGGGTTCATGCGTCCCCCGAGACCCAGGCCGCGTCGGGGGCCAAGAGCCCTTACAGCCTTCTCCCGCGCCGTCGGGAGGTCCTCCCGGAACTGGGCCGGAGCGCAGAGAACGCAGTGTGAGAAGGGCCCATGGGTTTTAGGTCACCTCCTTCGCGCTGGACGCGGGCAGAGCGGTGTCCCTTTCTGTCTCTGCCAAGAGACGTGGAGGGAGGGAGAAGGGAGGATGGCTTGTGCTGAAAGAAACAAGAATGAAGTCGGGCAGCCGGGATCTGAGAAATGGGAAATCCATGGCCCTTGTTCGGGACCACAGGCTTTGCCGACGTGGTCTCTCCTAGTTCCGAAATTGCCCAGGCCCGCCTCCCCACCCTCTGCAAGCAGCGGGAACGACTTCCACATCGCTTAATTTCTTTATTAAACTTTTCACCTATTCTCTTCTAAAGGACAGACTACAGCGTCAGATGGTAAAAATGTTTTCCGCGCCTTGTCTTGCCGTACGGAAACCGCCGGCCTGGGAGGACAAGCCGAGTTCTTGTTTTGCCGAGAGCAAAACTCTAGGCTCCCACTTCCTTCTCCCAGTCCGTGCGTTTCCTTGCAGAGCCCCAGAGCGTCTGATTCACTGAAATAGCATCACTTGCTGAACCAAACCTTTTTTCCCGCTCGCGGAAAGAGTGGAGCTTTTTTCTTTTGTCTAAGGGTGTTTGCTTTTTTTTTTTTCTTTCACTCGGCACCACAGTTTTTCTAAATCACTGGGAATGTGAGTCACCGCTAACAGCAGGAGACCTTTGGCGGCACCCGGCTGTGGGGCGCGCTCGCAGCGGGGAGCCCACCCTGATTGTCTAGGGGATCCGGCACTGAAGTTGGGAGAGGTTGCAGTCAGGCCAGGCTGGGTTTCAGGGAAAGGGCACAGGGATCCAGCGCACCAGGCGACCGTCTGGATCTCTTTCCTAGCAGCCAGCCGCGCACCTCGCCAGCCTCGGCGGGACCTCCGCTTTGCCACCAAAATCCCCGAGAGTGGCGGCCCAGCGGGTGCCAGCCCCCGGCCTCGGCCACAGCTCTGGGCGTCGGTGGAGCGAGCGTCGTGGCAGCTGCTGGCGGGCCACCACACTTCCCGCCACACCCGTTAGAGCTTGGCTCCCAGCTTGGGCCGCCGGGAGCGCGCCTCTTCCCGTGGCCGCGGCTGCAGCGGTGCAGGGTAGAAAGCCCACGCGGCCCGCGGGTTGGAGATTCCGGCGATTGGTGCGTGGAGGTAGGTGTGTGGAATGTTAAAGGTCGAGATCACCCTCCGGGCATCATCCTTCACCGAGTCGCACAAATCCAGCAACTGCAAAACACAACACAATGGGACAGGTCAGATGTTGGCACACTTACAGCCATCTAGTGACAGCAGCTTTCAGCCCACCAAGCACCCGCACACACAGCGGCCCCGGAAACTAGTTTCCCTTTGGATTCTCCTGTGGAAACTGTTGGCCATGAATAACCCTCGGAAGCCTTTTTTGTTTTAGACATTCCCAACTCTGACACCTAGCCCAGTGGAAACCCCGGCTTTTCCCGTAAGGGGGTGGGCGTGGACGTGGGGTCGGTCGGCTTTGCCCCCAAATTAGCCGGGAACTCGAGACCAAGGTCTGAGAATTTATTAAAGCTCCCTCCTTGGTCCTTCCTCCCTGGTCCTTCCCTCCGCTCCTCTCTCTTTGCCTCCCCTGTCGTCCCCTCCTCTCCACCTCTGGAGTGCCTGGGGTGCCACCCTCTGGCGCGCAGAGGGAACTGAACAGGAAGAGCCTCCGAACAGGTGAACCACTAGAGACCTGCTCCAGTCTCCCCAGACTAGCGCCTTCGGTCCTGACCTGGCTGGCAGTAGGCCATGATTCTTGAAATTCAGTACAGTGAGACGGCGGACCAATGCTAGGCATCTTCCGCCTGGCCGCTGCGGAAAATCCATCTGCTGTTAACGCCAATGCCAAGGAACGCCGCGGATGCCCTTGGTTCTGGCAGCCACTGGAAGGCAGGGATAAGACATTCCCGGCGGATAGGAGAGGGAGATGCAAGTCAGTGTTTTGGAAGCTGCACTGGTGTATTTTTATTTCATTTTCCATGGCTTAGGTGCCAATGTATTTTTTTTTTTATTTTCAGGAAAAAAAGCTACCAAACTAATAAGATTGTTTTTCTAAAACTACACAAGGGCAGAGGGACGGCTTTCTTTTCTTCTGATCTACACATTGTACTCCATTTTTCAAGTTTTCGGCCAGTGGTAAATTTGTTTCACTCCCCAAATCACAGTAAATCCCCAGGTTTTCATGGTTTATTTTTACAGGTTTAACAACATCACTTACACCAGCCCCACCTTTGCCCTCACATGGTGGTCATGTCTGAGCCGCACTGATGTTGTTAAGATCACAGTTTCCCTTGCAGCAGTCCAAAACGCCATTTCAGGTTTTCAGAGCATTTCAGGTTTTCAGTGAGGTCCCAAGGAGGAAGGTGGAGGAAATAGGGGATGGGGAATATAGAGGGTAGGGATATGGTGGGGGAAGAGCATGAATTGTAATAGTCCAACAATACATCTTCCCTGAAAATGTGCTCTATTACACCAGTAATTTCTAATGAAAAACTTCATTCTTCACACACTGTGGTTAAGCATCATCAAATCAGTACTGAAAAGACCTTTGATCGTATTTGCAAGATGCACTAAAATGAACTTTCACTGACCAAGATTTCAAAGTTTGTAATTAATACTCTTGAAAAATCCCTGACTAATCTGTCAACTCTCAACGTCTTTAACCACACAGTTCAAAACCATGAGGTGGCGTACACAGCCCCTAAACTTTCCACATATTGTCATATGATTATTCAAGATAATTTTCCCTTTGGGTTTGCATTATGAAACTCAACCAACTTTGGTAATATATTCACCGGTGGGGGAAATACAATGATTTGAATGAGTGTAAAATAGAGTATGGGTTTTATCTATCTGGTGCCAAAAACAGAACGTAGGGCCAGAGGTAGGAATTAAATGAGGCAGATTTCAATATAAAGAAAATTTTAAAAAAATAAACTTGAAAAGGAACCCAATGGCTGGTGAAAAGGAGGGTTTCTTCACTCATAAGTGTTCAGGGAGTGTGCCCTCCAATGGCACCCTAGAGAAGAAAAATGAACTGGCTGTGAAGAGGAGTTGACTGCCAAGATTCTTTCTAAATCTAAAGTTCTGGAGCAGTTTAAAATACTCCTTCTAGCCTTCTCCATTTTTCCTAGACTGCAACAGAAACCTCAGAATGATTATTGTCTCAATGGACGGATCCGGCATCATTCCTGTTAGTTATTGTTTGACTCTTAGTTATTGTTTGACTCTGATTCCAGGTACCCACCCACCTCTGTTCCTGGCTGTCAAGATGATAATAATAATTACCATCCTTTCACTCACAAATGGTATGCTGGATTCCTACCCAGTGTTAGGTACAATTCTGGACTTTAGAGGTTTAATGGTACACACTACAGGAACAGGTCTCACATCGTGAAGCTGTTGAGGCGTTTTAAAAATTTTTAAAAATATATGATCTCTTTAATACAAAATAAACTTGAGAAGATAATATAGCATTGATTATTACACAGTTACAGTATTTTTATTACCAGGGGGTATTTTTATATGGGGCTAAGCAGTGTATTATTAAAGTTTAGTTTTGTTACCAAACATGCTTCCATACTATAAGCATAAAAATTGCACATAGTGTAGGGGTCCTCTGCCCTGCCAGTTTATGACCCATTTATGCTGGACAAAGTACTTCAAGCTTACCCATATCTTTACAAAGAAAATTCACCAGCTTTTGAAAAAGACAAATGAATAGGTATACTTTAAAAATAAAAAAGTATGAACAAGTTATAGGTTCTTGCAAAAACATTTTTTAAGGTCAAACCTAAACATGGGCACTATTGCTCTACAAGCAATAAGAATGTACAGTCCACTGGAAATAGCCAGTGAGTGGAATTTGAGAATATCTGCTTTAAAGAAAGCAGAAGCACTCAGCCCTCAAGGGATGACACTGTGTTTGACTATATTAATATGTATATTTGGGAGTGAGGGAAAAATTGTAACATCAGTTTGGCTTCCCACCTCCATCTAGTTGCAGTACTCAATTTATTTTTCTGCTCTTTTTGACTCTCCCTACAGTTTCCTTATTTCAGTTGGGAGAGTAGGATGGCCAAGGATGGGCAGTGACTAAGCTTTGCAGTCCTCTGAACAAACCATATTTTCCCAGCATGGCATGGTGTTAGTCCTATAATAGATGTTCAGGGTGGGAAGTGCCCAGTACACTTGGAGGGACACCCCAGCTATTCCTAGGACTCCATGCAGAAGGTTTTCCTGCCTCTTCCCATATGTCTCACCCCTGTTCTCAGCATAAGATGACCACATGCTGTTTTTTGTGAAAAATCCCTTACCCAAACTTGAAATGTCCCTTCATTAGCCCCTTTCGTCTGGCTACCTTGGTAGAGTCTTTTTCTCCATCCCTTTAATCTGGGCTGAGTTATGACTTGCTTTGCCAGTAGAATATGGGGAACATGTCACTGTGTGATTTCCAGAGTTTAGGCCTTAAGAAGCTTTGAATCCCCCATTATCACTCTCCTATAACCGTGAGAATACCTGCTGTGCAGAAGCCCAGTCTAGCCTGCTGGAGGACAAAAGGCCACGTAGAGATGGACCAAGGTGCCTTGGCCAACAGCCAGCACCCACTGCCAGATATGAGAGAGAGGCCATCTTGGACATCCTAGTCCTGTTGAACTCAGATGACTGCAGCCACAGGAGTGATCCCAGGTAAGACTAGCCAAAGAACTGTCCAGGCTGCCTGCCCACAGAATAAGTATCAGTCATTATCACCGGTTAATGCACAGAAATAGAAATTTTTAACCTGACTAAGCAAAACAACAAATAAACTTACTTGCTATAAGGAATCAATTCCACCTCCTTTCCAAAAAGAATCTCTATGCAGCCAACTCTTACTTTCTAAGGGATTGTTAGATATTGGTGAGCCATTAATGTAATTTCCTGTCCATTATTTTTCAGTTGACTTCATTTTAGGTTAACTAGATTTTGAGCTAGAAACTTTACAGGAAGGGGAACCTTAATTAATGAACAAACATCTTTTAATCTAAAAGATGTGATGAGGGAATAAGATTAAAGTGGTTGGTAAAATGAGGTTCTGTGCTACTTGTGGCTGTCATTTATCACCTTTGCTTCTGCTGTGACACATAACTGGCATTCTGGCAGGTGCCTCTGGCCACCTTTATTCCATGCTTGTCTCGTGCAACCCTAGTCCCCAATCAACAATTCATAGCTTGTTACTCCAGCCTTTGCCAAGGATCCATCTCTGCTGTGCAGTATCTATGCTTTCCACATTCCATCCCGGAGGGCCAGGCAGGTAAAGGCATGAAGTACAGAAGGGAGCTACTTAGCTGTCTTTGACTTAGTCTGCTCTATCTCCAGCATCTTTATAACAATGCTATGTGGCAACATATGGCACTTTACATATGTAACCAAGGTCTTCGGTGTTCTGCCCCATGCTGACATTTCCTGGACAACTACTGTGTGCCAGATTACAGAGGAGGGCTTTAGGTTCACTGTCTTATTCAGTACTCATAACAACTCTATCAGGTATCAACCCATTTTACAGATGAGAAAACCAAGGCTTAAAGAATTTAAGTCACATAACTTGTAACTGATGCAACTAGAGTTTTAATCCAGGGCTTTTTTTTTCTAAAGCCTTGTCTACCCTTTTGCCTTCATCTTTTCCCCCAGTGCCTCACTGCTTCCAGTTGCTGGAGGATATGTGGTGCTGCACTGACAAATGCCTCCACCACTGTGGCAGACGTGTGACCCTTGACGTTCTTCCTAAGTCAGAATCTGTATTCTGTGTGTGCCTAGTGTGGAGAACATGGATCTGCCCAGCCACACTGGCTCAGATTCTCTGAGAGGACCAGGGCAGTAATGGTGCCCAGGAGTACTCTATGATGTTGCCACCGGAGGAAGGTGCCAAGGATATCGGCTTCAGAGCCAGCTACCATGTGAAAAGTCCAGCTTGATGACCTAGAAGGACCTTTACCTGCAGAAGGACAAGGCTTCAACTCTGTTCTGCAGATTCTCCTTCAGTAAATTGGGAGTGCCCTTCCACACTGGTCAACAGGCCCCTCCCTGCTGCTTTGGATCACCACCTTAAGTCAAACACAATTCAAGTGCCTTCAAAAGAGCAGCACATGGACTGGCAAATCGTGACTGGTGAAAATGGGCACAATCAAGTAGTTAACCTGCACCTATTCTCACTTTTTGCAGACTTCCAAACTCGCTGAATGCACAGAGGCCTTGGCCTGGCTTATCTCCTCCTCGCTCACTTATCCTGAAGAATTGCTTTCCCTTTAGACAAACATTCTGTAAAGGATCAGATGGTAGGTCTGTGGCAGCTAATTTCCCATCTTAGTCCTTATGCCTGACTAAGCAGTCAATGAAAGAAAAATAAACCTGAAACACTCACACGAGGCATAATCTCATAGCGTGTGCTGTGATTCTACTTCTCTCAATTTACCCAACAACTACTAGAAAGGGGAGCTCCATTCCTGTTTTCATTGCCCACTGGCTGGCTCCTCCAGGGAGGGTCAGACCTTAGCTTGGTGCGTCTCCTGGTCCCAGGAACACATACATTCTCATTGGTTTTCTCTGCAACCAAGTTTCATTAGCATAAAATGACATTCCACAGGTCTATTAAATAATCAGGACTCCAGCTAATATTTTCTCTGAATCAATTTAAATTATATTTTATGTTGATTTGTTCCTTCAGTTGATAAACAATATTTAGCATAATCTGAAATGTTAGAATAGAGAAATTGCCTTCCTTACCAAACAACAACAAAATCACTTTTGTTTACCCTCACTAAATAATTAAACTTGAAGAAAATTTACCTTTAAAATGTCCTTTCTACTGCAATTTTCTTCAACTAAAGAGTACACAATTTGGCTGTTTACTAAGTATTTTGACAATGTCCACTTTGGTAGAGAAAAAGGGCTTTGAACTCTGACATTGCCACTTCCAAGCCATACTACCTTCCTTATCTCTAAGATGGAAGGATTTAGTAAACTTGGCGCAGGTTGATTATTTATAAATATTATTGTTATTATCATGGGTTCTCTAGTTAGTAATAAATACAATTTCTTTCTAACTCTGGTATTTCCATGACAAAGTTTGCTTAATCATCATTACCTAAAACAAGAATGCTGAGACAGAGGCATCAACATTAACCACTTAATAAGAACTTCTGACATTTATTCATACTGCTACTGATTCATAAGAGGAAAAGTTTAAAAAGAAGACAAGTGCATATACCTTTCCCTTTAGAATACAGGAAACCATATAAATGTTTTGGCAATGGGATTAAAGTAACCACAATGCTGCTCATAGTAGCATTTTCTACAGACAAAGGCATTTACATGAAACAAGAAAGAATATTCAATTAGGTAGTTGTAATAAAGCTGGAGTATTAGCTGCACACTTCTCATATAAAAAATATGGCATCACAGTGGCTCATGCCTGTAATTTCAGCATTTTGGGAGGCCGAGGTGGGTGGATTGCTTGAGCTCAGGAGTTCCAGACAAGTCTGGGCAACATGGTGAAACCCCATCTCTACAAAAAATACAAAAATTAGCCGAGAGTGGTGGCTCATGCCTATAGTCCTAGCTATGCGGGAGGCTGACGTGGGTGGATTGCTTGAGCCCAGGAGGTGGAGGTTGCAGAAAGCCAAGATCATGCCACTGCACTCCAACCTGGGTGACAGAGTGAGATCCTGTTTAAAAAAAATAAATAAATAAAATAAATTAAAAAAACTTAATCAACTGATAGTTTAGTTTTGTAAGTACAAACCCAAAGAAATGCAAACATACTCAAGAAGGAATAATCTTCAGTCAAAAATTTTCAAGAGGCAAAATCCCCACAAACTGCCAAAACTAAAAATACAATAAGAGTCCAAAGTTATTATGGAGAAATTCTGTGTAAGTGGGTCCTGGAATATTCAACTTCATTGTCCCAAATGATCTGAAAATCAACTGGGAGGGCTCCTAGTTAAAATGTAGATAGATTCAAGAGAATTTTGCTCCATGGTTACAAACTGAAGAATCTGAACAAAGTAAAAATCAGATGTTTTATGGGGCTACTGAAAAGCACTATACATAAGAAAGTAACGTTAATGAAGTGATTTCAGAGAGATGAGCTCTTTCTTGGTAAGCCAACATCCACAGAAGCTTCCACACATGGGGTAGGTGCCTGTTTTGGGGACAGGTGGACAGAAGACTGGGCCTAACAGAGATGGAGAGACTTTGAAGGGATGAGAAAAATGGCCAGATGGACTGGAATTGGGAAGAACTCCTAGCACAGAAACAAACACTTGGCCTAGCGATTCTTACCCTCAACCCAGAATTTTGCTATGAAAGCAGCAGTTCATGGAAACTGAAAAGCAGAGGAAATTTGCATGGTCCCATGTATCCTTGTGGTGCATAGACTTTGGAGCTGCGCTGGAGTTCAACCCAAAGGTGAATCAAAGATATCTGAAACTGTAGTTCACCATTTTCACAGCTCAAACTCTGAAAGAATAAAGACGGTAGTGTGATGGGGTGGGTGGACTAAGCACAGTGAACTCAGTCTAAGTAAAGCAGCTCCTGCTCAACCTGACTCTAGGAGGAATCTTAATGACTAGACCCTGACCCTAACCACCAGACAAAAGAAAGGAAAATAAACAAAAGAAAGTAAAATCTGTTATAGACAATGTTTGAAGTACAATAATAAGTTATTAGACCTGCAAAGAAGCAGGAAAATGTGACCCCAAATCTAAAGAAAGCACAATCAGTAGCCGACTTAGAGATGACCAGTTACCGGAATTAATGGACAAAGATTTAAAAACAACTATTATAAATGTGTTCAAGAATTTACAAGGAGAAGGCCAGGCACGGTGGCTCATGCTTGTAATTCCACACTTTGGGAAGCTGAGGCGGGTGGATTGCTTGAAGCCGGGAGTTCGAGACCAGCCTGGCCAACATAGTGAAACCCTGTCTCTACTAAAAATACAAAAATTAGCCAGGCATGGTGGTGCATGTCTGTAATCCCAGCTACTTGGGAGGCTGAGACACAAGAATTGCTTGAACCTGGGAGGCAGAAGTTGCAGTGAGCCAAGATCATGCCACTGCACTCCAGCCTGGGTGAAAGAGCGAGACTCTGTCTCAAAAAAAAAAAAAAAAAAAAAAAAATAGAAGGAGAAAAATGGATATAATAGATTAATATGGGATATTTTCTGAGATAAATGTAACTCCTAAGAAAGAATGAAAGGAAAATTCTAGATCTGAAAAAATGGGATATTTGAGATAAAAATTCACTAATGAGTTTAACAGCAGAGTGAGTATTGCGGAACAAAAATCAATAATCTTGAAAACAGATTCATAGAAATTATTCCAAATGGGGCAAAGAGAAAAAAAAATGAACAGGCCATCAGTACCATGTGGGAATATATTGGCAATCCAACATACATGCCATTGGAATCTCAGAAGTCAGAAAGAATGAGACATAAAATACTTGAAGATGTAATGGTTGAAATGTTTCTAAATTTGATATAATAAAACATCTTCCACAAAAATATTCCTGACAATCTTATTCATAACATCAGTCCATAAACACCTTAAATGTCCATTAATAGGAGAATAAACATTTTTTTCAATACAAACTGTGTTAATGAAAGAAAAAAGAAGTGAGTCTTAAGTCTTCAGTTATTTTTTCTTCCCACAGATGAGTATAAGTAACACTGCACCTTAATACCTATGGAATGATGCAGCTGAGGTCAGCTGGAGGTAACAAGGCCAGTTCCTGGAGACTCTGATTAGGTGAGTTCTAGAGAGATGAGCATTTGGGAGGACAGATGGGCTGAGCCGATACAATGAAATACTACTCAGCAAAAATAAACAAATTAATTTAAAAAAGGAATGAATCATCAAATATCTCAGAAACATTATACTGAGCAAAAGAAACCTACATCTATCTGCTTCCATTCCTACGAAGCTCTGGAGCAGGCAAACTGAGCTCTTATAATAAAGTTAGAAACTCAGGGGTCAGGGTGAGGAATTGATGGAAAAGTGTCTGAGAGAAATTTATTGGGTGATGGACACTTTCTTTAACATGACTGAGATCTGCATTATACAGTCTGCTATTTGTCAAAACTCGCTGAACTGCACCATTAAGATTTGTGCGCTTCGGCCGGGCATGGTGGCTCACGCCAGTAATCCCAGCACTTTGGAAGGCCAAGGCGGGCGGTATCACCTGAGGTCGGGACGAGACCAGCCTGACCAATATGGAGAAACCCTGTCTCTACTAAAAATACAAAAATTAGCCAGGCGTGGTGGCACATGCCTGTAATCCTCGCTACTTGGGAGGCTGAGGCAGGAGAATCGCTTGAACCTGGGAGGCAGAGGTTGAGGTGAGCCAAGATTGTGCCATTGCACTCCAGCCTCGGCAGCAAGAGTGAAACTCTGTCTCCAAAAAAAAAAAAAAAAAAAAAAAGATTCATGCACTTCAATGTATATAAATAGACCTCTATTTTTAAAATTAAAAGAAAAATAAAGGGAAACAAAGCAATTTGGGGGGAACCAACATGAGATTGCCAACTTATCTCTTTTGTCAAGTAAGGATAACAAAAAAGAACTGTCTATGATTATTATTTTATTTAAAGGGTAACTTTCAGCACCTAAAATATAGGGAGAATATAATAATATAATCTCTTAAAGAAAACTTATCTTGCATTATGAAAAACCCGATACATTTTATTTCCCTAATTTTGCCATAGAAAGGTCAACTCTTTCCCTAGGAAAATTACTGGCTTAGACTCATAGGAATCAAGATTGAATGGTTCTCAAGCCAGCAAAGATTAGAAAGGATTGTCTACATAAAGTCAAGTAAGTACTGCTGCTGGAAGAAACAGTTAAAGGCAGACTTCTTATGAGGACAGAGGGATTGGGGTGGTTCTAATCAAATGGGGCTCAAAAAATTGAAGTTCCATGGAGAACACTGATCTGGGCCCAAACGAACTCAGAAAGCTCTCCAGTCCTTTCAGATACCATTTTCTCTTCTCAAAAACTGTAGTCAAAGGCCGGGCGTGGTGACTCACGCCTGTAATCCTAACACTTTGGGAAGCCAAGGCGGGCAGATCACATGAGATCGGGAGTTCAAGACCAGCGTGACCAACATGGAGAAACCCTGTCTCTACTAAAAATACAAAATTAGCTGGGCGTGGAGGCACATGCCTGTAATCCCAGCTACTTGGGAGACTGAGGCAAGAGAATCACTTGAATCCAGGAGGCAGAGGTTGTGGTAAGCCGAGATCGTGCCATTGCACTCCAGCCTGGGCAACAAGAGCAAAAACTCCATCTCAAAAAACAACAACAACAAAAACCAAAAAAACCAACAACAACAACAACAAAAAAAACTATAGTTAAAGTCACTTCTAAGAAGATGGATATGTTTTTCCCTATTTCTCCTACTAAGTACAACTGAATCCTTGGATATTATATGTAAAACAAATCTTAGAAGATTCTGAGAGGTGAAGAGAAATCAGGCTATCTAGGAAGCATAGGATTCAAGGAATGACACAGTGGTGAATTCCTTGCATTTTCTTTTTGCCTCATGTATCCCACACTGGAGCTAAAAAAAGCTGGCAACCTGGAACCACCAACAGACGTACACAAAAATCCTAACAAAAGCCTAGTTTGAACAAACTGTGCATTCCATGCCCCCAACCTCTGCCATAGTTCTAAAGGCTAAATGGGGGAGCTTGCTCTTACAGCCACAACACGCTATAGTGAGGTACCCACCATGGTGTCAGCGGAGACCACATGGGGAGCTGGTACCTCCACCTCAACCTGGAAGTAGAGAGGCATCCTTCCTTTTACCAGATGGGGTGCTGTCAGAGAAGGCCTAGTGGGAGTCAAGACTTAGTCATCACATGGCGGTAACAGAGTCACTGCCAGTGTGAGTAAAGGCCCTTTAGGGAACCGTAATGTGGCTTTCCTGCCCTCCCCATCAGTGAGATGTCAGTGGAGGCCTAGTTAGTAACTAAAACTCCCACTTCCACCCAGAAATAACAAGGAGTCCCCAGCCCTTTGGATGTCAACAGAGACTAAGTAGAGAACCTAGACTACTATCCCTATAAGGCAGTAATGAGGCGATGCACCCCCTTTTCCCCACTGGAACAGTGTTAGAGGAAACCAGCTAAAACAGAAGATTTAAGTAAGATCCAGAGTTTTATAATTTAATAGCCAAGATGTTCATGTTTCGATCAAAAGTCACTTCCTATCAAGAACCAGGAAGATGTCAAACTGGGTGAAAAAAGACAATCAATAGATGTCAATGCCAACATGACAGAGATAGTGGGATTATCTGACAAAGTTTTTAAAGCAGTCATTATAAAACTGTTTCAATGAGCAATTATAAACACACTTGAAATCAATGAAAAAAAAAAGTTTCAGCAAAGAAACAGAAAATCTTAGCAATGGAAAAGTAGATACAAAGGAGCCCAAATAGAAATTATAGAACTGAAAAGTACAATGACCCAAATTAAAAACTCAGTGGATGGTTTTGACAGCAAAATGGAGGGGACAGTGGAAGGAATTGGTGAACTGAAAGATGGCACAATAAAATTACTGAACCTCAATAATAGACAGAAAATGGACTGAATATATAATGAACAGAGGGTCAGGAACGTGTGTAATTATTTTTAAAAAATGATTTAACCTAAGTGTCATCAGTGTTCTGAAAAGAGAAGAGGAAGTGGGCTGGGCAGAAAAGTACTTGAAAAATTGGCTGAAAACTCCCCAGATTTGGCAAAAGAGATAAAGCAACAAATTCACGAAGCTGAGCCCACCCCAAACAGCATAAATCCAAAGAAATTTATTCAAAGGCACATCATAAATAGCATCATAAATAGTTTTTAATCTTAAAAGCAGAGAAAGAGAAATGACATTTTACTTACAAGGGAGAAAAAAACAATTGGCAGCAGATTTTCATTAGAAACTATGAAAGCCAGAAATGTGTTCAGGTGCTAAAAGAAAAGAATTGTCAACACAGACAGTGAAATACTGTCTCTATTTGCAGATAACATGTTTGTCTATATGGCAAATTCCAAGGAATCTATAAGAACTTCTAGATTCAACAAGTTGAGCAAGATCGTAGGATAAAAGATAACATATAAAATATATGTTGATAAAACATATAAAATATATAAAACATATAAAAATAGTTTTATTTCCATATAATAGTAATGGATATGCAGACACTAAAATTAAATATGCAATACCATTTACAATCATAGATGTAATCCAACAAAGCATGTAGAAGACTAGGACTTGTGTGCTGAACACAGTAAAATGCTGACGAAATAAATCAGTGTAGATCTCTATAAGTAGAGAGACATACCATATTCAGAGACTGGAAGATTCAGCACAGTAAGATGAAATTTCTCCTCAAATTAACTTACAGGTTTAATGCAATACCTATCAAAATCCCAGAAAGATTTGTTGTAAATATAGGCAAGATTATCCTAAAATTTCTATAAAAAGGCAAAGGAATTAGAATAGCTAAAGTGATTTTGTAAAATAATAAAGAGGTGGAATCAAACTACCATATTTTAAGACTTATGTAACTATATTAATTAAGACCATGTGGTATTGGTGAAGGGATAGACACACAGATGCATAGATAAAGTAGGAAAATGCAGAAATAGAACCATACAAATACGACCAACTAATTTTTAAAGGTGTTAAGGCAATTTAACATGGGAAATATAGCCTTTTCAACTACTAGTATTGGAGCAATTGGACATTGGTACACAAAAAAACCAACAAGCAAAAAGGAATCTCAACCTAAGTTTCCTACCTTATATAAAAAGTAACTAAAAATGGATCATGGCTCAATGAAAAATGTAAAAGTATAAAATTTTTAGATAAAGCCCATAGGATAATACCTTCAGGATCTAGGAATAGGTGAAAAGTTTTTAGACTTGACAGTAAAAGTACATTACAGTCCATAAAAGGAAAAATGGATAAATTAGACTTTATTAAATTAAAAACTTTTGCTCTATTGAAGACCATATTAAAAGAGTAAGAAGGCAAGCTATAAATTAGGAGAAAATATTTGCAAGCTACATATCTGACAAAGGACTAGTATCTAGAACATATAAACAGTTTAAAAAAATAACAATCCAATTAGAAATGGGCAAATGAAGTGAACAAACTTTTCAACAAAGAGAACATACAGATGGCAAATAAGCATATGAAAAGATACTCAACATCATTAGCCATTAAGTAAATGCAAACTAAAGCTACAATGAAATATACTACATACATATCAGAATGGTTAACATAGAAAGTAATGACAACACCCAATGCTAGTGAGGATGTGAAGAGACTGGATCACTTCTACACTGATTGTGGGAATGTAAAATGTTACAGCCACTCTAAAAAAAAGTTTGGTAATTTCTTAAAAATGTCAACATGCACCTACCGTGCGACCCAGCAATGGAACCCCTGAACATCTACTACAGAGAAATTAAAACCTATATTCACACAAAATCCTGTATGGGAAAATGAAATTTATTTTATTTATTCTATTCCTAAATGTCAGAAGCTGAAAACAATCCACATATCCTTCAATGTGTGAGTGGTTCAACAAACTGCAGTCCATGTGTAGTGTGGAATACTACTTAGCGATAAAAAGGAAGAGACCATTGATATGTGCGACCACCTGGATGAATCTTCAGAAAATTATGCTCGGTGAAAAAAGCCAATTCCAAAGGTTGCATATTATGTGATTTCATTTATACAACGTTCCTGAAATGACAAAATTATAAACATGGAGAACAGCTTAGTAGTCACCTGGGATTAAAGAGAGGGTAAAGGAAGGGAAGAGGGTGTGGCTATAGGAGCCACAAGTGGTGACAAAAATGCTCTGTATCTTCACTGTATCAATGTCATTGTATCAAAATCCTGGGTGTGATATTGTAAAGCTATAGTTGTACAAGATGTTGCCAATGGGGGAAACTAAGTAAAGGGACATGAAATCTCTGCATTATTGTGAATTTATGGTTCTCTTAAAAAAGACCTTCATTAAAAAAAAAATCACAGAATAACTTTCAAGTTAGATTTTAACAAAAATGTTTTATATAAGCACCAGGAGATTATTTTTTGTTTCCTTTTATGCTTTTTAGGTGAAGCATAATAGGTATATAGCAGCTTGCTAAATTATCACAAAAGGAACTCACTCATGGAACCGTTATGCAGATTAATAGGACACCTGCATCCCCAAAGTCCCGAAAAAGTCATACACCTGAACTGGACATTTTTACTTATGTTGTCTCAGCAATAGCCAATTAGGTTAATGGAATCAATGCCTAGCGGTTCAAGGCCACAATCTGTGATGTGAATGACTAGCTGTCCAGGAAAGGAAGATGCAAAGAGTCCTTAATTTCCTTCCACAGATGTATCGGCTCTCACAAGTTAAGTCCTGTCCCTTCTCTGTGTCTTAAAATGCGGTCACCCCTACATGCTTTTTTATTTTTATTTTATTTATTTATTTTTTAATTTTTTTTGAGACACAGTCTAGCTCTGTCTCCCAGGCTGGAGTGCAGTGGCACAATCTTGGCTCACTGCAACCCCCATTTCCCAGGTTCAAGTGATTCTCATGCCTCAGCCTCCCTAGTAACTGGGATTACAGGCGCATGCCACCACGCCTGGCTAATTTTTCATGTTTTCTTCAGTAGAGATGGGGTTTTACCATGTTGGCCAGGCTGGTCTTGAACTCCTGGCCTCAAGTGATCCGCCCTCCTCAGCCTCCCAAAGGGCTGGGATTACAGGCGTGAGCCACAGCGCTTGGCCCCTATGTGCTATCTTTTAATGGTTACTAAGTACCAAACACTTTGAGTCCCCCAGAGAAGGGAAGAGAAGTGAAATGGAACAGGCCACAGCAATGTCTCGTCTGTAAAATCAAAGGGAAAAGGTAACTTACCATCAGAAAAAAGAAAAGCAACTACAAACACATTTTACACTATAAAAATTATTGATTTCTAGCTAGAATATCAATTTATACAAAAATGGATATACTGGGGTCATTTCTGTTTCAAGTTCAGTAATTTATTTAAATTCCCTGGAATCATAATAAAATCCACTATCCTTAACTGCATTACTGGAGTCTGATTGGACTCAGATGAGTCTCATCTCCTGAGAGGTCTTTTTTTTTTGTGCAACATGGCTATTCTTAGGTACAAGTTTCACCAGTCAGAAATTCTCACTGTGCATCCTGGACCGAGGGTATGAACCCAAAGACACTCACGGAGAAGGGCACCCAATTTCCCAGCACTTTAAGCATCTCCCCAAGGAGACCAGGACAATGCAGCTGCCAGAGAAACTCAGAGGCTGGAGCTCAGCAAAACAATTTGCCCTCTCTTGTGCTTATTAGTTACCCTTGAATGAAGAAAATAGAATGATCCCAGCTCAGTCTCCAGATACACAAAGCTGTACTGTGAGGCATAGCATGAGAGTGGACCAGGTGGCTGCCATGAGGAAACAGGGATTGCAGCAGGGTGACCTCAGGGTCCCTTTTACTGGCCAAACTGAAGAAACCAAATCCCATTTAGATTTTCTTAACCTGACTTGAATGGTCTGCATTTATAGGTTCAGCAATGTATTTTATACCACTGAGGAGCATGCAAGGTCAGGAGCAGATGGAAGGGGGAAGGGAAAAGAGAGATTTTCTCGTCTCTTAGCAGGACACTGTTTGTACTCATATTTTCCCTATTTCCCTGTTTTAGAGTCTTTTGCACTGGGAGGAGAAGGTGGAACAGGAGACACCCACATTCTAGTTGGTCCCTGCTGTCTCCAAGAGGTGGTGAACCAGGAGTCCTACAGATGTGAAGCTAGGTTAAAACCAGTTCTGGGGATGCTTTCAAATCAAAGAGGATTTAAAAATGTGACTCCCAGTTGCATTTCCGGTATGATCACTCCATTTCAATGTCATTTCAATAACATCCTCAACTCACTGACCACAGCCAGGGGCTGTCCCTTCCCACCCTGGCAGAGTAGGTCCCTGTGCTTACACCTCATGCCAGCTTCAGTCAGGATGACACAGCCAGGGGTTCTCACTGCCTTGAAGCCAAATCAGATGGGCCTTACTGGATGGGGTGGGTGGGGTGAATGGAGTGGAGGTGAGGGAAACAGTTTTTTTTTTTTTTCCCTCAAATTCATTACAGAGAAAAACAGAAGTCTATGGGTAGGAGGTGAGTGACCGAGAAACCCCATCTCTCTTCCCCACTCCAATGAATGCTTTCAATATGCTGTGCCTAAACCTTAGTTCATGTTACATTCAATTCTAGCGTCTGAATGTGTCTCTTGATCCAGGTGGTCTGGGGAATGAGAAATAGAAGGATGGGAAATCTGAGTGTTCATTAAAAAGAAACATTCAATGTGGCATGGAAAACAACCAACACCGCATTTGTAGGAAGTTCAGGGCACATGTACTGTTTCTAAGCCCGGCGGGTATGGGTGTGGGCTATCTGTTTTTCTTGAAGTTCAGATTTGAGAAGGGCTATATCCCAGCACCATCTTTCCAGCTTAGAACTCTCTCCTAATTTTTTTTTGTGTGTTCTTTAATCACAAGCCTTTGTGACACTAAGCAGTGACTGCATTTATACTTTATGCTTAGATTAAAATAGTAAACGAGTGTAATCCATCTTCTACGTTCAAAGGAGCCAAGCAGCATCCTGGCTTGGGGGCCTGGTGTCTACCACACTTCTGCGCATTCTTCCTCCAAGCCACATCTCCTGAGAATAAAGCAAGATGCCATTGGCAATGTCTACTCAGAACTACTTGAATGACTCATCAATCAACAGGCTTGAATGCTCTTCTTCCTCTATGATTCAACGGTTTGATTGACTGAACTGAAACTAAAACCCAACCCTAGTGGTCATTTTAGACTTGAGCAGATACAGTCAGAATCTCAATCACATGTCATCAGCAGGCCCTCCTTGGCCTCCTTATTGCAGCTGGGCTCCTGAGCAGCTCTCCCTCACTCAGGGAGGAAACGAATGGCTCCTTTCAGTAGGGCAGACGAAGGCTGCTGGCTGATGCAACTGCTCCTGTGTCCACTTCCCAGCAAGGGTGCAAAACAGGATTTGTGCTTGTGCTGGTGAATCTGGGCTTCACCTAGCAAATCAGGGGGACACCAAAATGAAAACAGCCCTAGAGGCATGGAGAAAGCCTCAGGTGCACTAAGGTGCCAACAGAAACGATGCATCTCAGAGTTGACAGTCATGACTCAAATAGGACGTGAAGGCAACATGTGGGTGAGAGTAGCAGCTATGGGTGTAAATATGATCAAATATGGGGGAGGTGTCCAGATTTCTTGGACATGGTTACAATCAGTATTTATTTTCTCTCTTAGTGAACGAGTTTTTGGTTTTTCAATACTGCTAATTTTACAGGCAATTCACTACGTTCCCTGGGAGGTGGAGTGGCCTTCCTCCCTGCTGTGCGTGGGTTACACAGCCTGCCTCACTTCCCTGTGGGTCCTTCATCACCTGCATGCTCACATGATTCCATTATTTGAGCTCATGGCAGGAAATAGAACCTGATTCAACATTTTGCTAAGTATTATTTTCACCACACTGAATAGGGTCCTTTTTTGATCTGCAACCCACAGCTGGGCTGTGGTTCTCTCAACACAGGTAGACTGAAAAGCTTCCTCCTGCATTGATTTCTCAGCATGGGCTGACCACATGTTCACAAGTACTTGTTCTTTTCCATACGTCCCAATGCAGGCAGGCACTGGCAGAGCAGGACAGCTGTGTCCAGGAGTTCAGGGAACAAAATAAGGCTACTGTAACTTCAGTCAACTTCAAGGCACGGTGTAAAATAAAGTAAGAGATTATCAGTCAAATAGCCATTTGCATTAAAATTCTCCACTTTAAGAAGCTGAGATCTTTGCTTTATTTTTTAAAAAGCAAAATGAAGTCAGTTTTAATGGAGATATACAATTGTTAACTGTTGGGTCATTTTGAAAGGCTTTCTTCCTTAAAATGAGTCTCAGCTGATAGCTACTCACTAATGCTGATAATTATCTGAAGCAAAATAAATACAAATGTCTGGGTTAATGAAGACTGAAACAGGATAATGCCTGGACACTAAATTTTCCAAGAACAAGGAACACAATTGTTCTCTACATACCCCTGCAAAAATGCTTAATGGCCAGGACACAGGAATCTTGTGTACTTAGAGACCTTGTTAGGATGGAGCCCCGGGGGCACCACCACTGGCCTTCGAGCCAAGGTCTCACAGAGAGGGCAGCAAGGGGGAGCAGCTCATCCTCCTCCCCAGCTAGGGAGACACTAGGACAGCAGTGGAGTGGAGTCCGAAATCTGCCATAGAAGCCCCAGCTTACTATTTGCTCACTGAGCAGCAAGTCAACCTCAGTTTCTCTGTGCCTACAGGGGAGTAACAGCTGTTCACACTAAAGGGTGCTTGTGAGGATGATATAAGAATGAATATGGACCTGCTCTGACAACACTGAAGTTCCAGACAAAAGAATAGGCATTAGTTATCTGATTTGAAGGACTGTGGGGGATTGGAATTTTAAAAATAAACCTCAACCCAACTCCTTCTCTTGTGGGGCCTCGGTTGAACAACTGGGCACTTGCACTGCCTTCTGAATATGTGGATGGATTTTGCCTGCTTTGGAGAAGCATATGAACTCCTCAGGGCATCTAGTGCCCTAGAGTGTGCCAAAGGAACAAGGAGGACTACAAATGGGTGATGCCTGGAGCTTAACCCACCTCCATTTGGGATTCGGAGCTCTGGTTTCTGTGTTCAGCTAGAATCTTCGACAGTCATTTAATGTCTCTCTTTCTTAGTTTTACTCATTTGTTGAATGGGGATTATATTAGCCTTACTTTCCTTGAAGGTCTTAATGAGAATGAAATGAGATAATTTTTAAGTATATATATGCATTTCTAATTTCCATCAGACTGGAGCGTCGGTATAAGTCCTGGGTGTTCTGGAAAGTTTTATTTATTTAGAAACAGTTTAGGCTGATTGCTATCTCCCTATGCTAACTTTTTGTTTTTTTAGTAAACTTTTTATTTTGGAATACTTTCAAATTTACAGAAAAGTTTCAAAGATAACAAGAGTTCTCATTTGCCCTTCACCCAGTTTCCCCATAACTATGGCTCATTGTAAAAACTAGGAAACCAATATTAATGCATTACTAATAACTATAGACTTTATTCAGATTTTACCAGTTTTTCTACTCATGTTCTTCTGTCCCAGGATTCAATACATGATACTGCATTGTATTTAGTTACCATATCTCCTGAGTCTCTTCTGCTCTGTGATGGCTTCAGTCTTTTCTCGTCTTCCATGCATCGTCAGTTTTAATGGGTACTAGGCAGGTATTATGGACAAGCTTGGCAAATCCACAGCCCATGGGCCACATGAGGCCCAGGATAACTTTGAATGTGGCCCAGTACAAATTCATAAACTTTTTAAAAAACATTATGAGATGTTTTTGTGATTTTTGTTTTTTTTAGCTCGTCAGCTGTCACTAGTGTTAGTGTATTTTATGTGGGGCCCAAGACAACTCTTCTTCCAATGTGGCCCAGGGAGGCCAAAAGATTAGACACCCCTGAATTGTAGACCGTTCCTCCATTTTGTTTTGTCTGATGTGTTTTCTCACGCTTAGATTTGGGTTATGGGTTTCAGGGAAGAGGGAAGTGTTCTTTTCATCATATCACACCACAGAGTACATGCTATCAACATGATGTTATCACTGGTGATATGTACCTTAATCATTTGATATGTACCTTAATCACTTGGTTAGGATCTACCAGGTTTCTCCATTGTAAAATAAGTATTTCTCTCTTCCATAATCTATTCTTTAAAATAAAAGCAAGTTGCTAAAGTCCAACCCACACTAAAGAGAAGGGGAATTAAGCTTTACCTCCTGGAGGGAGGAATACCTACAAATATTATTTGGGATTCTTCTGCAAGGAAGATGTGTCTTTCCCCCATTTATTTATTTGCTTAATCATTTATTCATATCATTATGGACTTGGGCTTAATTACTATATACTTGGAGTTATAACCCAATATTACATTATTTTTGTTGCTCAAATTGTTCCAGCCTTGGTCACTGGGAAGGAGCTCTCTCAGTTGGCTCCTTCCTGTGTCCCTGGAACATACTGCCATCATCACAAGCTTTTGTTTGTTTGTTTTTCAAGGACTTTCTTACTTTCTGACACCAGAACATGCTCCAGGCTCATCTTGTGCATTCACTGGCCAGCCCTAAAATCAGCTATTTCTCCAAGGACCCTGGTTCCTTTTATTGGAGGACGGTGCTAGAAATCAAGAACTGGGTGCTGGATGTGGTTGTTGTTCTGATGGTGATTTTTATCCAGATAAAATAAATGAAAATGTTTGCAGTCAGAGAGATAGGAGTTTTTGCTAGCTGTGTTACTTTGAGTGAGTTACTTGGCCACTTTGGGCCTCAGTTTTCTCATCTCTGTGTAAGAGTAATGAAAATTTTTCACCGGGTTGTTGTGGGGTCATATAGAATAACAATGAAGCAACTTTCTATTTCTGAGAACAGGGGGCTAGATTTTTTTTTCCAACTTTTCTGCAGAAAACAACCAAAATATTTGAAGAAAATACAGAAAACATCTTCAAAGCATCAATGATCTGACAAAACAATAAAGCCAAAATTTATAGGAAAATGGGAACCCAGAGAAATAAACAAGTCAGAAAATTGCATTTTCCCTGAAGGTGTTTGCCATTTCCAGAAAATCTGAATTTTCACTGACAGCTTGATGGTGGTCAGGCAGGTGACAGGAGGTAATAATAGTAAAAAATCAGGGTCAGCACTAAGCAAGAAATTTGACAGCAGATCCTCACCGTGACAAGCTGGGATGTCAAAGAGCTATATCCACAGGGGGAGGGTAAAAACATTGCTACCCTTATTGTGAGTATCTGAGTCTTCCAGAAAAGCCCAAGCCTTGAATTTGGTTTAAGGTAGGTGTCAAACTGAGAGTGTTTTCAGAGGCCTTTCAAAGGAAAATTACCTTCGATTAGGACTTCATGTACATCTTACACATTATTTCTCAAAACAAATGACCAACACACAATAAAAGACAACCAGACACACAGAAGAAACAAGACACAAAAATAAATAGACTTGTAAAGATTTTAAGGTATCGGAATTATTAGCTACAGACTATAAAACAGCTAAGTTTCAACGTATAAAAAATAAAATACAATATTGAATATATCTTTGGGGAACAGGAAACGAAAAAGTGACATGCATGATATAAAAACAAATTTTTGCCTGTAATCCCAGCACTTTGAGAGGCTGAGGGGGGCAGATCACGAGGTCAGGAGTTCAAGACCAGCCTGGTCAACATGGTGAAACCCCGTCTCTACTAAAAATACAAAAATTAGCTAGGCGTGGTGGCACGTGCCTATAATCCCAGGTACTTGGGAGGCTGAGGCAGGAGAATGGCTTGAATGGGGACCCGGGAGGCAGAGGTTGAAGTGAGCTAAGATCAGGCCACTGCACTCCAGCCTGGGCTACAGAGCAAGACTCTGTCTCAATAATAATAATAATAATAATAATAATAATTTTAAAAATAAAAATTCTAACAATTGGAATTAAAAACTGGGAGGATGGGGTAACCAGAATGTTAGATGCATCTGAAGAAAGAATCAGTAAATGTGGAGAGCTATCATGTGAAAACACCTGGACCCTTGTTAGTAATACCAATCAGCCCAGCCTCCTCTAATCTTCTTTGCAAGCACATTCTCATTTAGCACTTTCAATTGACCAAGGGTCCCAGATATTTTTTGTGAAGAATGGCTGCAAATCATTTCTCTAAAGCCTTGAGATCCCTGCAAAGAGGTATGGTGGCAGTGGGAAAGGAAGGATTTGTGCCAGTTCTACTATCCTCTCCCCTTTGGGGACACCAGCAAATGGGATGAGTACTCAGGGTTGCCAGCTCAGAGATGTGACAAAGAAGGCTTTGAGATGTCCTATAGCCCTACAGATAAAGCTTGTTCCAAAGTGGCTGGCTCCTGCCTGCTTATTTCCCAGGCTGTTAAGAGGATCCAATAAGTGAGAAGTGTGGAAAGCATGTGGCACTGTAAGAATACAAAAGCAGTCCGGGTGCAGTGGATCACGCCTGTAATCCCAGCACTTTGGGAGGCCAAGGCTGGCGGATGACTTGAGTCCAGGAGTTGGAGATCAGCCTGGACAGCATGGCGAAACCCTGTCTCTACTAAAAATACAAAAATTAGTCAGGCATGGTGGCGGGTGCCTATAATCCCAGCTACTCAGGAAGCTGAGGCAAGGAATCACTTGAGCCCGGGAGGCCGAGGTGGCACTGAGCTGAGATCATGACACGGCACTCCAGCCTGGGTGACAGAGCAAGACTCCAACTCAAAAAAAAAAAAAAAAAAGAAAAAGAAAAATAAATACAAAAGCACTTCAATGTTTTATATGAAAGTTCATTTCCTTCACTAAATATTCCTCTGATATATTGCATATTGTTTATCTAATTCTGTGTCACTGAAATACCTGGTGGCACAGATTTAAAATCTTCCCTTATGTAGGTTTTTTTTTTTTTTTCTAATTAAAAAGTATTCTTCCATCTTCCCAAAGTGGGCACTCTCTTTGTGGGAAATAGTCTTCAAAGATAGCTGCCATCAATTCTTTCCTTCCCAGCATGTACATGCTACTCCTCACATCAAGCGGTAAAGTCTCTCCTCCAGCTGTGAATCTGTGCTGGCACTGTGACTTCCTCTGACTGATAGAATTCAGTGGAAGTAACACTGTTAGTTCTGGGCCTGTCCTTTATGAAGGCTGGCATCTTCTACTTTCTCATTCCTGGAAGCCATCAAATAAAACATTCGACCACCCTGAAACTACCCTACTGTGAATAGGCCCAAACTAGGCTACATGGAAGGAGACAATTACCCGTCTGTTCCTGTCATCCTAGCTGAGCTGCCAGCCATAAGAATGAAGAAGTCTTTGTGAACCCTTAGCCCCAGCAGACACCACATTGAGCAGAAGCACTGTCTGTTAATAGCTGAACTCTGTCTAGAATGCAAAATCATGAGAAATGATGCTGTGGCTTGAATGTATCCCCCAAAGTTTATGTGTTGAAAACTTAATCCCCAATGCAACAGTGATGAGAGGTATGACTTTTAGAAGGTGAATAGGACATGACAGCTCTGCCCTCATGAATGGATTAATGCTGTCATCTCAGGAGTGTTTCCTAATAAAAGGATAAGTTCAACCCCTCCCTTCCTTCTCTCTCGCTTTCACCCTCTCTTGCTCTTCCCTTCCATGGGATGGTGCTACATGGAGGCTTTTGCCAGACGTGGGCCCCTTGACCTTGGACTTTCCATCTTCCAGAACTGTAAGCAATGCATGTCTTTTCTTTATAAATTACCCAGTCTATGGTATTCTGTTACAGCAGCAAAAAATGGACCAAGACAAATAATAAGTGGTGGTTGTTTTAAGTCGTAAGTTTGGAGTCATTTGTTATACAGAAATACATTACTGTAGCATCATTACATATACTTTTCTCTGTAACCTCCGTTTTCCTGAAAAGGAAAAATGTTCTTCAAGGTTCTCCAGGGTCCACTGTAGTCTGGTTCCTGACGACTTCTCCAGGTTTTCCATTAGACAGGTAAAGTCTTTATTGTTTATTAATATGTCTAAGTACTCCATGTCTATGATCGTCCTCACTTTATCAACCCTGTCTGAAGTTTCAACTGCATTTTCCCCTCTCAATTGGGCCACCATCTCTTAATTTTCTACTCTTCAAGGTCTAGCATAAGAATGGCATTTATTCCTAAGACGTCTGTTCTGTCAACTCTGAATTTATTCTTATGGCCAAGTTCATTCGAAAACCTCCATGCCCTGTGAGAGTATTTGTGTTTTGTTTTGTTGTTTTTTGCTGTTGTTGTTTTGTTTTGTTTTGAGATGGAGTCTCACTCTGTAGTCCAAACTGGAGTACAGTGGCGCAATCTCTGCTCACTGCAACCTCCAACTCCAGGGCTCAAGCGATTCTCGTGCCTCAGCCTCCCGAGTAGCTGGGACTACAGCCACATGCCACCACGCCCAGCTAATTTTTTTGTATTTTAGTAGACAGGGTTTCACCATGTTGCCCAAGATGGTGTCGAACTCCTGAGCTCAGGAGATCTGCCCGCCTCAGCCTCCCATAGTGCTGGGATTACAGGCATGAGCCACTGCACCTGGCCAGTATTTATGTTTTTAAAGTGGTTTTGTGTCCTTGGATATGAGCTCCCTTCATGTGGAGACTGAGTCTTATACCTGTTTGTGTTTCAGCATCTCTCCTGCAGAAAGGATGTAATCAGAAATGTGTTTTACTGATGAGTATGCTGTTTCACATTCTTTTTCTTTGCAGTAGCATTTTCGTGGTGAATACTGGCCTCACCTTCTTTTTCAGGTGCTCCGTAGCTATTGTATTGAATTCCCCATGGCTACCACTGACATAAAAATACCCCGGGTCTTTCTTCTTAATATAAACAATGTATTAATAGGCTTTGGTAAGAAGCAGAAAAGAAATCACTAACACTTTTTTTTTTTTTTTTTTGGCCAAGACAAGGAAAACATTTTGATACCTTCCTCTCCTTTTCATGTTAGAAAACTCATGTACAGTGAGTCACTCCCTTGTCACCTAAACTCTTAAGTGTAATACGATCATGATAGGTAATGAAAATATACATGTGAAGTCCCAGAGGCATAAAAATCCATGAGTGGAAACTGATAGAAGATTGGCAGGACTGTTTTCTAAGAAAGCAAGGAGACCAGGGCTGATGTACAAAGTGTTTTTCTGTACCCCAGGGACCTTACCTGATTCCTGATCCTCGTGCTGGCCATGGGAGTCAAGTATTTATGTTCTAAATACCAGGCCCGCTCCTGAAACACCAGCTTGGTTCCATACAACAGACAAAACTAAGGGGTGGGGGAAAACAAAAGAAATGGACAAATAGCAATATATTAGAAAACACAAAATCTAAGGAGGCGAAAGAGAAATAACATAATATTACATTTCATAAAATCGTAAAAGTTAATACTTTCCTAATGTAAAATGGCCATGTTTTGGATGTGCAGTATAGGTTTTATTTTTTAAAAGAATTCTATGAAAAATTTAAAGCATATACAAAAGTAGAACAAATAGCATAACGAACTCCCATATATCCTTCCCCAAAACTCAAGAAATTTTAACTCACAACCAACCTTATTTCATATGTAACCTACCTGGTTCTCCTCTAGCCCACGTTATTTAGGAGCAAAGTCCATACAGCAAAGTCCACGTGAAAGATACTGTAAAGGTACATCCTGAATAATAATATCTTGATATTTTCCATTGAGCATGGTTTGGGTAAACTTTCACAAAAAATAGCATTCCTCATTTACATTTTGTTTCAGTATGTTTTTTCCTATTATGTTTCTGAAACCTACACACAGAGCTTCTGCATCACATCATGGGCACCAAGCAACAATAAATGAGTTTCCCTGTAGGAAGAAGTCACTTTTTATTTAACTGTTTATTCACGTAACTCTCGATATTCAATAATTTCAAAATCACGCAAAAATAGAGAGCATAGTATGGGCCTCATGTCTCCATCACCCATATCCACTCATCGCGAATCCTGTTTTTACTCTGCTCCCACCTATTCCCCTTCTCTGTATCACTGCAAAGCAGACCTCAGTCATATCATTTCACCCACAAATATCTCACTGTGTATCTCTAAAAGATAATGACACATTAGAAGTAAGATAGCCTCAAAACCAAACCAAGCAAAAACAAAACCCTCTTATTCTGAGTCAAATAGAAATGATCTTCCCACTAGAAGACAATTTGCCTTCTATGGCTTATCAGACTCAGAAGTCATGTGGTTCACAGTCATGTGGTTCACAGTCATGCAGACCCTGTGGTCTCCTCATTCCTTTCTTGGGGTTCTGGCGTATCCTTGGAACAGCATCATTATGAGGAGCCTCAACTATTCAGTCTTCCCAGAAAGTGTCACAGTATGGCTGAGCAGCTTATTTATGAAAGATATTTAAGGTTAATTTCAGCTCTTTTATGAAATTACCAAAGTCTGGACAGTAGTTCCTTGGCCAGATTAAGTGCCCTTTGGGTCTTTTACATGACACCAATAAAGATGTTAGCTGACCCTTCAGATAGTGTGAGCAACTGAGACTATGAACTGCAATTCATACTGAAAACATAAATTCTTATAAAAATAATAAATCATATAAATTATGTGGTTAAGCCAAATCATGAGTCTCTAGATGAACTTCTTATGTGCTACAAAAATATTTGCTGTGAGTTTCTAGGTGCAGAAATTTAATCCTCATCGCTCAGGTATACAAAAATATAAGATCAGTGACAAGAAATCCAGAGCTCTAGAAGTATAAGAGTTCTTAGAAATAATCTAGTCCATCTTCTCACTCAATCCAGAATCCTGTATCAGCCAGGGTTCAACCAAGAAACAGATGATACATTCACATTAGTATAATATAAGAAGCATTTAAATAGGATGGACAAGATGTAGGAGACCCCTAAGAGATAGTGCAGTACCCTGGAGCTGGTAACTGGAGCTGTTACCACCTTCTAGGCTTAGAGGGTAGAGGGCAGGGAGTGGCTGCTGGATCCTGGAAGAAAAAGCTATGTAAACAGGGACATTTTAAGAGGAGCTGTGACCCTCAGCCAAGAAAAACAGCAATCCCAAGGTGACCCCATAGTGAGGCAAGCAGGGAGCAGGGGGATCCTAACTCTGCTGTCTTCCTCCCTCTTTAATCTCTAGCTGTTCTCAGCTAACAAGGGATGTGAAGGACCTCTTCAAAGACTCCAAACCACTGCTCTAGCTGTTATCTAAACCAAACTAAGTCCAAAAGGCGAGGATTCCATGGATGCAGGCAATGTAGGTCAACTTCCTAGATCCACACAGGGTAGAGAAGAGTGGTGAGCAGAGCTACAGAGGCAAATGGAAGACATCTATCACAAGTCACATCTCTAACACCCCTGACAGAGGGTCATTCAGCGTCTTGTCCAGTCCCATCTGATCCAAGCCAAAGCCTGCTTGATCACAGAGAGCTCCCAACAAGCTGCTAACTGGCCGGCATTCCCAGGCTGTTCCCAAATGATGGTTTTCCCCAGGCTCACACCATGCATCCTGACTATGTCTGCTCTTCCCTTCTTTGGACTTGAGAATTGCTCTCCTGTTGACAGTCTGTGGCTTTTGTGTACCTGATTCTCAGGGCCACGTTTTTGGCTTTAATCTTTTGCTTTCCTCCAGGAACACAGCTCAGACTCTCCTTGGGCTACCCCCTTTGCTTGTCCTGGTAAATAGGAGTCCTGGTTCTTGGTGGCTACCAGAACACCACAGCTAGGCACAGGTACCATCAGCCCAGTCTCAGTCCCCCAAACAGTACCTGAAATGTCTTTCTTTTGTGTTCCAGAGATGGGAGCTCAGTGTGTTAAGAGGCATCCAATTTCCTAATGAATCTCACTGTTGGAAGAGTCATTGTGTCTGGAGCCACTTCTCTATATGGAATATGAATTTATGGATTAACTGTGAGGAAGGGGATCTTGTCCTGCTCATCTTTATATGCCTAGGGTCTGGTAAAGGAGCTGACACACTGTATGATATTAGCTGAAACCCAATTTCCTATAACTCATAGCTATTGATGTTACAACTTCTGCTACCTAAGGAACCAAGCAGCAGTCTATGAAAGCTTCCAGACAATAGCCTTTAAAAAATTTAAAGATATTTTTCACATCTCCACTTAGTCTTCCACCCTTCAGGATGATCAGCCTCAACAGATCGTCAATCTCCTCTTAACACTTGGTTTCAACTCTTGGGCCACCTTGAAACTGGTGGCCTAGTCTGGATGGTTAATTCTCTTCTCCAAGGTGTCTTATAAAACTAAAAGCAATATCCAGTGTTGTCTCATCACTATGGCATCTGCAGCACCATTACTGCCCTAGGTTTGGATTCTATACTTTTACATGCAAAGCAAGGCAGAATGTGCTTTTATAGTTAGTATATAATATTTTTGAATAAATGAGTGAAAGAAAACCATGCACATTTGGTTTATATCAAGCATTTGAACATTTGACATTCCTAACTAAGCCTTTCCCCCCATAAACTATTTTCAACTAACCCATACATACATATATACATCCCTAAGGGAATGATTTTAATTTTAAATTTATTTTAAAGTCATCTTGTTTATATGGCCTACCTTGAACTCCCCAAGGAGTTCTTTATGACTCTTGGTTAAGTCACCTGACATGTTTTGTCATTTTCAAGTTTGTAAAGTCTTGTCAGCTGATAGGTCTACATCAGCTGAATTCAAGTTAGCTGAGACTTGATTCAAGCTCTCTGGAAACTTATTTAATGGAATATTACCTGACTCTTGTTTCTCTAGCTTGGCAAAATGTTGGCCAAAATCAAGACACATCATCAATTTTTCCAAATTTGTTTGTTTGTTTGTTTGTTTGTTTGTTTTTGAGACGGAGTCTCGGTCTATCGCCAGGCTGGAGTGCAGTGGCAATCTTGGCTCACTACAACCTCCACCTCCCTGGTTCAAGCGATTCTCCTTTCTCAGCCTCCCGAGTAGCTGGGACTACATGCTCACGCCACCATGCCCAGCTAAGTTTTTGTATTTTTAGTAGAGACGGGGTTTCACCATGTTGGCCAGGATGGTCTCGATCTCTTGACCTTGTGATCCACCTGCCTCGGCCTCCCAAAGTGCTGGGATTACAGGCGTGAGCCACCGTGCCTGGGTCCAAATTTTCTCTTCTAGTAATCTGATTAAGAAAGGAAGTATAAGAAAGGAAGGATAAGCCTTACTTAATTAATCCTTACTTATCCTTACTTAACTAGGCAGCCTTCTAGTGATGGTCCCTTTTCTATTTGTACATAAACTATCTGGAATAGTCTTTCGTAGAATTTTAACTTGGATTTATATTAATCTCAGATTGTATAGTTTCCCATATCTACTTTTTTTTGTTTTTGTTTTAACTTTTATTTTAGGTTCAGGGCTATATGTGTGAGTATAGTTCAACTGATGTCATGGGAGTCTGGTGTACAGATTATTTCATCACCCATGTACCAAGCCTAGTACCCGATAGTTATGTTTCCTGATCCTCTCCCTCTTCCCACCCTGCACCCTAAGGTTGGCCCCGGTGTCTGTTGTTCCCCTTTGTGTGTCCATGTGTTCTCATTATTTAGCTCCCACTTAAAAGTGAGAACAAGCAGTACTTGGTTTTCTGTTCCTGGGCTGGCTTGTTAAGGATAATGGGCTCCAGTTCTATCCATGTTCCTGCAAACGACATTATCTCATTTTTTTTCATGGCTGCATAGTATATATACCACAGTTTCTTTACGAAGCCTACCATTAATGGGCATTTAGGTTGATTGCATGTCTTTGCTATTGTGAATGGTGCTGCAGTGAACACAGGCATGCATGTATCCTTATGGTAGAATGATTTATATTCCTTTGGGTATATGCCCAGTAGTGGGATTGCTGGGTTGAATGGTAATTCTGCTTTTAGTTCTTTGAGGAATTGCCACACTGCTTTCAGCAATGGTTGAACTAATTTACACTCCCACCAGCAGTACATAGGCGTTCCCTTTTTCTCTGCAACCTTGCCAGCATCTGTTATTTTTTGACTTTTTAATAACAGCCATTTTGACTGGTGTGAGATGGTATCTTATTGTGGTTTTTATTTGCATTTCTCTAATGATTAGTGATATTGAGCATTTTTTCATATGCTTTTTGGCCACATGTATGTCTTCTTCTGAAGTGTCTGTTCATGTTCTTTGCCTACTCTTCAATGGGGTTGTTTGTTTTTGTCTTATAAATTTAAGTTCCTTAGAGATGCTGGATATTAGACCTTTGTCAGATGTATAGTTTGCAAATATTTTCTCCCATTCTGTAAGTTGGTTGTTCACCCTGTTGATAGTTTCTTTTGCTGAGCAGAAGCTCTTTAGTTTAATTAGATCCCATTTGTTAATTTTTGCTTCTGTTTTAATTGCTTTTGGCATCTTTGTCATGAAATCTTTGCCAGTTCCTACGTCTGGAATGGTATTTCCCAGGTTATCATAGGTTTAGATTTCACATTTAAGTCTTTAATCCATCTTGAGTTGATTTTTGTATATGGTGTAAGGAAGGGGTCCAGTTTCAGTCTTTAGCATATGGCTAGTCAGTTATCCCAGCACCATTTATTGAATAGGGAGTCCCCTCCTCATTGCTTGTTTTTGTTAGCTTTGTCAAAGATCAGATGGTGTGCTGCATTGTAGGTGTGCAGCATTATTTCTGGGCTCTCTATTCTGTACCATTGGTCTATGTGTCTGTTTTTGTACCAGTACTATGCTATTTTGGTTACTGTATCTGTAATACAGTTTGAAGTTGAGTAATATGATGCCTCCAACTTTGTTCCTTTTGCTTAGGATTGCCTTGGCTATTTGGACTCTTTTTTGGTTCTATATGAATTTTAAAACAGCTTTCCCTACTTCTGTGAAGAATGTCATTGATAGTTTGATAGGAATAGCATTAAATCTGTAAATGTTTTGGTCAGGATGGCCATTTTATCAATATTGATTCTTCCTATCCATGAGCATGGAATGTTTTTCCATTTGTCTGTGTCATCTCTGATTTCTTTGAGCACTGTTTTATAATTTTCATTGTAGAGATCTTTTACATTTCTGGTTATTTGTATTTCTAGGTATTTTCTTCTTTTTGTGTCCATTGTGAATGGGATTGCATTCCTGATTTGGCTCTGAACTTGGATTTTGTTGGTGTATCGGAATGCTACTGATTTTTATATGTTGATTTTGTATCCTGAAATTTGCTGAAGTTGTTTATTAGCTCAAGGATCTTTTGGGTAGAGACCATAGGGTTTTTCTAGACATAGAATCATGTTGTCTGCAAACAGGAATAGTTTGACTTCCTCCCTTCCTAGTTGGATACCTTTTATTTATTTATCTTGCCTCATTGCTCTGGCCAGGACTGACTATGTTAAGCAGAGGTAGTGAGAGAAGGGATCCTTGTCTTGTGCTGGTTTTCAAGGGGAATGCTTCCAGCTTTTGCCCATTCAGCATGATTTTGACTGTGGGTTTTTCATAGATGACTCTTACTATGTTCAAGTATGTTCCTTCAGTGCCTTTTGTCGAAGATGTTCAATAAAATGCAACATTCCTTCATGTTAAAAACCCCCAATAAACCAACAGCCAACCCTCTATACATCAACAATATCCAAGCTGAGAGCCAAATCAGGAATGCAATCCCATTCACATCTATCTATCGAATTTCATCTGCATCTACTGAGATAATCATATGGTTTTTGTCTTTAGTTCTGTTTATGTGATGAATCACATTTATTAACTTGTGTATGTTGAACCAACCTAGCATCCCAAGGATAAAAACTACTTGATCCTGGTGGATTAGCTTTTTACATGCTGCTGGATTTGATTTGCTAAGATTTTGTTGAGTATTTTTGCATCTATGTTCATCAAGGATATTGCCCTAAAGTTTTCTTTTTTGTTGTTGTGTCCCTGCCAGGCTTTGGTATCAGGATGATGCCAGCCTCATAGAATGAGTTGGGGAGGTGTCCTTTCTCAATGTTTTGAAATAGTTTCAGTAGTAATGATACCAGGTCTTCTTTGTATATCTGGTAGAATTCAACTGTGAATCCATCTGGTCCTGGGCTATTTTTGGTTGGTAGGCTATTTATTACTGATTCAATTTTGGAGCTCATTATTGGTCTGTTAACAGATTCAGTTTCTTCCTAGTTCAGCCTTGGGAGGATGTGTGTGTCCAGGAACTTATCCCTTTCTTCTAGACTTCCTGGTTTGTGTATATACAGGTATTCATAGTAGTCTCTGATGGTTATTTGTATTTCTGTGGAGTCGGTGGTAACATCCCCTTTGTCATTTCTAATTGTGTTTATTTGGACTTTCTCTCTTTTCTTCTTTATTAGTCTAGCTATCTTATTAATTTTTTCAAAGAAACAACTTTTGGATTTGTTGATCTTTTGTATTTTTTTATGTCTCAATCTCCTTCAGTTCTGCTTTGATTTTGGTTATTTCCTGTCTTCTGCTAGCTTAGGGGTTGGTTTGCTCTTGCTTCTTTAGTTCCTCTAGTTGTAATGTTGGGTAATTATTTTCAGATCTTTCCAACTTTGTGATGTGGGCATTTAGTGATATAAATTTCACTCTTAACACTACCTTACCTGTGTCCCAGAGATTCTGCTGTATTGTATCTCTGTTCTCATTAGTTTCAAAGAACTTCTTGAAATCTGCCTTAATTTCATTGTTTACTCAGAAGTCATTCAGAGCAGGTTGTTTAATTTCCATGTAATTATATGGTTTTGAGGAATTTTCTTAGTCTTGATTTCTACTTTTATTGCTCTGTGGTCCAAGAGCATGGTTGGTATGATTTCAGTGTTTTTGAATTGGCTGAGTGTTGTTTTATGCCTGACTGTGTGGTCAATTTTAGAGTATGTGCCATGTAGCCATGAGATGAATGTATCTTCTGTTGTATTTGGGTGGGGAGTTGTGTAGATGTCTATCAGGTCCATTTGATCCAGTGTTGAGTTCAGCTCCTGAATACTTTTGTTTTTTCTGCCTCAGTGATCTGTCTAATACTGTCATTGAGGTGCTGAAGTTTCCTGCTATTATTGTGTGGGAATGTAAGTCTCTTCATAGGTCTCTTAAGAACCTGCTTTATGAATCTGGGTGTTCCTGTGTTGTGTACATATACATTTAGGGTAGTTACATCTTCTTGTTGAATTGAATCATTTATCATTGTGTAATGTCCTTCTTTGTCTTTAAAATTTTTGTTGGTTTAAAGTATGTTTTGTCTGAAATTAGGATTGCCACCTCTGCTTTTTTTTTTTTTTTTCCTGTTTTCCATTTGCTTGGTAGATTTTTCACCATCCCTTCATTTTGAGCCTATGGGTGTCATTGCATGTGAGATGGGTTTCTTGAAGACAGCATACTATTGGGTCTTGCTCTTTATCAAGCTGGCCACTCTGTGCCTTTTAATTGGGTCATTTAGTCCATTTACATTTAAGGTTAGTATTGATATGTGTGGATTTGATCCTGTCATTGTGTTGTTAGCTGTCTTTGAAAAGGTGGACATTTGCTCATTTATAATTTTCCGGGATTTCTTTTGTCCTCCTTTGTTTGAAATCTCTGTCAATCATAAGTCCTTTCCAATTGAGAACAATGTTGCTTCAGAGAGAAGATGGGAACATAATAGGAGATAAGTAGCTTTGCTTTCTTTTTGCCATGTATTAATACCAAATTTTTCTTGCCTAAACCAAGAGTCCATCTCTTCACATCTTGAATATAGCTAAAAATGGCCTTTTAAATTTTTATAAGATTATTTGTCAAGCCTCATGTTATGCTGGGGTTTGGCCCTACTGACATTTATTAAATGCTTTGTGTTTATATTTGGACAAATGTCTCCCCCACAATCCTTCCACTTCTTGTGTGTGTGTGTGTGTGTGTGTGTGTGTGTGTGTGTGTGTGTGTGTGTGTATTCCTTAGATCTGTGTCCGTAAGACAGCAGTCCCTCTACTCCTACCCTGGTTTCTATAAGTATGTCTCAAATCATAACCGTTTTTTATTTTTTGGGAGAGATGGGGTCTTGCCATCTTGCCCAGGCTGGTCTTGAACTCCTGGGCTCAAGCGATCCTTCCCCCTTGGCCTCCCAAAGTGCTAGGATTGCAGGTATGAGCCATCACTCCTGGCCCCAAATCACATTTTTTTTTCTGGAAGTATTGTCAGAATGACATTTCTGTTTTTATTCCTGACAAGTCCATGTGCCCCTTTGAAGTCTCTGTCTATAGAGTCTAATATCTAATATTTATCAAACACCTACTATGTGTCAGACACTATAAGGTATTTTATATCCACCTCATTTAGTCCTCATAATAATTCCGAAAGCTAAAAGTTGTAGACCTGTGCAGGAAAGAGCTAACAGGTCTGGGCTGCTCAAATCTTGCACAAACCCAAAGTTTTCAGGACTGGCCCTTTCCTGGCTCTTGGGAGAGAGACTTTTGAGCTCTTGTAGTATCTTGCCTGGTATGAGTGTGTTTGTATGCCTGGACCTTTGGGCCATGGTGCATCACTTTTACCTCTGGGGTAGTTGTGCGATATGGTCTGAGGAGCTGAGGAGCTGAGGTCAGTCATATGAATGCTACATGCTTATGTGACTATTCAAAAAAAAAAACAAAAAAACCCTGGACTCCAAGGTTTGGGTGATCTGGTTGCCACCACCTTGCACATGTTATCACACATCATTGTTGGGAGAATTAAATGCTGTCTATAGACTCCACTGGGAGTGGACAATTGGAAGTTTGCTGATCTCTCCTGGACTTTACCCCCTGTACCTTTTCCCTTTGCTGATTTTAATCTGTATTTTTTGCTGTAATAAACTATAACTATGAATATAACAGCTTATTTGCATCCTATGAGACATTCTAGCAAATCCCTGAACCTGAGGATAGTCTTGGGGACCCCTGACACAGCCCCCTTTTTACACATGAAGAAACAGAGGCTCAAAGAAAGTTAAATGATAGAGTAAGGGTTGGAATCAATTCTTTTTTTTAATTATTATAATTTAAGTTCTGGGATACATGCGCAGAATGTGCAGGTTTGTTACATAGCTATACACGTGCCATGGTGGTTTGCTGAACCCATCAACCCATCATCTACATTAGGTATTTCTCCTAATGCTATCCCTCCCCTAACCCCAACCCCCTGACAGGCCCCAGTGTGTGATCTTCCCCTCCCTGTGTCCATGCGGTCTCATTGTTCAACTCCCACTTATGAGTGAGAACATGTGATGTTTGGTTTTCTGTTCTTGTGTTAGTTTGGTGAGAATGATAGTTTCCAGCTTCATCCATGTCCCTGAAAAGTTCATTAACTCATCCTTTTTTATGGCTGCATAGTATTCCATGGTGTATATGTGCCACATTTTCTTTATCCAGTCTATCATTGGTGGGCATTTGGGTTGGTTCCAAGTTTTTGCTATTGTGAACAGTGCTGCAATAAACATATGTGTGCATGTGTCTTTATAGTAGCATGATTTATAATCCTTTGGGTATATACCAGTAATGGGATTGCTGAGTCAAATGGTATTTCTGGTTCTAGATCACTGGAATCTAGAACCAGAAATCACCACGGTGTCTTCCACAATGGTTGAACTAATTTACACTCCCACCAACAGTGTAAAAGTGTTCCTATTTCTCCACATTCTTTCCAGCATCTGTCTTTTCCTGACTTTTTAATGATTGCCATTCTAACTGGCATGAGATGGTATCTCATTGTGGTTTTGATTTGCATTTTTCTAATGACCAGTGATGATGAGCTTTTTTTCACGTTTGTTGGTCACATAAATGTCTTCTTTTGAGAAGTGTCTATGCATATCCTTCACCCAATTTTTGATGGGGTTGTTTCTTTTTTTTTTTCTTGTAAATTTGTTTAAGTTCTTTGTAGATTCTGGGTAGTAGACCTTTGTCAGACGGATAGGTTGCAAAAATTTTCTCCCATTCTGTAGGTTGCCTGTTCACTCTGATGATAGTTTCTTTTGCTGTGCAGAAGCTCTTTAGTTTAATTGGATCCCATTTGTCAATTTTGGCTTTCATTGGCATTGCTTTTGGTGTTTTAGTCATGAAGTCTCTGCCCATGCCTATGTCCTGAATGCTATTGCCTAGGTTGTCTTCTAGGATTTTTATGGTTTTAGGTCTTACATTTAAGTCTTTAATCCATCTTGAGTTAATTTTTGTATAAAGTGTAAGCAAGGGGTCCAGTTTCTGTTTTCTGTGGGCTAGCCAGTTTTCCTAACACAATTTATTGAATATGGAATCCTTTCCCCATTGCTTGTTTTTGTAAGGTTTGTCAAAGATCAGATGATTATAGATGTGTAGCATTATTTCTGAGGCCTCTGTTCTGTTCCATTGGTCTATATATCTGTTTTAGTACCAGTACCATGCTGTTTTGGTTACTGTAGCCTTGTAGTATAGTTTGAAGTCAGGTAGTGTGATGCCTCCAGCTTTGTTCCTTTTGCTTAGGATTGTATTGGCTATACGGGCTCTTTTTTGGTTCCATATGAAATTTAAAGTAGTTTTTTTCTAATTCTGTGAAGAAAGTCAATGGTAGCTTGGTGGGGATAGCATTGAATCTATAAATTACTTCAGGCAGTATGGCCATTTTCATGATATTGATTCTTCCTATCCAGGAGCATGGAATGTTTTTCCATTTGTTTGTGTCCTCTCTTATTTCGTTGAGCAGCAGCTTGTAGTTCTCCTTGAAGATGTCCTTCACATCCCTTGTAAGTTGTATTCCTAGATATTTTATTCTCTTTGTAGCAATTTTAAATGGGAGTTCACTCATGATTTGGCTCTCTGTTTGTATGTTATTGGTGTATAGGAATGTTTGTGATTTTTGCACATTGATTTTGTATCCTGAGACTTTGCTGAAGTTGCTTATACGCTTAAGGAGATTCTGGGCTGAGACGATGGGGTTTTCTAAATATACAATCATGTCATCTGCAAACAGAGAGAATTTGACTTCCTCTCTTCCTATTTGAATATCCTTTATTTCTTTCTCTTGCCTGATTGCCCTGGCCAGAACTCCCAATACTATGTTGAATAGGAGTGGTGAGAGAGGGCATTCTTGGCTTGTGCTGGTTTTCAAAGGGAATGCTTCCACCTTTTGCCTATTCAGTATGATATTGGCTGTGGTTTTGTCATAAATAGCTCTTATTATTTTGAGATACATTCCATCGATACCTAGTTTATTGAGAGTTTTTAGCATGAACGGATGTTGAATTTTATTGAAGGCATTTCTGTATCTATTGAGATAATCATGTGGTTTTTGTCATTCGTTCTGTTTATGTGATAGATTATGTTTGTTGATTTGTATGTGTTGAACTAGCCTTGCATCCCAGGGATGAAGCCAGCTTGATCGTGGTGAATAAGCTTTTTGATGTGCTGTTGGATTTGGCTTGCCAGTTTTTTATTGAGGATGTTCACATCATTGTTCATCAGGGATATTGGCCTGAAATTTTGTTGTTGTTGTTGTGTCTCTGCCAGGTTTTGGTATCAGGATGATGCTGGCCTCATAAAATGAGTTAGGGAGAGTCCCTCTTTTTCTACTATTCCGAATAGTTTCAGAAGGAACGGTACCAGCTCCCCTTTGTACCTCTGGTAGAATTTGGCTGTGAATCCATCTTGTCCTGGGCTTTTTTTGGTTGATAGGCTATTAATTATTGCCTCAATCACACAACTACATGGAAACTGAACAACCTGCTCCTGAATGACTATGAAATTTAGGCAGAAATAAATAAGTTCTTGAAACCAATGAGAACAAAGACACAACATACCAGAATCTCTGGGACACAGCTAAAGCAGTGGTTAGAGGGAAATTTATACCACTAAATGCCCACAGGAGGAAGCAGGAAAGATCTAAAATTGACACCTTAACATCACAATTAAAAGAACTACAGAAGCAAGAGCAAACAAATTCAAAAGCTAGCAGAAGACAAGAAATAACTAAGATCAGAGCAGAGCTGAAGGAGATAGAGACACAAAAAATCCTTCAAAAAATCAATGAATCCAGGAGCTGGTTTTTTGAAAAGATTAACAAAATAGATTGCTAGTCAGACTAATAAAGAAGAAAAGAGAGATGAATCAAATAGACACAATAAAAAATGATAAAGGGGATATCCCCACTGATCCCACAGAAATACAAACTACCATCACAGAATACTATAAACACCTCTATGCAAATAAACTAGAAAATCTAGAAGAAATGGATAAATTCTGGGACACATACACCCTCCCAAGACTAAACCAGGAAGAAGTTGAATCCCTGAATGGAATTAATTCTTTCAGAAATCAAAGATTTTTTTTTTTTTTTGGCCTTTCACACTGTAGTACCTCCACTTTTCAGAATTAAAAAAAAAAAAGGTGACTCTTACTAAAGGTATAGGCTATGGGCTCTGGTTCTGGGTAACATAGAGATGACTTCCCCCATCTCTTTCACTGAATGCAGCCATAATTTCTGGACACAGTGCATGGAGAAGCTACTTGAGGACTCTGAAAAATAAATAGTGGCAGGTAGATTAGGGAAGAAGATCAGAATTCAAAGTGCTCCAAAACTGGCAGTGAGTTTAACTCTTTTTCCTCATGCTGCTCATGTCCCTGGAAGCATGTGCAGCAGAGTAGGATAACTAAACCTCAGCTTTCTGGCTGGAGGATGAGGAGAGGAAGCCCGAGGGAACCAGAAAGTATCAGGATGGTCATGGAGAGGCAGGACTTGGGAAAGCAGCCCCAGAAAGTTGTTTACGAAATGTTGAATGCAGCCTGAGGCCTTCATGCATGGATTTCATGCTAATTAGCATACAAAAGACTTTGAACAGACACAGAAAGACAAATATTACATGTTCTCACTTATAAGTGGGAACTAAATAATGTATATACACTAGGACACAGAATGTGGAATCAGTCAATGGAGACTCAGAAGGTCGAGAGGCTGGGGGGATAGATGAGAAATTACTTAATGGGTACAATGTACATTATTTGGGTGATGAATACCCTACTGAATACCCAAGGAATAACCCTAATATCCATGAATTTACCACTATGCAATATATGCATGTATTAACAAAATTGCACTGTACTCCATAAATTTATAAAAACTTTTAAAATAAGTAAACAAATACATGTACAGCTTTTAAAAAAAGGCCTTGATAACTGAACTAGTAAACAGATGAGAATTCAGATGCCAGACTGGCCTGTTAGTGGTGCATACACGGAACATAGCTAAATAGTGCTGCAAAAGGTTTGAGGGCCAAACCGACATTGGAATCACAATCAACAGAAGGTGCATTGAAATTTGCAGCCCAAACATAACCAGGTACATAGCCTGCTAAAACAAAAACATCAACATTCTCCATAGGTTTTAAACAACATCCAGAATCTCATAACATAATATTCAAAAGGTCTAGGAAATAATCCAATATTTTTCAGCATATGAAGGAGAAGAGAAATGTAGCTTGCATGAAAAAGGTCAATCAACGGATGCCAACAGCAAAATGACACAGATGTTAGAATTATCTGGCAAAAGCTTTAAAGTAGCCATTCTAAAAATTATCTAATGAACAATCACAAACCGTCTTGAAACAAATGGTAGAATAGTAAATTTCAGTAAAGAAATAGAAAATACAGGCTAGGTGTGGTGGCTCACACCTGTAATCCCAGCATTTTGGGGGGCTGAGGTGGGCAGATCACTTGAGGTCAGGAGTTCAAGACCAGCCTGGCCAACATGGTGAAACCCGACCTCTACTTAGAATACAAAAATTAGCTGGGCATGGTGGTGGGTGCCTGCAATCCCAGCTACTTGGGAGGCTGAGGCATGAGATTGCTTGAATATGGGAGGCAGAGGTTGCAGTGAGCTGACATCGCGCCATTGCACTCTAGCCTGGGCGGCAGAGTAAGACTCTGTCTCAAAAAAAAGAAAGAAAGAAATATAAAACATAAAAGAGAATCAAGTAGACATTTTAGAACTGAAAAGTAACCTGATTAAAAGAAAGATGAGCTCCAAAGCAGAACTATGGAGACAGAGGAAAGACTGAGTAAACTAGAAGATAGAATAATAGAAATTATCCTATCTGAACAACAGAGAGAAAATAGACTGGCAAAGAAAAAGAGAGCCCCAGGGACCTGTGGGATTGTAACAAAAGGTCTAACCTTCATGTCATTGGAATCACGGAAGGAGAGGAGAAAGAAGGCAGTACTTGAAGATATAATGTCAAAAGACTCCCTAAATCTGGCAAAACCCCACAAATGTGCAGGTTTCAGAAGTTTAGTGAACCCCAAACAGGATAAACACAAAGAAATTTATGCCTAGACACATCATAATCAAACATCTGGAATCTAAAAACAAAGAAAAATTCTTGAAAGCAGCTGAAGAAAAACTGACGCATTACCTCTAGGAGAAAAACAATCTGAATGATTGAATTTCTCATCAGAAACTGTAGAGACCAGAAAGATTTTTCAAGTACTGAAAGTAACAACTGTCAATCCAGAATTATATATCGTGTAAATGATCGTTCAGAAATTAGGATGAGATTTAAAAAATTACCAATGAGAAAACAGAATTTGTTGCCAGCAAATCTGCTCTAAAAAAATTGTTAAAAGCAGTTTTTCAGGCAGAAGCAAAATGAAGGAAGGAAAAATGGAAATGGTAAATACCAATCAGGAACGAAGGAAGAGCAACAGAAAGGGTAAACAGCTGAATAAATATGATAAACTATTTCTTCTCATAATTCTTTTAAAACATGTTTAATGATTGAAAGCAAAATTTGAAAGCAAAATATTGTCTGATGTGGTTTCCAGGGTATGTAGGTGTACTGATAAGATGCATATGACAGAAAGAGGGGAGAGGAACACTATGGTGGTAAGGTTTCTACATTCCACTTGAAGAGATAAAATATTGATTCTAAGTAAATTATAAAGTTAAGTATATATATTGTAGTTCTTACAGCAACTACTAAACAGAAAAACACATATGCAAAGAGATATAGTTAAATTTCTTTTAAATGAAATTCTAAAGAATGTTCAAGTAATTCAAAAGAAGGTAAGTGTTGCAGGCTGAATGATAGCCATCCAAATTCCTGAATCCTAATTTCAGATCCTAATTCCTGAAATCTGCAAATATTACTTTATAAGGGAAAAGGGCCTTTACAGGTGTAGTTAAGATTCTTAAAATGGAGAGATTATTCTGGATTATTCAGGTAGGTCCTAAATGCAATCACATGCATCTTTATAAGAGAGAGATTTCACAGACAGAAGAGGAGGAGGCAATGTGACCACGGAGAGAGAGACTGGAACGAGTTGGCCACAGTCAAGGAATGCCAGAAGCAACCAGAGCCTGAAAGAAGCAAGGAATGGATTATTCTCTGAAGCCTCCAAAGGTAGCGCAATCCTGCCAACACCTTGATTTTGGATCAGTGATACCGATTTCAGACTTCTGACCTCTAAAACTATGAAAGAATAATTTTTTGTTGTTTTATGTCATCAACCTTGCAGTAGTTTGTTACAGTAGCCATAGGAAACTAACACAACATGTAAGAGGAAATGGAGGAATGAAAAGAAGAGAAAACAGAAAACAAATAAAATGACAGACCTAATCCAAACATATCAATAATCACATTAAATGTAAATAGTTTAAACATACCAATCAAGAGACAAATTTTAAAATAAATGTTTTAAAAAAACCTAAGTTGTGTACCAAAAAATAACTCCAAATAAAATGATAGATGTAAAACTAAAAGGACAAAAAATATGCAAAGCAAAAACTAATCCAAATAAGCCTGCAGTATTTATATTAATATCAGACAATGTAGACTTCAGAAAAAAGAAAACTTCCAGGAATAAAGAGGGAATTACATAATGATAAAAAGGCTAATGAAACAAGAAGATGTAATAATGCTAAATGTGAATGCACACACAATGCTTTAAAATATACTAAGCAAAAACCAGACAGAATGGAAAGGATAAGTAGACAGATCCACAGGCATAGTTGAATATGTCACTTTACTCTTTCAGTAATAGATAGGACTGAGATTATCAGTCGATAGACAGAATGCTGATTGACAGAAGATCAGCAAGGATACAAAGAACTGAAGAACATTATCAACCAACTAGATCTTCTTGACATTATAACATTCTACTCAACAATAGCAAATACACATTTTTTTAAGGACAAATGAAATATCCACCAAGATAGACCATATCCTGGGTAACAAGACAAATTTTGACAATTAAAAAAATCTAAACATAAATTAGACATGGTATCTTCTCTGATTATAATAGAAATAAATTTGAGATCAATAACATAAAGAGAACAGGACAAATTCTAGACACTTAAAAATTAGACCTCATACTTCTATATATAATTCTATATATAATTCATGGGTCAAGGAGGAAGTCTCAAGGGAAATTAGAAGTGGAGAACAATGAAAATGCAATATATAAGTTGTTGTGGGGTGCAGGAAAAGTAGTACTCAGAGGCAAAGTTATAGCATAAAATGCTTACAAGAGAAAAGAAGAAAAGTCTAAAATCAATAATCTAAGTATACCTCAAGAAACTAGAAAAACAAGAGTAAAACCCAAAGCAACTGGAAGAAAATAAATAATAAATATAAAAACAGAAATCAATAAAAATAGAAATATGATAGAGAAAAATAAATGTAAAAGTAAAGGTTGTTCTTCAAAAAGATAATTGATAAAGTTCTAACAAATTTACAAAGACAAAAATAGACACAAATTACTGAAATCAAAAATGAAAGAAGGGAAAGCAGTACAGCCTCACAGTAATCAAAAGGATAAAATAAAACACTATGAACAACCTTACACACATAATTTGGTAACAGCTGAAATGAAGTAATTCCTTGAATATTTCATGTTACCAAGGATCATACGAAATGAAATACATAACAAGAATCATCTCATTAAAGTTTAAGAAAATGTAATTCATAGTTAAAAGATTGTAAAAAAAAGAAATCTCTAGGCCTTAATGGTTTCATTGGTGAATTCTACCCAATATTTACATAAAAAATAACACTGATTCTACACAATCTCTTCCAGGAAACAGAAGAGGAGGGAACCCTTCCCAACTCATTTTATGAGGCCAGTGTTACTGTGATACCAAAACTAGGCAAAGATCGTACAGGAAGAAAAAAACCTACAGACCAAGATTTCTCAGGAACATAGATGCAAAAATCCCCAACAATTTATTAGCAAATGGAATGCAGCAATATATAAAAAGAATAATACATCATGACCAAGTAGACTTTATCCTAGGAATGCAAGGCCAGTTGCATACTCAAAACTAAACCATTAGATGGGTCACGCTTGTAGTCCCAGCACTTTGGGAGGACAAGGTGAGTGGATCACTTGAACCCAGGAGTTTGAGACAAGCTGGGACAACATGGTGAAACCCTGTCTCTAAAAAAAATATAGAAATTAGCTAAGCATGGTGGCACACACCCATAGTCCCAGGTATTTGAGAGGCTGAGGTGGAAGAATGACTTGAGCCCAGGAGGTCAAGGCTGCAGTGAGCTGTGATGGCACCACTGCACTCCAGCACGGGAGATGGTATGAGACCTGGTTTCCAAAAAAAAATCAAAAGACATTGTTATTTATCATATTAACAACCTAAAAAAGAAAAAAAAACCATAATCATATCAATTGATGCAGAAAAAGCATTTGGCAAAATTTAACATTAATTCCTGATTTAAAAAAATCTCTTAGGAAGCTAGGGATAGAAGAGAACTGTCTTATCCTGATTAAGGACAATTACAAGAGAAAAACACACATACACACAGAAAGCCCTGTAGAGAATATCATATCTAGTTGCAAAAGGCTGAACACTTTCTGCCTAAGATCTGGAACAAAGTAAGGATGTCAATTCTCATCACTCTTATTCATCACATACTGAAAATCCTAGCCAATGCAACAAGGCAAGAAAAAGAAAACAAAGCCATGGAAATTGGAAAGGAAACAATAAAACTGTTGCTATTCACAGACAACATGCTTGCTTACATAGAAAAAAAAAAAAACAACACACAGTAAATGTCCCCCGACATGCCCTAAATCCTCTAGAACTAATAACGAGCTTAGCAGGTTACAGGATACAAGGTCAATACATTAAAACATTGATTATATTTCTAAATACTAGCAACATACAACTAGAAAGCAAAACTTAAAACAACATACCTTTTTACCACAGCTTCCCCCAAAATGAAATATTTAGTTATAAATCTACAAAAACATGTACATCATCCTTATGCTGGAAATAAAAAATCTGGATTAAAGAAATCAAAGAGGAACTAATAAAATGGATCGGAAGAGTCAACATAGTACATTTGTTAATTCTTCCCAAACTGATCCATAGATTTTTTATAATTCCAATCAAAATCACCAATGAATTTTCTGTAGATAGAGACAAAATGATTCTAAAATTTGCATGTAAAAGAAAAGAAACTAGAATCACTAAAACAATTTGCCAAAGATGAATAAAGTCAGAGGAATTATCTTATTTGATTTTAAGGCTTAGTATAAAGTTATACTAATGAAGATAGTGTGGTTGAGAAATATACACGTAGGTCAATGGGAACAAAATATAAAAATCCAGAAATAATTCTACACAAATATGTCCAAATATTTTTTCACAAAGATGCAAAAGGAATTGAATGAAGAAAGGATAGTATTTTCAACAGATATCACAATAGTCAATTTGATATCACAATAGTCAAAAGATAAGCATATCTTGACCTAAACTTCACATCTTACAGACAAATCAGGTCAAAATGAATTATAAATCTAAATGTAAAACAAAAAAACTCTTAAACTTTTAGAAAAATAATGAGATAAAACCTTCATGACTTGAGGTTTAACGAAGAGTTCTTAGGTTTGGCATCAAAAGCATAACTCATGAAAGAGAAAAATGGATAAATTGGATTTCATCAAAATAAAAAACTTTTCTCTGCAAAAGGCACTGATAAGGAAATGAAAATACATACTATACAATGGGAGAAGATATTTGCAAAAGTCACATATCCAAAAGAGAATTTGTATTTAGAATCTATAAATAACTCTCAAAGCTCAACAGTAGGAAAACAAATTATCCAATTAAAAATGGGAAAATGATTTTATCAGTTTCACTAAAGGGGATACATATGGCAAACAAGCACATCGAAAGATTTTCAACAGCATCAGCTACTGGGGAGATGCAAACTAAAACCACAGTAAGATGCCTCTATATATCTATTGGAATAGGAAAAATAAAAAATACACAATACTGAGTGTCAGCTAGGATGCTGAGTAACTGGATCTCTCATACATCAGGAACAAAAAGTTTCTTCTAAAGTTATATGCTTGCCATATAATCCAGTAAATTCATTCCTGGGTATTTAACCAAGAGCAGTGGTTCTCAGGTGTGGATGATATTTGCATTTGTCAGTGTCTGCAGACATTTTGATTGCCACAATTGGCAGAGTTCTACTGGCATCAGTAGGGGCCAGGGATAAACTAAACATTCTGCAATGCACATGGCAGTTCCCTCACAACAAAGTATCTGGCCCCAGATGTCAAGGTTGGCAGTGCCAATGTTGAGGTAAGAAACTTGGTCCTTGAGAAATGAAGATTTATGTTCACATAATAATCTGTACATGAATACTTATAGCAGCTCTACTCACAATTGTCAAAAACTGGACATAACCCAAATGTCCTTCAAAGGGTGAATGGAAAAACAAACTCTGCTAATCCACACAACGGACCAGTACTCAGCAATGAAAATGATTCACTGTTGATGAATGCAACCACTTGGCTGAATCTCAAAGACATCATGCGGAGTGAATGAAGTCCATATCAAAAGTTTACAGATTGTATGATTACATTTATATGGAATTTTGTCAAAAAGACAAAATTATAGTGATGAAGAATAATAGATCATTGGTTACCAGGGGCTGCTGGAAGAGAGAGAGAACAATTATGGAGCCATAGCATAAAGGATTATTTTAGGATGGTTAAATTATTCTGGTTACATATACATATATTTCGTGTGTCATCTTCTTATTTCTGGGCTCCCTCTTCTTTGCTATGGCAAATTCCAGGCTGAAACGGCTGCATTCTCTAAGTGTCTATGTACTGAAACCTTGTCCAAGGATCTCCCTGTTCTTTCATTGAAAGTTACTCCTTCCCTTCCTGAGTTCCCACAGCTGTTTGTTTTCCTGTCTGTTACACATTCTGCCTGTTGGTATAATTATTAGGCCATGTGACTTTCTCCCTGACCACAACACGATCACAAAGGCAGGAACTGTGGCTCATGTATCTTGGAGTTCCCCACAGGGCCTAGCCTGGCATCAGGGCTCAGTGTGCATTTGTGGAACTGAAAGCCTTGGTTCCCAGGAGCTCAAGCCCACTGGGACCAACAACAGAACGAAGGGAGTTTGCCTACAATTTATGACAAGCAGGCAGCCCATCTCCATGGCCTGAGCTGCATAATAAGCAGGAAGATGAAGCAAAAGGGTTGGCCCTCCAGTGTCAGAGAAGATGAACAAAGCTTATTAATGCATGGTAATACCAGCGTGATATCAGAACAGCTTCCCCCAGCAACAACCCAGTTCTCTCACTGTGATGAAGTGCTCTGCCTTCTGCCTCAGACTTTAGCCACTTGGGATCTGCATTATTGCCTTGTAAAATTGATGGGCAGTGGCACAATCTCCTAGTTTAAGGAATTTCTGTTAGCATTAGCAAAATGCAATGGCTTTGCAATTTCTAAGGGCATTCCTTGCAATAGGAAAGTGAATAAAAATTGGGCCAGACTGGAACAATGCCCATCTCTAATCCCTGTGGCTCCCCTGCTCAGTCTCCTCCATGTCATCAGCAGCAGGTGTGAGCTCAGGTCTCCCAAGGTGGGCAAGTCTTATTTATACTTAACCTGAATGGGGCAAGAGGGGGGATGTTCATCTTAGTGGGTCTTTTTCTTTGATCCCCTGAGGAGGTTATTCAAGATCAGAGTCTCTTTTCCTTCCAAACTGCTTGGAGATGTTTCCCAATTTTTAAAATCCAACCTGCTCAATAGTCTTGTGTCTTAAAAACTATGCTTCTTTAGAAAGGTGACAGGCAGTGGCAGCTGGATCTTTCTGGTAGCCAAGTGCTCTGGGGAGAGGAGGGTTGAGAATGAATCTGAGCTTTTCCTTCTAAGTCTTTGGATTTTGAGTAGCCCAAGATGGCTCTCTTCACCACCATGTTCTGAAGCAGGGGTGACTATTTCTCTTCCTGAGGTTGGGGAGCTGAGTATCACAGTTAGGCAACGGTGGGCCATGCGCTGGTGAAATGGATCAAACATACAGGCCACGAGGGAAAGCAGGAACAGGCCACAGACAGTCAGACCCAAGGCACATGCTATTTTCTGCCTTACTGAAAAGATGAAACATAGCTGTATCCTGGCCGCTTCAACTGGCGGGAAATGAAAAGTACAGAAAACCCATCTACAAGAAGTAAAATCAACAAGCACAAAGGGAGACAGAGGAAAGCTCTGGAGAAGGTAAGCAAAGACTTTTTTTTTTAACTTTTATTTTAGGATCGTGGGTACATGTGCAGGTTTGTAATATAGGTAAACTTGTGTCACAGGGGTTTGTTGTAAAGATTATTTCATCACCCAGGTACTAAGCTTAGTATCCAGTAGTTATTCTGTTCCTCTCCCTACTCCTAGCCTCCACTTTCAGGTAGGCTCCAGTGTCTGTTGTTCCTCTCTATGTGTCCATGTGTTCCTACTTATAAGTGAGAGCATGTGGTACTTGGTTTTCTGTTCTGGTATTTGCATTAGTTTGTTAAGGATAATGGTCTCCAGCTCCATCCATGTTCCCGTAAAAGACACGAGCTCATTCTTTTTTGTGGCTGTACAGTATACCATGGTGTATATGGACCACATTTTCTTTATCCAGTCTACCATTGATGGGCATCTACGTTGGTTGATTCCATGTCCTTGCTATTGTGAATAGCGCTGCAATAAACATTTACGTGCATGTGCCTTTATGGTAGAATGATTTATATTCCTCTGGGTATATACCTAGTAATGGGTTTGCTGGGTCGAAGAGTAGTTCTGTTTTTTAGCTCAAAGACATCTTTTTACTGGCATGCTGAATACGCTTGGACAGAGAGGGGACTGGAGCCCTGCTGCTTCTGAGTCCTGAGGGCAGGCCGACGGACATGCTTCTTCTTCTATTTGGGGGGTCACAGGGCTGGCTGCAGCACCTGTGGGTTACCATGCTTTGGCAAACTCACTGTCCCCCTTGTGGTGTTGCAGTGCCTTTACCATGTCCAATGGGAAGGAGCAAATTCAAAAAGCACAGCTTTGCAAGCAGAGGCAAGGTTATTCCCTTTGGGGCTCCTACATAACCTACTGTGTAGACTGGCTCAGAATCATACCTACCTCTTCTGCATGCAGAGAGGTGATTCATGGAGGAGCATATGGCCAGGCTCTTCTCCCTGACTTTTTTTAAAATCCAAAATTGGGTTGATTTCAACTCAACTTACTGTCACCCCCAATTCCCCATCTGTCCTTGACTTTGGACTTAGAGTCTTTACTTCGAAGGTTAAAAGCTGTGTGTTATGGACTGAATTGTGTCCCTCCCAAATTGTTAGGTTTAAGTCCCAACCCCCAGTGGTGTTTGAGGATAAGATTTTTAAAGAGATAATTAAGTAAAAATGAGGCTGTTAGGGTGAGGCCCTAATCCAAAATAACTGATGTCCTTATAAGAAGAGGGAGGCCAGGTGTGGTGGCCCATGCCTGTAATCCCAGCACTTTGGAAGGCTGAGGCAGGAAGATCACCTGAGGTCAGGAGTTCAAGACCAGCCTGGCCAACATGGTGAAACCCCATCTCCACTAAAAATACAAAAGTTAGCTAGATGTGATGGCGCATACCTGTAATCCCAGCTACTCAGGAGGCTGAGGCATGAGAATCACTTGAACATGGGAGGCGGAGTTTGCAGTGAGTCAAGATCCCGCCACTGCAATCCAGCCTGGGCAACAGAGAGAGACTCTGTCTCAAATTAAAAAAAAAAAAAAAAAAAGAAAAAGAAGAGGGAGACACATCAAGGACGTGCATGCACAGAGAAAAGGCCAGGACATAGCGAGAAGACGGCCATCTGCCATATTTTGTTATAACAACCTAGCAAAAAAATACACCATAGGGAGCACATTAGAATTCAGGAAGCAATGACCACGGAACATTTTCATTCCAGTGATCCACTTGTATTTCAGGAAAATTCAGAAAAATCCCTCAAGCCACAGCCATTTATACACGTATGTATGTATGTATTCATCCACCATTCTATCCTTCCTTGCTAATTTTTCCTGTGTCATCAAATATGACAGCAGTGAGAAAAGAAAGGCCAGAATGAGCTGAGAAGAATCCTCTAAATCCTATGGGAAAACAGAGGAAGCCTGCATTAGTGGTGTTGGGGTCAAAAAGAGGCTTCAAGGATTTATAGGTGAAAGAAACCCGTCGGTGACCATCTGGATTAATTGTTGGGCAAGACTCCCTAGAGGCAGAACTGGAAAAACCTGTTGAGCATAGCCCATCCAGTAATAACTTGAAAAGCTTCCTCCTATCCTCTGCAGCTAGACCACAGGCCACAGAGCCTTGGGGGCCATGTGGATGCAGGTCAGAGCCTTCTCTGCATCTAAAAACCAGCCACTTCAGGCTTATCCTGAACCTATGCAGAGCAGCTTAAGAGGATTCACTGATGGGCTCCTTTGGGTGCTGAAATTTCAAGGCTCACCTGGGTTTCCTTTATACCTGTGTATCTAAGAACATTCAGCTAAATCTTGCTGACCTCTTCACCACAGCATATAAGGCCTTCTGTGACCCGGCCCCAGCCTCAGCCCCACCATACCCCCAGGTCACGCCCCCGTGCTCCAGTCATAGAAAACCATGTGGGGAGCTCCAGCACGCACACCGTTTCTTCACCTAATGACTGCTGCACATGCTGTTCCTCAGCCTCCAACACCTTTTTTCTCCTGCTTCCAACTCATCCTTTGAGATTCTGATCCATAGATGCCCTGGGAAGCTATCCCGGATGGCCTGGGAGGACAGCCCCCATTCGCCTCCTCTGTTTTCACTGTATAGGGGGTGGGTGGGGAGCCAAGAGCAGCTTCCATTTGTGGGGTATTTTTTAGGTGTCAGGCCCTGGGGACCCCATGATTTTTTATTCTCCCAACAGTCCAAGAGAGGGGCACGGGGCAGCATCATGGCACACAGGATTCTCCCTCTCCCACCTCCATCTGGCCCCTGGCCACTGACCTCTTATGACACTGAGGGCTTATCTTCCCCGCACTCCCAATTCACAGAGAGCTCCCTGAAAGCAGGGCCATTTCCCCCTCCCCTGGACTTCCCAAGGCCCTGGCATATAACAGAGGCTCAATAAATATTTGTAGAATGCACTGTTCTTTGATACTTTGGTTTGTTACTTTGATTCCATTGTTATGAAACTTTTAGATTTTCCATTTTTTCCAGCAACTTATATTTTCCTAAAGCAACCACCCATTGCACCAAACATTTGAATTTTGGCTGTAAATAATGTGACAGAATACTCTTCCATATTACTTATTAGTCTCTAGGTACCTGTATTTATCTCCACTTTTTTGTTTCTACTTCAGAGTATGTTCTCTCACCTTCTTCTCTTGACTAAGCGAGTCAGTGATTTCTCTAGTTCATTATCTGCCCATTTATTTTCCGGAGAATTAGCTTGACTTTAAAAAATCCAACCTACTGTTTTCTAATGTATTTGTGTTTTTCATATTTATTTTTTTCATAGCACTTATAAAAATGCACCTTAAATTGGATACTTGATTCATCCTTTCTCAAAGTTTAAAGGTATGTTTTATTTTCTGCTTGGTTTACATTTCCATTATCATTATTTCTTAGCTATTTAGAATTTTATATTTTAATTTTTGCTTTGATCAAATATGAGTTTTAAAAGACTGCCAAATTTGTAAGTGACTAAGGTGGGGTTTTTTGGTTCTACTTCATTATTTCTAGTGTTATCTCATTGATGCAAAGGATGCCACTCAAGCTATTTTTACTTTGTGGAATTTACTGAGGTTTTCATTATAGATTAATATATGATCCATTTTTGTAAGTTTTATGAGACTCTGTAAAGAAGATGCAGTATCTGTTGTCAGGAACCAAATTCAATATATGTCCGTTACTCAACTTTATTTTTATCATTCAAAGTTTTTTCATGGCTTGGTAAGAGATGAGTTAAAATTCTCATAGAACTATGCAGTTTCTGGGATTTCTCCTGGATTTTCCTATAGTTGTGTCTTGTTTTATGTATAATTGTATTATTTCATATCATGCGTAAAATGTATGAGAGTTAAATCCCCATTAGAGACTATGACCTTTATACTATTGTGTCTTTTCTCATTCAATAATTTTTATTGTCTTGAATTCAACCCTGGCTCAGTATTTAATACAATAACCCTGATTTTGTTGTTATTGTTATTATTTACTTGATCATTCTTTGTTTCTTTGAACTTTTCTGAAAAACTTTGTTTTCAGTGCATTTTTAAGCTTTTTTATGTAATTAAATGAATTTTTCTATTTCAAGATAATTGTAGATTTACATGCAATTGTCAGAAATTATACAGAGATATGTTGGGTATCTTTTACCCAGTTTCGCCCAATGGTAACATCTTAAAAAACTATAGTACAACATCACAACCAGCATATAGATATTGATACAATGAGATCCAGATCATCTCCATCACCACACAGGTCCCTTATGTTGCCCTTTTACAGCCACACCTACTTCCTTCCTCTTTCTGCAAACATCTCCTCATCCTTACCACTGGCAGCCACTAATCTGTTATCTCTCCATATAATTTTGTCATATCAAGACTGGTATATCAACGGAATCATGGTATGTAACCTTTTGGTATTTTTTTCTTCCACTCAGCAAAATTTTTTGGTGATTCCCCATGTGAATGTATCAATAGTGCATTCTTTCTCATTGCAAAAGAATATATATTTCATGGTATGCACATACCACAGTTTCCTTAATCATTTACCCATTAAAGGAAAATTGGGTTTGTTTCCAGATTTTTTGTTATTCTGAACAAAGCAGCTATGTACATTAATATGCAAGTTTTTGTGTGAACACAAGTTTTCATTTTTGGGGGGATAAATACCCAAGAGTGTAATTTCTGGGCTGTATGGTAAGCATGTGTTTCGTCTTCTAAGAAGCTGCTACACTCTTTTTCAGAGTGGCTGTACCATTTTATATTCCCACCAGCAATGTATGAATGATCCAGTTTCTCTTCATCCTCACTTGCATTACGTGTTATCACTGTTGTTTATTTTAGCCATTCTGATAGGTCAATAGTGTTAGGGGGAAAGAGTTCATCTTATTATGGTTTTAATCTGCATTTCCTTAATGGTTAATGATGTTGAATGTCTTTTCATGCGTTATTTGCCGTCTCTAGCCTCATGAGTGAAACGCCTGTTTTTATCTTTTGCCCTTTTCCTAACTGGATTTTTAAAAACCTGTTTACATTTGATTGTTCCTTGTATATTGTAGGTACTATGCCTTAGTGTGTGATATGTGCTTTGCAAACATATCCCAGACTGTAGCTTGTCTTTTCAGACTCTGAACATAGTCTTTCACAGAACAAATGCTTTTAATTTTGATGATGTCCTGTTTATCAGTTTTTCCTTTTATGAATCACGCTTTGGGTGTGAACCCTAAGAGCTCACCGTCTAACCATAGTTGCCAAAGGTTTTCTTCTATATGTTTACTTCTAAAGTTTTTGCAGTGTTACATTTTATGTACATTTAAGTCCATGATCTATTTTGAGTTAAATTTCATATAAAATGTGGAACTTAGATTAAGGTTCTTTAATTTTTCTTATTTTGCCTATGGATGTTCAAGTATTCCAGAACCATCTGTTGAAAAGGCTATCTTACTTCACTGGAGTTGCTCATGCCATTTCATAAAAAAATCAGTTGGGCATGTTGGTATGGGTCTATTTCTGCACTCCCTATTTTTATCCATTGTTCTATGTGTGTATTCACCTGCCAATACCATACAGTCTTCATTACTATAGTTATATGTCTTAAAATTGGATAGACTGATTCCTCCCACTTTATTCTTTTTCAAAATTGTTTTAGCTATTCTAGTTCCTTTGCCTTTCCATATAAATTTCAGTATAAGTTTGTCTATAGCAATAAAAAAATCTTGCTGAAATTTTGATAAAAATTAGGTTAAACCTGTATTCGATATGGGGATAAATAATATCTTTACTATGCTGAATCTTCCAATTGATGAATATGGTATATCTCTCCATTTTATAGCTCTACGTTGATTTGTTTCATTAGCATTTTGTAGTTTTCAGCATACAAGTCCTTTACATGTTTTGTTAGGTTTATACCTAAGTATTTCTAATTTTTTGAGACATTGTACATGGTGTTTTTTGAAATTTTGGTTTCCAGGTGTCCGATACTAGTAAAGTCAGTCCTCCATATCCACGGATTCTGCATCCATGGATTCAATCAATCACAGATCAAAAATATTTGGGAAACGAAAGGATGGTTGTGTCTGTACTGAACACGTACAGTCTTTTCTGTTGTCATTATTCCCTAAACAATACAACAACTACTTACATAACATTTACATTGTATTACATATAGTAAGTAATTTAGGGATGACAAAGTAGGTATCTTTGTGCATAAGTTATATGCAAATACTATATAGTTGTTGTTTTTTTTTTGTTTTTTTTTTGAGATGGAGTGTCGCTCTTTCGCCCAGTCCGGGCTGCAGTGGCGCAATCTCGGCTCACTGCAAGCTCCGCCTCCCAAGTTCACGCCATTCTCCTGCCTCAGCCTCCCGAGTAGCCGGGACTACAGGTGCCCGCCACCACGCCCGGCTAATTTTTTGTATTTTTAGTAGAGACGGGGTTTCACTGTGTTAGCCAGGATGGTCTCGATCTCCTGACCTCGTGATCCACCCACCTTGGCCTCCCAAAGTGCTGGGATTACAGGCGTGAGCCACTGTGCCCCGCCTACTACATAGTTTTATATAAGGGACTTGTGCCTCCCTAGATTTTGGTATCTGAGTGTTGATCCTGAAATCAATCCCCCACAGATACCTTGGGACAACTATATATAGAAATACAATGAATGAACGTTGACCTTGTATCTGCAACCTTGCTGAGTCACTTTTTAGTTCTAGGAATTCCTTTCCTTGTCTGCCTGCTTTCCTTCCGTCCTTTCTCTCTCTCTTTCGTTCATTTCTTTCTCCTTCCTTCTTTCCTTGCTTCATTCTTGTAGATTCCTTGGAATTTTCTACATAAACAATTATGTCATCTGCAAACAGGGCTACTTTTGTCTCCCTTTATTATCTAAAAGGATATGTCTTTTATTTCTGTATCTTGCCTTATTGCACTGGCTAGAACTCCTAGTACTACATTGAATAGAAATAGTAAGACCAAACTTTGCCTTGTTTTTAGTGTTAGGGGGACAGCATTCAATTTTTCACCACTAAGTATAATGTTAGCTATAGGAATTTTGTAGATACTCTTTTCCAAGTTGGGGAAGTTCCACTTTCTTCCTATTTGTCTAGGAGTTGTTATCATGAGTAATTGTTGAATTTTGTCAAATGCTTTTTTCTGCATCAATTGGAATGATAATGTGATTTTTTTTTCTCTTTTTCCTGTTAATATGAAGAATTAGATTGGTTTATTTGTAAAAATTGAACCAGCCTTGCGTCTTCAGAGCAAACCACACTTGGTCAGTGTATAATTCTTCTCATATATTGCTAAATTCTACCCATTAATATTTTGTTAGGGATTTTTTATGTCTATGTTTATAAGGTATATTGGTCTGTAGTTCTTTTTGGTTCTGTCTTTGTCTGATTTTGGTATCAGGAGAATACTAACTTCAAAAAATGAATTGGTAAAAGTTCTCTCTTCTTCTACATTATGGAAAATATTGTGAAGAACTGATGGATATTCTTCTCTAAATTAACCACTGAAAGTATCTGGGCCTGGAATTTTCTTTTTCTGAATTTTTAAAATTGTGAATTTAATTTACTCAATAGTTATAAGGTTATCCAAATTATCTCATGTTGAGAAAGCTGTGGTATTGTGTGTTTTCGAATAATAGTCTATTTCATCTAAATTGTCAAATTTATGGGCATAGAATTTTCCTTAGTATTATCTTACTACCATTTTGATGTGCACAGAGTATATACTAATATAATCTGTCTCACTCTAGTAGCTTGTGTCTTCTTGTTAGTCTTGCCAGAGGGTTGTCACTTTTATTGATCTTTTAAAAGATCTAGCTCTTTGTTTCGTTGTTGTTCCCTATTATTTTTCTGTTTTCAATTTCATTGATTCTTGCTCCTATCTTTATTATTTACTTACTTCTGCATTCTTTGCATTTATTTTTCTCTTTATATTTTCTAGATTCTTGAGGTGGGAGCTTAGGTCACTGGTTTGAAACTTTTCTGTTTCTTAAAATAAGCTGTAAGTTTCCCTCTCAGCACTGTTTTGGCTATGTTCCACCAATTTGACGTGTTGTATTTTCATTTTCATTCTGTTCAACGTATTTTTATTTCTTTTGAGGTTTTTAAATTTTTTGAGGTTTGCTTTATGTTCCATGTTACAGTCCATCTTGGTTTATGTTCTTGGGCACTTGAAAATAATGCATTCTGCTGTTGTTGGGTAGAGTGTTCCAAAAATGTCCATAGATCCTATATGCTAAGGGTGTTAAGATTTTTTATGTGTTTTGATTTTCTGTCTAGTTGTTCTCTCAATTGTTGAGAGAGGAGTGTTGAAGTCTGTAACTGTAATTGTAGACTTGTCTGTTTCTCCTTTTAGTTCTATCAGTTTTCACATCACATATTTTGTAGCTGTCATGTTTGGTGCATACCTTTAGCAGTGCCCTATCTTCTTGGTGGATTGACACTTTTGTTAATATAGACTGTCTTTCTATGTCTCAATTATTTTCTTTGTTCTGATGTCACTTTATCTGATATTAATATAGCCGCTCTTGCTATCTTTTAATTAATATTTGCATGATGTGTTATTTTTGACCCTTTTGCTTTCAACCTATCTATATCACCCTATACACAGCATATAATTGGTTCATGTTTTTTAATCCACTCTGACCATCTGTCTTTAAATTTTTGCCTTTACATTATTCAAAATTAATATAATTATTAATATATTAAGTTTCAGACTGTCTTTTTATTTCTTGTTTTCTGTTTGTTCTCCTTGTTTTCTCATTTCTTTTTTTTCTTCCTTGGCTTACCATGCATGACTTGGGCATTTTTTAGAGTTTTATTTTGATTTATACATGGTGCTTTGGGGTGCATCTCTCTGAGTAGTTTTTTAGTAGTTACTCCAGGTATTACATTTTGTATATATAACTTTTCATGGTCTACGTGCATCAACAGTTTGAAGTGTGGAAAGTTTACCATCCTTTACATCCTATTGCCCTCCCTTGTTTATAATAGTCTAAAATGTTTTCTCTACATCTATTTAGAATCACATCAGTGTTATAATTTTCACTTCAATTATCAAACATAATTGAGAAAATTCAAAAGGAGAAGGAGAGCTAATTGAATTTACCATCTTTGTTTACCGAATTCTTTCTTCTTTCCTGATGATTCTTGATTCCTTCTTTCATCATGTCCCTTCTGTTTAGAGAACTTCTTTCCACTTTGTTAGTGTACTTATTTGGGTAATCAAGCTAATCTGAGGATAGCTTGACTTCCTCCTAATTCCTAAATGATATTTGCACTGGACATAGGTTTCTGGTTGACAGTTCCTTTTTTTCTAACACTTTAAAAATGTTGTATCACTTCTTCTGACCCCTGTGGTTTCTGATGAGAAATATGCTGTCATTTGAATTGGTTTTCTCTTTAGAGATAAAATGTTGTTTCTCTCATTGCTTTTAAGACTTTCTTTGTCTTCAGTTTTCAGAACTTTAATTAGGATGTGTCTTGGTGTGAATTTCTTTGATGTATCCTATTGGTCATTCACTTCTTGAATCCGTAGGTTTATGGGTTTTGTCAAATTGGGGGATTTTTCAATTATTATTTCTTTGAGTACTTTTTTAGCTCCATCTTCTTTTTTTATCTTTTCCTGGAACCCCAAATGATATAAATTTAGTTTTTGTTATAGTCCCACAGGTCCCTGAGGCTCTGCTCTCTTTGTTTTTCATTCCATCTTCTTTCTGTTGTACAGAGTCAGTCATTTCTATTGTATCTTCCAGTTCACTTATTCTTTCCTCTGTTCTCTCCATTCTGCTGTTGAGCCCATCTACTGAGATTCTTATTTCAGTTGTTATATTTTTCAGTTCTAACATTTCCATTTGGTTGTTTATATTTACTGTTTCTTTGCTGAGATGATTTTATTGGTGATTTTTTATTGTTTCACTTGTTTCAAGTATGTTCACTATTACTCATTGAAGCATTTTTATAATAACTGCTTTAAAACCTTTTCCAGATAATTTTAGCATCACTGTCATCTTGATATTAGTGTCTACCGATGGCTTTTTTCATTCAGTTTGATATTTTCTGGTTCTTGGTATTGTGAGTGATTTTTTGATTGAAAACTATGCATTTTGGTATTCTATGATGAAATTCTGGATCTTATTTAAACCTTGTCTTAGGTAACATCCTGTGATGCTGCACCATCAGGGGAGGGTGATACACTGCAACCTCTGTGACCACCAAGGTTGGGAGATGCTCCTCGTTGCTGCTGGGGTGGGGTGCTGGCTCCCACTAGGCCCCTGCTGATCCCACTCTGGTTGGGAAGGGTAGAGGTCCCTAATTTCTGCTCCCCAGATGGTCTCCACTGACGCTACCAGGGGGTGGCCTCATTACTATTGGAGCCAGTGGTTAAAGTCTTGACTCTCCCCATTTGGCCTTCTCTGACACCACCGCAGTGGGGAGGGGGCAGACTGACCTATTATTGCTGGGTAGAGGAAGAAGTCCAGGCTCCCCAGATGGTCTCCAGTGTCACTGTAGTGAGGCAGGAGGGGAAGGGAGGCCTCATTACTGCCAAGTGGAGATGAAAACCCCAGCTCCCTACTAGGCCTCCTCTGACAACCATAGTGGTGAGGTTGCATTGCCTCATTGTAGTCTCGTGAGTGTGGAGTCTGCACTCCCCACTGGGCCTTTCCTGGCATGGGTGAAGGTGGGACCACATATTTTTCTGTGCTGCCTGGCAGGAGGAGTCTTCTGTTTCCCCTACCCCTTCCCCTCTTCCTCCTCCTTCTTCTCTTTCTCCTACTCTTTCTTCTCCTCATTTTTTTCTCCTCCTCTCCTCCTTATCCTCCTCCTCATTTACCTCCTCTTCTTCTCCTCTTCTTCCTTTCTCTCTTCCTCTTCCTTCTCCTCCTCCTCCTTCTTCTACCCCTTCTTCTCTCTTTTTTTTTTTTCCTTTGTGTGCGTTAGCTTTTTCCAGGTTGCCAGCTTCTTCAGCTCTAACTCTGGAATGTATGAGGCACAAACAAAATTCAGGGAGTTCCTGCTGTGTCATTCTTTGGGTCTTGAGGTTCCTAGCTTGGTCTACTTTCTAGTTCTTACCTTTCAGAATCTTTTATGTTTGTTTTAAACGTAATGTCCAGTGTTTTTAGTTGGACTTAGCAGAAGGAATAGGGATGAGTATGTCTCCAGCATCTTCCTGGGAAAAATGTGCATTTTTGAAATATATATTGTATGGTTGGGTGTTATTTTTCATCCAATCTGAGAGCCTTCCACTTTTAATAGAAGGTTTGTCTCACTTATGTAATAAATCTTAATCCTGATATTGAATGTTATGTTTTGTGTACTTTCAAAATGTAACACATTAATCAATTATCAATAGGCTGTTATTAGCTGCCCTTTCCATCAGGCAAGGTTTTCAGGAACACACCAAGTTGCCTTGTTCCCATCCCAATTCCAGTTTTTTACTATTATTATTATTTTATAGAGACAGAGTCTTGCTGTATTGCCCAGGCTAGAGTACAGTGGTTCAATCATACCTTAATGTAACCTCAAATTTCTAGGTTCAGGTGATTCCCCAGCCTCAACCTCCTGAATAACTGGAACTACAGGCATGTACCACCTTGCCTGGCTAATTTACTTTTTAGAATTTTTTGTAGAGATCTATGTTGCCCAGGCTGGTCTTGAACTCCTGGCCTCAAGTGATCCTTCTTCCTCAGCCTCCCAAAGTGCTGGGATTATAGGCATGAGACACTGCCCTGGCTCATCCTGTCATTTTTACAGTTCTAGAAGAGATAAAGGTGGAAAGATTTTCCCAAAGATGAAAACATTCCATCAGGAGACCCAAGAAGAGGAAGTGATTGGTTGACTGGGGCCTTCATGGTGGCCATTTTTCTGACATTTCATCCAGAACTAATTCCCTCCCTCCTTTTTTTATCCTTCCCTTCCTTGCTTCTTGTGTACTGGGCATTTTCCTGGGTTCTGGGAGAGGAAGGGAGCAGATCAAACCAGTATTTTTCTTTTTCCCCATCTCAAAGTTTTTATCTATGGTGCTTTGTGGGTTTCTTTTTTTCCAATAGACTTTTGAACATTGTGAAATTAGCCAAAAAGAAAGCAGCTAAAATTTAGTAAGGGCAAGAGGAAGAGTTAAGCAGGTGCAGAGAGCAGAAATCTTCAAGTCTCTTAACGTTTCCAGTTTTTAATCAGGGTGCAAATGTGGTTGGTTGACGGCAGGGAGCTGCTTCAGTGTGACTGCTAGGCTTTGCTGCCTTCGTCAATCCATCCAGCGTGACTTCCCATATAACTTTAGTGTTTACATCCCCCTCACTGTGTGCTGAAAAGTCTGGGATCCCCCTAGACACCTGGTAATTCTGTTAATGTCTGCTAGTCTGGATCCATATCTCAGAAGCTCCCTGATGGAATTTCTCCGTGCTCTTGGCAAGTCACAAAAGAGATGTCTCCTGGGAACTTTAGCATCTTGATCTCTATTTAAATGGTGAAATGATAAGTCTTGGCCAGGCCCTGTTCTCTCCTCCCACTAACTTTAGTCTCCGAGAGCCAAATTTTGCTCTCAGTTTCCTATATATGACTTCTACCAAATCCTTCTAATTTTCTTTTGTCTCTAGTGATTTCCTCTCCTGCTGTCCTGTCTTCTAAAGCAGTCTGAAATGAAATCTGCCCCCAGAGCTGTGCACAGAGGAAATGGAGAACAGATCATTCAAGAAGGAACACCCCACCCGCAAGCCGTGCTAGACTCGCATGGGTAGGCATCCCCAAAGCGTTGCACCCTCCACGCCTGGGCGGCTCGCTGCTTTTCTGAACACCAGGATTTGTACTTCCTAGCTGGTTCTCCATTTAGATACTTATTTAGATGCTTGACAATGAAGTATCAAGGAGCAGAGCAGGTGTAATGTCCTCATATACTGCTGCCATCTGTGCGCTCATATGCTCCTCTTAGGCAGTCGGGCACATGTAGAGCTTGCTTCTGATGGCATTTGGATTGGAAAGACATTGGCCCATTTCTCCTTATAGCAGAACTTTGTGGAGGAGCTAGGCGAAGTGTAAATGCACAGACAGCAGAGCAGATCTGTTTGTGGCAAGAGAGGGAACCCCTCTGCCTTCCCCCTCCTAATCCCCTACCACCCCTCTCCCTCTCTACTCCTGGCCCCTGGCCTGGACACCATGCTTTCAGAATAATTCTAGAGCAACTATTAGCTGTTGATGGCTTCTGCTGCATTCCCTCCCAGAGACACCTAACTTTGACATTAACTACTGGAAGGCCCGTAAAGTCTTCCGAGCCAAGGAAGGAATATTGAATGCTATAATTTCAAGACAGCTATAGGTCAGCTGGGGAAATGTGCACAGCAAGAATGGAAGTTTCTGGATACCCCTCCCCTGGGAAGGCAGCTGTCTGGGGCCCCTATTTTGGCAGTCAGCTCTCAAGGCATGCATCAGTGCACCTGAAACACTCTATAAATGGAAAAGTCAGAACACAACGTGTCACATCGACACCACCAGCATGCACAGTGGAACCCACACAGTTGGTTAAATTTAAATTCCTGCAGAGACATGGGGACTTAGCTCAAATATCACCTCCTCAGGGGAGTCTTCCCTAAACCCAGGTTGAGTTGAGTGCCCAACTGAGTGCTCCACTAGCTTCCCAAATTCCTTTGCTCTCGGCACTTAGCCCACTCCAAGGTGCTGAAGTGTCTGTCTCACCTATTTGTCAAGGAGCTACCTGAGGGTGAGGGCCACATTTTATGGATATTTGTGCCCTCAGTGCCTAGCACAGTGCTGGACACATAGTAGGCACTCAAAAATGTTTCCGAAGAGGGACCATGCCAGCTGCGTCCAGAAAGCCACCAAAATGACCCTTTTGCTGACTTACTATGGAGCCTGGCATACTACCATGAAATTTTTTTTTTTTTTTTTTTTGGAGACAGAGTCTTGCTCTGTCACCCAGGCTGAAGTGCAGTGGTGCGATCTCGGCTCACTGCAACCTCCGCCTCCTGGGTTAAAGCGATTCTCCTGCCTCAGCCTCCTGAGTAGCTGGGACTACAGGCATGTGCCACCACACCCGGCTAATTTTTTGTATTTTTAGTAGAGATGGGGTTTCACCGTGTTAGCCAGGATGGTCTCTATCTCCTGACCTCATGATCCACCCACCTCAGCCTCCCAAAGTGCTGGGATTACAGGCGTGAGCCACCATGCCTGGCCTAAATATATATATATTTTTTTGAGTTAAAAAGTTAGCCCTATGCCTCAAAGATCCCTTTCCAAAACTGAAGCTCATTAGGAGGGATAATTGTTACCAATAATTTGGGGGGTTGGTTTGAGCTGAGCTTTGCAGAATACTTGACATAGGCTTGGCACTTGCAGGGGACCTCTAGGAGTGAAGAGAGTGAAGTATCCCGGGCTTCAATGGCATAGGAATGAGAGAAAACCATTTGTTGCTAGAAGTGTAGGTCTGAAACCTGATTTCTATGTCACCAGTAGTTCTTCTCCCAACTTTTTTTTTTTTTTAAAGTTGGGGTCTTGCTGTGTCACACAGGCTGGAGGGCAGTGGCATAAACATAGCTCACTGCCACCTCGAACTCCTGAGCTCAAACAATGCTCCTGCCTTAGCCTCCAAATCTTTTCCCTTATTAAATATAAAAACATTAGAATATACTCTTCAAGTGAGCCAGGTACTAGAAAAACACTACCTGACACACAATAGGGACTCAGTAAACATTTGTTGAACAACTTATTTTAGGAACACTGCCAGCCACACTCTTACTTCTTTCTGTGTGGCTCTAGCTTACGAGGATAAGAGAAGGTGGAGGGAAAGCTAGAAGGGGCCAGGGCTGGATTCCAAACCACAGCCCACCCACAACTCTTTATCTGCCACTCTTTATTACCTGTGTTATGGGAACTCTGCCACTCTTTATCAGCTGTGTTATGGGAATTCAGAACAAGGACTGACACTACTGATCCTGGACTGGGTTTGGAAATGCAGTCATACCCCAGAAAAGAATCCCCTTTTTTCCATGTGGAGGCCCAATCCCATTCCCAGCCCCAGATGACTGAATGGTGATGTGGGTACATGTGATGCATTCACAGGGTGTGTGGCCACAACGGGCAGCCCCTGAGTGCCTCCACTTGAGAGGCAGAGGGAAGCCCTTGCTGGTCGGAGCTTAGGACTCTCTCAATGGCATGGGGCCAAGATGAGGTCCTTGGGCATGGCAAGAGCCACCTGCAGAAGGAAGGACATCATGGTTTGCACTGTGCATGATGGAAGGTGTGTGTAGTTAATTATTGGCTGCTAGGTTTGGTGCTTAAACTAGCTACCACCTACACAGGTTGAGAAAAGGAAGAAAAAGCAGTTAGAATGCAGGAAAGAGGGAAAAACCCCACCTCACCCACTTGACAGGCTCAAACTGCTGCTGCTAGCCGCCTGTGAGGTGGGGACAGTCCCCTGCAAATGCCCTGCTTAGACACTTGGGTTGCCGTGGCGAGCACCTTACGAGAACCAAAGGCGTGAAGGCCTTCTCTGAGCACAAAGGCAGACAAAGGCACCTGCCTGGTCCTGCAGGACCAGTCCCCATGCTGGATACTGAATGGCTCAATTACTATGCCTTGGACCAAGGTTGGGGGTGGGTGAGGAGGAGAACTTTGGAAGAAGTGAAGCAGAAAGAATCTTTATGACAATGACAATTTAAGAAACATTAGACAACCAGCTTGCTGAGGTGCTTCTAAACCTTCTGTGGGGAGGTGAAGCAGTGGAGCAGTCATGTGGAAAATTCCCTTTCTCCTCCATGCACAGTCATTCCCAAGCTGAGGGAAAGGCATTGTTTTTCTTGTGAAAACCCTCATTCTGGACAGGATTCCATCAGGCTAGGGGAAAATGCCTTCGCCTGGGAAGAAGTTGTATTCAGTAAGCATGGAGGACTGAAGGGTTGAGTCATGTCGATCTCTTGGAGATTTTTGGTTGCCAGGAGGATTCAAATGTGTCTGACTTCTTAAAATGTAATTAGACAGAGAAAGGGTTGCATCTGGCCAGACCATGGTGGCAGGGGACGTGGAGGGAGGCCTGGCGTCCCTCCTTCCACACGCTCCCAGGCGTCTCTGTGCATTTGGGGGCAGCATTCATACTTGGCTGGTAAGAAATCCTAAGGAAGCTTCCAGCAGCATTCAGCCCCCACACCTCCCATCAGTGGAGCCTTCCTGGGGAGCTGTCTCTGCAGGCTTGCTCAACCTGGGCTGCAGCTCTTGGCAGCTGTACCCACCGACCCTGATGGGCCCCTGCATGTCCCACTGGGTAGACAGCAGCTATGAATACTGTTCTACATGTCTGCTTAGATCAAGGTATCATCTGTTGCACCACCAGCAGCCTGCCCACCTCAGCCAGCCCTCCACCTAGAACAAGAGGGAGCATGGTTGCTGCTGGTGCGTGACAGCCCTGCCAAAGGTTGCAACTTAGGAGCAGAGATTCAAGGCAGTGCTATAAATAAGCCAAGCTTTATTTTCCTACAGGCAGCTTGGTTTTTCTACTGTGTGCTGCCATAAATGTGGTAGATATCAGATCCACCTATAGACAGGCCTGCCTTGAGCCTCCCATGGTGCTTCTAGCCAGGTACCTTTGGCAAGGTGACCGAGCCAGGCCATAGCTGGGACTGTAGCATGGGGAATGTTCCAGGCACTCACTCAACATCACTAGAGCAGGGAAGGCTTGCTCTGAGCCAACCCTTGTTCTACTGTCTTGTTCCAGGTATAACCCATCAGCCAAAGCTCCTTCAATACTAGCTCTTGTCTCCTGACCTGGTCAGAAGCATTTACCAGCAAGGGCCACTTTCCTCTGACCATTCTATTTAAATATTTTCCAGCTTATCCGAGGGAGGCAGGGAGGCTCTGCAGGCGATGGCTTCAGGAAGTTTTAGTCCCATGGAGGCCCCTGGCTGGGGCTATCTCCCACCCAAATTGGAGGCAGCTGCTGCCAGATATGTAAGAAACTCCCAGGTGTGCAAGAACAAAATGAGGAGGTGTGATCATTTACATTCAGTAAATGATGGTGCGAGTGCAGACTGTCACCAGGAGATCTGTCTTCCTGCCAACTTCCACCCTAAACAGAGGCTCTGATTTTTAAGAGGGGACAATCCTAGTGGGAGTGGGGACAGGGAGGGTCTGGACCAAGCACTGAGAAAGAGGCCTGCTAGGCAAAGTCAAACCATGTGATTGAGGGAGAGGCTTTGGCCTTGATTCAAATCTAGGCTGACCCAATGCCCTGGTTTGCCTGGGACAGTCATGGACTATGCCTGCCATCCAAGTTCTATTTTTAATGGTGCCCCTTTCACTCACACACACACACAAAATCCATGTTTGGATGATAAGTTTTGTGATTACCCTATTCCAAAGATGAGAAGGAGTTAGGCTAGAAATGCATCCACAGAGTGACATGTAGGACGTGGGGCTCCAAGCAAGTTCACTTGGCAGCGCCTGGAGGAGAGAGACGAGTGGTAGAAGGCCAGGTTGGTTCATTCTCAAGCATATTTAGAATTGCAGCCTTGTCGATAATTTTCACTTATGACTTTGCAGAGTGTGATGCTGGAAGGGTCTTTGGGGTGGTCTAATTTACCTCCTCTTTTACTGGAAGAGGACGTTAGGCTAAAAGAGATAAAAGTGACCTGCTCAAGGTTACACTCCAGTTGCTGGCAGAGTGGGGATAGAAACTTGTCCTTAAGGGGTCAGGTCCAGGTACTCTTTGCTGGGACAGAGGGAGATGGAGGACCCTGAAAGAGGCTGCAGAGGATGAACAGACACATGGAAACTTCCATGGCAGCTCCGGGACAGGGAAGTGCCACAGACTACCCCACAGTTCCTAGATTGGGGGGGTGGGAGGACAGAAACTGGTGGGGTTTAGACTTGCTGAGCTTGCTTGGACGTGAGCTCAGGTGACACCTGGAGTCACAGGCGAGTGCAGGTGGAGCCAAGGGCAAATGGGCTCTCCAAGGTAGTGACCGAGAGGGACCAAAGAGATTAATTGGCAAATAGGACTAAGAATCAGTGAAGAAACAGGTAGGTATGGAGATCAAACGCGAACAGGGTCAAATGAGTAATTTATGGAATCTAAATATTGTTCTATGGTTCAAATTGTAGTGAAATCTGAGAGGCAACTCCTGATAACAGCTATCTTACCCTTGGGTACCGTTTCCCTAGCCCCCTTCTCGGGTCTGCAGGGTCTGTTACTTAAGCCAGTAACAGCTTCCACCTCTGCTTGGTAGATGGGAAACTGAGTCACAGAGAAGCTGGCTTTCTCCTGTCTTACAGGACCCCCAGCAACAAGGATGTGATTAACAAGCCTTGAGAGTGACTCCAGAAGCCTGCCACCACAGTACCCCTCATGGTTCCACTGCAGTCACACCTCCCGTGTGTGCTCTCATGGTGCTGAAGGGGTGGAGTGGTGGAATTTTCTATGAATTTGCTCATCTGAGTGGGCCCCGCAGGAAGAAGCCCAGCTTTCTGGTCCTAGTTCTATTGCCGGCTGACTAGCTATGCAATGGTGGCTAGTCACTTGTTTTCCTGTCCCTCCTGCTTTTCCTGGTTGTCAGATGAATGTTCTGGCTTATGCCATCTTCAAAATCTCAATGTTTTTGTCTTTGCAGGGGAATCTGACCTTGGTTCAGCCATCTGATGAACCAAGTTCATCTCTTGCATCTTCTTGGCAGTCTGTCTATAGAGCATCTTCTCAGGTTAGGCAAGGTGGAGCTATGTGATTGAGGGAGGGGCTTTTGACTTGAGTCAAAATTAGGCTGCCTGGGACAATCATGGACCATGCCTGCCATACAAGCTGCATTTTTAATGGTACCCCTTTAAATATTTGTGCTCAGATCTCAATTACCCTTGACAATGTAGAATGCAACATTGGAATGTTTGACAATGCAGGAATGCATGCAAAATATAATTTTAAAAAATATCAGCTGGGCGCAGTGGCGTATGTCTGTAATCCCAGCACTTTGGGAGGCCGAGGCGGGTGGATCACCTGAGGTCAGGAGTTCAAGACCAGCCTGACCAATATGGTGAAACCCCATCTCTACTAAAAATACAAAAAATTAGCCAGGCATGGTGGCAGACACCTGTACTCCCAACTAGTGGGGAGGCTGAGACAGGAGAATTCCTTGAACCCAGGAGGTGGAAGTTGCAGTGAGCTAAGATCACGCCACTGCACTCCAGCCTGGGTGACAGAAGAAGACTCTGTCTCAAAAAAATATATATCATATTTGGCCCAGATCTACGTTTTTTGCCTCCAACAAGTTTTCATGAGGTTAAGTTAAATGTGGGAATTTATTTCAGACAGTCTGCAAAGTGGATAGCTCACTAGAGCAAACATACAATCACCTGCAGGCTGACTGTAGTCAAAATAATCTACTGTCACCCTGAATAGGTTTTCTCACATAACATCTACAAAAACCCAGCATACCATTGTCACACCCACATGGTGCCTTCTGATATGTGACATTAGAAAACCTCAATCTCCTAAAAAAAATCATAAAATAGTTTCAGTATATATGAACTCGGCACACGTTTTTGTTCAGTGAAACTTCTTTCTTTGATGATGCCTGTTCAAATATTTGCAAATATTGAGAAAACGCCCACATAAATCATCCTCTGTTGCTGAGGCCACACAGTCTGCAGAAACCAACAGGTAAGACACAAAATACTGAACGCCACTGGAGGTCACGCAAATTCCAGGAAACCTCAGGCCATCTTAGCCTTCCTCTCCCAACCCCAATCTGTTAGTTTCTAACCGAATGTGCTAGAGAAGCCAGCCAGAGCACCATGAAAGTCAGCAAGAAGGTGAAATGGTGAGAGGAGGAGGGGCCTTTGGTTACATCTCTTTTCACCTCTCACTCTAGATGTGAAGAAACTCAGAGGGGGCTGCGGCATCCCAAGTCGGGGAGGCCATGAGGACCACTAGAAGCAGGCCTGGAGGTGTGGTCTCTGGGGCTGGGCTCTGTCGCTGCCCTCTGTACCCCAAAATGCCTCTGAGATGCCCATGTAACCTCCAGGGGAGCCCAGGAGCTTCACCTCCTGCAAATGGGGAGAGATGGACAGTAGGAGAAGAACAAGAGAGAAGCAAGAAGCAAATGGTAGGAGAAAACACAGGATAGAGGGAAGAAAGACCAAAGGCCGGTGAGCAGAGAAAAGAGGTGAGCATCCAGGGCCCAAGAGCTGCTTCAAGGTCATGGAAAGCCAGCCTGCACCTGGAAGGAAAGGTCCTTGCAGAATAGAACTTAAAGCAGGAAACAGAGAATTAAGCGTGGCAAACAAGAAACGCCCATGTGCCTGAATCTATATCATTCTAAGTCAGTGTATCAGACGCCCAGGACTCTGAAAAATCAGGGTTCCCAGACAAACCCAACACTTGGTATGAGCAGCGCTTCTTTATTATAAAACTAACATCACTGAAAGCTTTTTTTTTTTTAAAGACCAAAAATATCACATCTTAGGCAAATGAGTTGAAAATCCCTCAGAGTGACACCCTATTTTTTTTCCACCCATTTCTAAAGTCAGAGGACACCTGGTAAAGAAGCTGGTTTTTAGATAAAGAAATGCAATTCCTGGTGCACGCGGTTTCCTGGTGGTACAGCACTGAAGTGACATCATGGAAATATTTGTACCTCAAGGTCAGTCTGCAAGGTTTCTGTGTGAAAGCATGAGTCTTAGTGGTGGGAAAGTATGTGTGTGCACCTTTGTGATCTGCTGCTGTTTACTGCTCTCTGCTTCAAAGACAAAGTTTTAATTAAATCCAGGTGGGCAGCTTGCCAGGGTTTTCCACACTTTTGGCTCACCTAGGTAGGCAGCCTAAGTGCAGGTTATACCATTTGGAAATGCCTCTGCTCCTGTCACTTGGAAGGAAATAAAACAACTGTTCCTTGGGGCGGGGGGTTGGGGGGAAGAAGCTTGTCTTCCACTCAAGGGCAAGGAATCTATGACATAAGATGCTCATTCTGGTGGTGAATATGAACAGTCTAATTTGTGTAGCATTCCTTAAGGTGCCAAAAGTAGGAAGCAGCAGACTGGGAACGTATGGAATCCTTTGTCTTAATTAAAAATATAGTGGGAGATGTGGAATTTGGCCAAGCCTCATAAATCTGCTAAAAAAGCATCAAGACTCCATCAGATAAGTTTAAATAGAACCAACTGAGCCCTCTGGAGAGTTAAACAGATTCCCCACTCATGTGGACACCCACTCTCCTGTCACTTTCCCGCACTCCGCAGGCAGCAGTGGTGCTCGTTAACCAGCAACCCTCCAATTCGCCTATGACAAGCTTATCCCCCTGGAGCACACGATTCAGACATGATAAATTTACTCCCGCTTGTAAAAATGAAACTCTCCTCAGGGCAATAAAAACGCTCTGAGCCTTTAGGAAATAAGTTCTTTATCTGATAACCTACCTTCATTAACAAAGTCTGGTCCTCTTGGTCAGGACAGCTCTTCACTGCTAGGGAGAACTGCTCTAAGGTAACTGGAAGGGAAGAAATGGAAATTGTGAATGACTTCACTTCCGCCTCAGAGCCCTTCTGATGTGAAGGAGGACACTGTGGTTATAACAGACGTAAACAGCATGCTGTCCGTCCTTCCTTGGTGACATGGCAGAGCTCCCCAACTGTCCCCTGCATGGGTCAGGGGCCCCCGTACAGTGACTTCTCCACCCCATCAGACAGAGTCATTACAGTAGAGTACAAGGCCATTCCCATCAGCAAAGCTCCTCCCTAAACTGCCAGGAGGTCCTGGGTTCAGCTTCCTTTTGGGTCATCTTGTCCCCAGAGATGACACTCTATCTCCATTTCCTGGGACCTTCATTGAGAAGACTCCACCTGCCTTTGTAAATTTGACAGTGCTAATTTAAAAAATCTCAATCTTCCATCATGATTTCCATGGCTTTAACTCTTCTCTTGGTGTATGGCCCCAAGTGTTGACTCAAACCCCACAAACTCCCCCAAATATATAAAGTCGTCTTTCTCCAACCAACCTTCTCAAGGAGAATAGGGAAGAGAAACCCAAGAAGATTTACGAGAAAAAAAAAAAGTTTTAGTAATCCATTGAAATTGGCCATGAAAGCTCTAGGAATATTAATCTAGAAAATTTACAAAATTACATTCCCCTTCTCATATTTATGGCCAGGTTCTCATCAAAGGCTCACTTATGTGGTGACCAATTTTTATTTTGGTGTAAGTCACAGACTGCCCTCCTGTAGGCTGTGTTGACTACATTGTTTCATGCTTGAAAATGCTCCCACAATTCTCTGCCACCCTCAGATTTAAAACCACTTATTTGACACGCATTAAGGCTTTTACTAAGTTAACCCAACTAGTTTAGCCTTTGATTGCTATACTCAAAGCTGCGTTCACTCTTTACCCTCTATGACCTTTCATTGCTCTCTGCTGGGAAGAGTTCTGCCTCTTGTCTTTGAGTAGAGCAAAACTCAGTCCTCCAACTGAACATCCCAAGCCCACCCATCCAGCCAATAAAGACATTGATTGCCCTCTGGTCCCATCCCAACTCCCGCAGATCCCACAAAGGTGGGCAGAGCTAAACTCAGCCTCAAGGCTGAGGGACAGTCTGATTCCAATGATTTGACCTCAAGCATGCCTGGATGTCATGTCTACAAATACAGATATTTTAAAGAGAACTATATCAGCAATGATGAATTTTCATCAAGAAAATATTGTCTGGGTAGGTTGTTTGTAGTTTTCAATGTTACTCTAAAATAGAATTCCTTAGACTGCTTTCATCTCTGACTAAATTACTCCATGCCATCTTGACTGCTATCAGTTGTATCTGGTGCTGATTATTTCTTCCAAGTTTAAATTTTGCTCTATCCAGTCAAGACATACTTGGGATCCATAGAGAGATCAATGTTGCCTTCCACATGCTCTCCAATGCATATACCCACCCAGTCTTCAATTGGCAGAAACCAGTGTTAATTACATAGAATCATCAATTTAATCTTTTTTAAAAATTAACTTTGCCTATAAAAGTGGCTCAGCAGAAACTTGTACATTGAGATAAGGGCCCAAGCTGTGTTAAGTTTACACGAATGCTTTTGCTGTCACTCATTCAGAATACACCTGCCTGGGAAAGACCCTGGAGGCAAGACCTCTCTCCCTCAACTCCGTCCTCAGTTTTGGACTTTTGCTGTGATCTGATTTGGTGTGATAACATATTGATCTCTGACTACTGTCTGAGGATGGCTAAAGAATAATCTACAAATTCAGGTGCTAGGTTTTCTTTAGATCACCTTTTTAAGGTGGCTATTTTATTTGGTAAAGGTTTATGCTGTAACTTAGAATCTTACTTAGTGCAGGTCAGGGAAATTGAAACACTTGCTTCCTTAGAGAGCTACTGGATTCTCACTGACAGCTCTCTCCTCTCTGTGGTGACCCTGTGTTCATACTTCTCACTGCCTGTGCACTGGACTCCACTATGATACTTTTCGTTATCATAGACATAGCACCCACTTCAAGTTACCTTGAACTCTGTACATCCAATCCAAACCAGTCAACTTCCATACCAAGCCAGCCCTTTCCAACTTTTTCCCATTTCTGTGGGACTATCATCCTCCAGCCACCAGGCCACTGAGCCTGATTCTTTGATTTCTCCCTCAGGACCCCATGCCTGCTGACTCTTGTACGATGATGTCCCTTGGATGCACCACTTTCCCACAGTAGTGCTGCCACTTTGATTTCTGGAGAACTTCTCGCTCTTTCCCAGCCTCCATGCCCACTGCTGCCACCACTCTGAGCCTGGCCCTGCTGGAGCCCTATGCCTATGGCCTGCATTCCTCCTCACCACACCAGGCCTAGCCCCTCTTCCCCGTGCAAACCACCCTGATGGCTCCTGACTCTCATTCATGCAGGGTTCCATCTTGGGCCATGCACTCCCTCCCTGTCTCCTCAGGTTGGCCAGGATCCCACCTGATATGGTTTGGTTGTATCCCCACTCAAATCTCATCTTGAATTGTAGCTCCCATAATCTCCGCATGTCACGGGAGGGGACACAGTGGGAGGTAAATGAATCATGGGGGTGGTTACCCTCCATACTGTTCTCATGATAGTGAGTTCTCATGAGATCTGATGGTTTTATACAGGGCATTTCCCCCTTTTGCTCGGCACTTTTCCTTCCTGCCACCATGTGAAGAAGGACGTGTTTGCTTCCCTTTCTGCCATGATTGTAAGTTTCTTGAGGCCTCCCCAACCCTGCAGAACTGTGAGTCAATTAAACCTCTTTCCTTCATAAATTACCCAGTCTTGGGTATGTCTTTATTAGCAGCATGAGAAAGAACTAATATACCACCCTTCTCCAGGGCCAGCATGGGGAGTAGTCTCAACACAGGTTTGGCATCAGACAGACCTGACTTTAAATCTTCCCTCTGCCACTTCCAGCTGTGTGTCCTTAGACAAGTCACACAGCCTTGCTGAGCCTCGCTTCCTCATCAGTGACGTGTGGAGCCCGGAGCCCACTTGCTGGAGCAGGTGTGAGGCTGTGTGTAAAGAAACGGTGCTGGCAGTGAGTCTGCACTCCATCTTAGGTTCCTGTACAAAGATTTCTCTAAGTCTCCCCTGTTCCCTGTTCGATGCCTTGATGTGACACATGACACATGGAGTTTTTCCTTCCCAATCAGTCTCTAGTGTTTAGATGTCCGGGCTGCCCTGGCCTCAGGAGAGGGTGCAGGAGATGGGCTTGGATCCTATCCCAGACTCTGTCCTGTCCCCATGATGTCCAGCATGCCCACAGCCATGACCCCGTTTTGTGGAACTGGACTGAAGTGCACGTGTAGGAACACAAGGCCACACTTCAGTCCAGTGCCCTTCGTGGGCTGGCTGAGTTTTATGGGGCTAGCAGCCTACAGCCCTTTCTACACAGATGACAAAAACCAACCTTCAGAACAGAGGCCCAACAAAAGCAGCATGCACCTATGTCTCGGCTTTTTCCCCTCACCCCAGATGTCAGTGTGACACAGGCTACTATGCCAGTGCAGGTTTCTCTCTCCCCTCACCCCACTCTCATTTCTACCAAATCCCAAAAGAGAAGAGGGGGTGAAAACCATTAGGTTTTCATAAAGACATACCTGAGAGTGGGTAATTTATAAAGGAAAGAGGTTTAATTGACACAGTTCTGCAGGGTTGGGGAGGCCTCAGGAAACTTACAATCATGGCAGAAGGGGAAGCAAACACGTCCTTCACGTGGCGGCACGAAGCAGTGCTGAGCAAAAGGGGGAAAAGCCCCTTATAAAACCATCAGATCTCATGAGAACTCACTCACTATGAGAACAGGTCTGTGCGGCCACTTTCCCTGACAGCTGATTCAGTGACAACTTGCAAGAGAAGCCTCATGACAAGTTGACATTTCATGACCCCTCCCTTCTTCCTCCCCAACTTTTAAATAGGAGGAAAAAACCTCAAAATGAAAGCAGTTGTCGTATCTACTTTCTTCTACCTTTGTTGCTGATTCAAGGGATCGACTGCCTAATGAAAATAAGATACACAGCCAAACTAGTGCCAACAAAATGCAAAGTCTCCCTGGGGCATGAGTCTCCCTAAGGGACTCTTGGCGGAATCACTTTCTTGCTTCAACATGTCTCAACTGCGCCTAAGTGTCCCAGTACTGTTCATGTCAGTAGTGGGAGGCTGAGGCTTCCACCTGTCTGAGTAGAGTTAAGTTCTCCTTGGTTGGACTTTTCCACCTTTGTGTGACAAAAGAAGGGAGAACCAGAGACTTTTAGATAACAAGTGGCTTTGAGGTTGGGGATCAAGGAGAGGAAGCATAGGGAAATAAACACCTGATTCAAGTAAACAATGGTCATTTGGGAGAAAAAAATATGGAGCAGCATGAAACAGGTTTCCTCTGCTGCAATGGTCGGCAGTAAATGATCTACAATGGCCTCATCCCCTGCAGTCATTGCTGTAAGGTAGAACCTTACAAAATGGGAGATACCTAACACCCAAGGAAATGGTTGCACCTAGAATAAATTTCATTATAATATGCTGTTTCGAATAAGGGGGAAGACAAAACAAAGCAAACCCACAATACCATTGTACTGATTTTCCTCTTGAAATATTGCTGGTCAGATTGGGCACCTGTCACTAAGTTAGCAGGTACAGTTGACCCTGACCTATAACCTGCACCTGGGGCTTCAGTGCTCAGAAATCCCGTCTCAGAATGTTCTTTCAGCTTCTCTCGCAATCTTTGCGCCAGGGCCCTCGATAATAGGGGCCCTGCCCCTGCGGCTAAGCTTTAGAGGGCCCTGCCCATGGGGCTATGGGTACTGCCCACCTGGAACTTGCACCCACTCCTCCAGGGACCAGTTCTCTTGTTTCCTGACCCAAATACCTTAAGCCTCTTTTCTGCGATGTGTTGCTACTGGGGAACCACACCACTGCCGTGTCCACTCTAGACCCATGGGGTAGCCAAGGGGCAGCTGATTGCAGGGATGTGGACAGACCTTGAGTGTCTAGACCAGATGATCTGCACAGTGTAGGGTAGACCTGGAGGTGCAATGAGAGAGAGGTGGGCCAAAGGGCTGCTTCTCACCATGCTGCAGAGTTCACATAACTGCTAGGAGCCTGGGCATTCTAAATTCGAATCTGGCCTTCTGGATGAACAAAGCTACATTTGTCAGGGCAGGAGGGCAGAGTAGATTTTCTTCAACATGTTGTAAGCTTGCTTTGTAATTCTGCCCTGGGCCCCACATAGGAGGGGCAGGCTCCTTCCTGGTAGGGAAGGAAGACCTGGCACTAAAATACCAGGTCCCTGGAAAGAGGAGATTGCACCAGCTGAGCTTCAGTCTGGTAGGGAAATGTGGCTCTCATCTCAGATACCTACAGTGAAGATGAGGAAGCCAGCTTCCTCTTAGTTGTGGCAGAAATATGGGGGCTGACACCTACCCCTCCATGGACAGCTCCTCTGGAGGAGTTTGATGGCTGAGCATTGCTGGGAACCAGGCAGCCTTCTCTAGAGGCAGCGACCTCCCTTACTGAGGCTTCCCTGGCACCAGAAGTAGAGGGCCCCACGTCTCCTCACCAGCCTCTCCTTGAGAGCCTTGAGGGTCAAGCTCCCCAGCAGCCATATCTGAGGCTCCTGGCCAGGGGCCCCTTATCGATGACTCCTTCTCCACTGACCGCACCACGAGGTGGGACACTGCGCCCACTGTCCCTCAGCCCTCTCCTCCCACCTGTGTGTGACTGCGGCGCTCTCAGCTCATCCTGCAGAGCTGTCTGCCACTCCAGACAGCTTCTGAAGTCCCCCACCCACCTCTTTTTCATAACACAACAGGGAAATGTTGAAAGAGAGAGAGAGAAACAAAAAGGCTTCGTTTTGCAGAAAGAACTCTGGCTTTGTTTTCAGAATCAACACGGAGGGTTGACAGGGGCCTTTAACTTCTTCGCAACCAGCAGTCATGGTGCAGCCAGTCTCCTGCACGTTGAGATGTGGTGGGGGGTGTGGAGCTGGCCCTCGGGGGACCTCCACGAGAGGGTGAGGGCCCTGCTCACTGTCCCCCAGCCTGCCCTGTCAGAAAGCACCTCTGTTCCAGAGAGCGGCAGAGCATGACACATGTGGCCCTCCTTTTCTCTGGCCCCACAACTGAAAGCCCACAGGAGCCAGCATGCATCTCTTCTCTGGCAGACAAGCTCTTGGTCTACAACTAAGTCTCAACATGTTTTCTGCTCCGAACACTGGGATCTCAGCACTTCCCAAGGGACAGCTTCCTCCAGGATGGCAATGGGCCACTGCTCCTCCAATGCCAACCCTCCTTTCGACCCCCACTGCCACGACCTCTTTGCAGATCTTTGTCCTCTGGCTTGCTGGTCACATCCACTTGTTTTGGTCTCCATCCTCCATCCAGCTCCACTCTGGGGTCTCTTTCTCCAAAGCACCGCATCCCCCGAAGCCAGGAAACTTTCCCTCCAGGGAGTCCTGGTGTGATGGTCACTCTCCAACTCCTTCCCTTCCTTGGCCAGCTACTGCTGCCCAGCAGAGGCTAAGCTCCATGATGTAGCATCCAGCACACCTCACGACCCACCCTGGCCCACTTTTCCAGGCTCATTCTCTCAATATTGTTTCTTGGCCTTTCTCCCAAACACCTTCCTCCTGATAAGGCAGGCCCCTTGTCATTCCCTGTTCAAGCCCTTCACTCTGCCACCTCCACTTCTGTCCACTCTATGGCTTCTTCCCATCCTGCAGAGCCACGTCCCCACCTTCGGGAACCTATGCATGTTTCAAGACCCAGCACCAATGGGTCTTCTGTGACACCACGTGGGAGCCTGTGGCCGTGCAGGGAGCCTGCACCTCTCACAGGCTCTCCTGCTCCATGTGTGTGTGGGCGCTGTGTTCACATCCTATTCCCTCTGCTGGATTGAAAAGCGTCACATTGTTCTGATAATCTGAGTCCTAAGTCTGGCAAATAGGAGGTACTGAAAACCTTCTAAGCAAATAAACTAAGTGAGTCTATACTAAGACTAAGACTAAGACTGTATTTCCCTAGGCAGGCAAAATGCCAGTTTGGCCAGTCCCAGGGATGGGAACGTAATGGGGGCTGACTGACATCTTAGAAGTCTTTATTCTAGACTGCACCATGGGAGTGAAATGTGGAGAACTGGTTGCAAAATCCTAGATGTGAGCAGTTCCCAAAGGGGCTGGGGGGCCTGAAGGAGCCCAACCTGCCTGCCGTGTTCTGGGCTCAGGGAGAAAAGCAGCTGCCCTCTCTCCACATGGGGGGCATTGCAAACCCGAGACATTCATCCTCCTTCTTAGGGCTCTCTGCTGGTTGCTAAGGGAACAATCTGTAGTCTTTGGCTCAGGCACAAAGTCGGGAGACAGAGCACAGTGGTCACCTGCTTTCCTGAATGGCAGAGCCCTTTCAGCTTGGGGCAAATGCACCATTCACTCAGGAAGAGATGACGGCACAGCTCATCTGGACCCCTTCTGGAGCCCACGGACTCCCTGTGTGCAGGGGGCTGCCCTCCCCCAGGTGGACAGTGGCACGCTGTCCCCTATTTGACATGGCCTTGGCTCACCATGGCCAAAGGCTGCTTCCTGGGGCCTGCTCCAGTCTTAGCCAAGAGCAAGGTGTAGAGCCGGGGGCAGCCAGAGGCGGCAGCCACTGTCACCACATCTTTTCCCCAGTGTCATCTCCAGCAGCCAGTGTGAGCCTCCCCATGGCCCGGCTCTGTCCCACCTGCAGATCCCCCTTCACCTGCATGGAAGGACAACTTTGACACTAACGCTCAGCTGGAGGCCATCACAACCACCACTGTCCCATCAGCGGAACAAGAGTCAGCCAATTTTGGGAAACAAACACTGTGGACTCCAGTGTCACACTTAAATTGGGAAGATAATGGATAGGACAGCTGCAATTGCCTCATGCGTGGCATTGATCCTGTTTTCCACCTTGCAGCGATTCGCCCTCCCATTTAATATAGTGCTCAGGCTCAGGACCTGGATGTTACGAGGCCCTGCAGTCCTCTCTGCCACGCGCCTGTCTCGGCATCTGCATGTGTGGCCCCAGGTCATGCATGCGCCACACGTCCAAGCTGAGTTGGACCCAGTTCTCTCCTCTCCACCTTGGTGCCCAGAAGAAGCCCTTGGCTTTTCCTCATAGCTCACCCTCCACCTGGAGGCCCTCCAGGCCCCTTTGCCCTCGCACCTCCAGAACCCACCCCTCCACGCAGGCCTGCTGCTGTTGCTCCTCAGTTCCTGTCCTCAGAGCTGTTCACCTCCACACCTGAAGAAATCTTCCCAAAGCTTTTTCCAAGACTCCCCACTGACAGTGGGAGTTGACAATGACAGCTACGGGCCTTGGCACTCAGGCCCTGTGGGACCCTGCTGTTCACCCTCACATTGGCCCTACACCCCGACCACACCAAGCCACAAGCACTTTCCCAAGTCATCCACGCACTTCATGCCTCCCTCCTGGTTCTTCCATCTGCTCGGAATGTCCTTTCCACCTTCCAGATAGCTAAATTCTACCTGCCCTTCAAAAGGCAAAGTCTCAAATGCTGCTTGCCTCACTGGAACTTCGTGGGGAGCCGCGTGGACCCTGCACCCCCTGCCCAGCTTGTGTCTCTTCCGTGTTCTCTCAGGGCTCCTAGTCTATGGGGGCTCTCATCTCAGTTCTCACCAGTGCTCCTTGGGAGCAGGGGCTGTTTCATACTGGACCTTTTATTCCTGGAGTGTAACACAGTCCTTGGCACAAGGCAGGACTTCAACAAATATGGGGCGAGAAGGGTGGATAAGGGAATGAGGAAGGGTGCTCCACATCAGGATTGTTTCCGAAGGATAACTGAGTAGATGTCAGATTCAGGAGGGGCAGCTCCATAGTTACAAGGTTTATTTTTCATGCAGCAGTAGGAGGCTGAGAGATGGAGCAAGCCGCAGCTTCTCAGGACCTTCTGCTGTATTGGTCCTATGGTCTGAGGCAATATTGTGATTCTATTCCATAGGACCAACATGGTCTGTGTGATTCTTGCAAGAAGAAAGAACAGAGCAAACTGAGCTCAGCTGCTCACAGCTGCCACAGGTCCTGAGCAGCTGCGACCTTAGGCACCTCTGGTGTTAGGGCAGAACCTGGGTGTCTCCTTAAAATAGCACAATTGCTAGAAAAACTCAACTGCATGCCCATGGCCTGGAATGGGTTTGCATAAAATTTATTTTGTCTTAAACTGCTCAGGATCGAAGAATGATAAAATATGCACAAGGCAAGGAACTCTGATATCCACTGCACCAAGAGGCTGGTTTACATACTGAGAAACAGCTGTTCTGAACATTTTTGAAAGCCATTTTTTTCTGCTGTGTTATGTTTTCCAGACTAACCTACTTGCATGATTCGTGCACTTTAATCTTCTAGCTCACAGAAAGAACTGGTTAGAAGCCAGCTCTACTGCAAAGTCCTTTGTTGCTGCACTCCTGGACACAGAAGAATTTTCACCCATAGTTATAAAAATCTACGAGAATTATCTTATTTTCCAGGTGGCCAATGAAGGGAGAACTTCTGAGTGATTTTCAGGGGCAAAAAAGAATCACAAGAGATAGGGGCCAGCAATCTCTACTTACACTAATGTTATATAAAAATTCAAAAGTATTCAATATCTGCTTTGATAAGCCAGAGCTGAGATTCTACGTGTCAGTAGACAAAGGTGAAATACTGGTGAAAACCTCACTTTTAATTACCTTGTTAACATATTCCCCCTCTAACATTCTGTGCCACTTTAAGTAGATATCAAAACTTGTTAAACGATTGTATCTCAGAGGATAAACGCTGCCTTTTTTTTTTTCTTTTTGGTTCTCATGTTTCGAGTAAAAGCCATCATTTTCAAGTTAATAGAGCATTATGTTTTCTCTGCAAATAAAATCTCATAAGTCATAAGCAAAGAGAGAGGTAAATTCATAAAGAGGAGACAAAGCACTATTTTTCCTCCTGGCACTTGTGATCTCTGATAGGTTAAAAATGATGTTTTTATCTCTGGTGATTTATCAAACTTGAGATTTCACAAAAGATAAACAGATGCATTGAAGAAATAATACATCATCTTAATGCTTCATTTTGACACTTTTGGTTTCTAAAAAGCATGTATCTTAAAGATCTCCCCTCCAAAAACTCAATAGTTTCCATGATTTACACATTTAATTCTTGTTTTTAAGACACACTGAAATGAGAACATGCCAGGAGGCACCTTTAAAGAAGATGGCCACATTTGAAACATACAGATTATTTATAGAAGAAAAACTCAAAGAGCTGAAAGAAAATCTGGTTGTCAACAGACAGTTGCTTTTTCTATGTTTTTTTTCTATAGTTCATTTTGGTTTTTGTGTGGGTGGCTCATGTGAGCTCAAAGGTTATTTGCTAAATGTTTTGTGAGATTAGAACATGTCCTTTAAAACCTAAATTTAAATGTATGTTTACTGCAAACATATTTAACTTTACAATATGTGGTATGGAATAATATTTTTAAATACAAAATTATATCTAGAGTGTGTATGATAAATCAAGAGTTCCTATACTTTTATTTTTATTCACCGTTTGGAAGGTCTTATTCTCCATCCTGTTCCCAGTGGAAAACTCACAAATACAGTATACTTGGTGCAAATAATTTCTTTTTTTACTTTTGGTGTTACTTTTGCCCATCAATTTTGGTACTAATGTAACCATATTTTGAAACTACTTAGATATTAGAAGTTAAATGAACAGGGGCTGTAGACCAGATCTCTGCAGTCCATCATACAATGTACAATTTTTTGATCACAGAGTGGGAAACAAAGGAGCGAAAACACATTTAAAAAGTGGGAAACACATTTAAAAAGTGGGAAGGGCTTATTTTATTTTTTATTTTATTTTGCTTCTTTAGAAATGCTGAGCTCCCAGATTCAGCTCCAACGAGCACTGGGAGCCCTGCAACATGGGCAGATGGTAGCAGCCTGCTGGGATTTGAGTCTTCCTTCTGCCTCTTTTAACTGTGTGACCTTAGACAACTCATTAACCTCTCTGTGCCTCGGTTTCCTCAGATGAAAGTTGAGAAGGCAGTGGTTCCTTCCTCACTGCCTAGTGGGGGATTAGAGTTGCTCTGTCCCTAATATTTTGCACAGGGCCTGATAGGCTGAGCCCTCACTGAATGTTGGCTCCCTTTGCTCCATACGGTCCTAGGGCTTCCACCCATGTTATTTCATTTAATCCTCACAGAAACTCTGTGAAATAGAAAAAAACAAGAAGCATTGTTCGGAGGCAAATCCAGTAAGAGTAGTAGGAAGCAGTACGTGCTAACTTTACCATAAATAAATGCACAAAGAAAGACTTTCAAAAACTCAAGAACACCAGAACCCCCATTCTCTGGGATTCATCTGTGGGAAAGAAACCTCTTAAAGAGTGCGGTGGATGGGGTTGAGGAGCTCCACTGTCTGTCTGGGGAAAGCTGTAGGGTTAACTGGCCCCGGGGCAAAGTCATAACGCCACAGCTTATTAGCGTGTGACCCCAAGCAGTTGTTCACCCCTCTGAGCCTCAGTTTCCTCAGTGGGCTTTGCAAGGTTGTTGTGGAGATTAAACAAATTACAAGGGCCAAGCATTTAGCGAGTCTTTGGCAAAGAGAATATTTTCTATAGATGGAGATGGCTGTGATGGCTGTGATTATTACACAGATGGCTGTGTGTTGGCCATTAGACTGGGCTCAAAGGGTGGCATTTCATTAGCATCTAGGTCAAGTACAGCCACTAACTTCTGTTCTTGAGAGTCCTCCATAAAACACACATCATTCGGGTGTCAGACTTTGCTTTTGCCTTTCTTCCCCCTCTCCCCAGGGCAACAGAGTCTTCAGGTCACTGGTGATAAAAAACCACCTCAGAATTTCTCACTTCCTTCAAAGGAGAGTGAGTCAGTGAAGTCTCTAAAGACAGCTTTCTTCAGGGACAAGCTCCCAAGTTCAGGGGTGTGACAGCACTTCTTCAGAAAACAGCATTTGGGGTCTTCTTAGGGCCCAGCTGACCCAAACCTGAAGTTCAACTACATGGCTTGGGGAGATGGAGAAGCTTGGGGAGGGAACCCCAGCATGAAGACCGACGGGCACAACCTGCAGGATGTCAGAGGAGAGCTTTTCACAGAGCTACTAGCATGTTGGGCAGTCTGTGTTCTTAAACCTTCTCTTCCCATGTCTCTTGGCCAATGTGCCATGAAATTAAAATCCACTTTGGCAAAGTGGCATGCTCTGCCAGATTTTTACATACTACGATGCTTCCATCCAGTCAAATTTCCTTCTCATCTTTTTTGTCTAAGAGCCCTCCTTGATGTGAGCACAAGGGACCTCCATGCTCCTACTTCTGCTGGTCTCCATTTCACCAGGCGCCTCCCTCCGACTTCCAATTGGCCACAAGCTTCGTCGCTCTCTCTCAAAGCAATTTTGTGTGTGAGTATAGTCAGAAGGTGAGTTCTCACTTTCGTGTCCCTCCATATTCTGCCAGCTCCTGGATTTCCAGACCTCAAGCATCAGAGACCCAGTGTCCCTGGACTCCCTCGACTCCCCAGGCTGCTCCCAGCCATCACACACTCTCTGAAATGGTGACCCTCAACTCCCAGGTTCACCTTTTTCCCAAAGGCACTGCTCATAGGCCTAGGATTTGGCCGTGTGACTGAAGTAGAGAAAACAAAGCCAGGGGACATTCCTTCTCTTCCCCAATGTTGGGACCTCCAAGATGCTGGGTCTACTGGGATTTGGCAGTGAATTCCATCTGCCTATTCTTGGTGCAACAGACCTTCTCACTGGTTTCCACTGCCCACACATTTAACGGGTGCTAGACAAAGACAGGGGCCAGAAGCAGGGGCAGTGGCACCCAGGGCTCCTTCCCTCCCTACCTCCCTCCCTTCCTCCCTCCCTCAGGCCACTTGTGTGGGGCCACATGAGACTTCTCTAAAGTTAGACACACCAGCAGATGGGTACTGGGGGAGAGGAAGGCACACAGGTGTCACAGCCAACTAGCACCTCTGGTCCTCCCACTCTTCCCCTCCCCTCCAGGCCTCCACCTCCAGTAGTAACAGAAAAACACTGCAGAAACCCAACAGTCAAAGAATGAGAAGTGTTGTCTTACAACTTCTGGTTCTACCCCAAGTCGGGTTTGTCCTTCATGATCTTGGATTTAGTTGAGTGAAAAGGGGAAAGTACCTAGATTCACACAGGACTACTGGCTGATGTTGTGGCATTTTGTTTATCTGAGCTTGCATAATGTAATGCACATTTGAGGAGGCGGTAGGGATATTCCCGTAATTTCCTAGAGGATGAATGTCAAAGCTAAAGCTAAACCAAGGTGAATGTAGTTTATATAAAGAATAGCCCCACTAACAACTGAGAGGAAAATGCTGATCCCGGGAAGAATACTGCAACAAGCACTAATGGATAACATACAGAAATAATGCTTTAATAATGCATGCGATCATGTTTTTATTAACAAAGAAAGTCTTGTTTCAAAACAAATACATCCTTGAGAGGAGTCTGAAATTAATCCCCAATAGGCAGAAATCCACATTATTATATATTCTAATTATAATTACAACCTGCTCTTAATATGAACATTCTAAATTATTAGTCACTTTATTAAGAACCAGAAAGAGGACTTCCTGCTGCATAATGAGAAGTACTCACAAGCTTCGAGAATGAGAAAAGCAAGAGACAATTCTGCACAGAGCTGGAAAGTAGTGGATGTAATTTATTTAATAAAAGTGCCTCCTTTCTCCTTTTTTGTTTAGGAATTGGTACACCCTTAGGGGTTCAGACAGCACCAAGGCTTCAGAGCTGCACTTTCTAGGGCAAGACAAAAATGTGTATCACAGAAAAATAACGATTTATCATTGTAACAGTTACATCCCACTACGGAAACCACCAGAGACTGCTTAACATTTTTATTTCAAACACGGTTTTCCCTAGTTTTCAGGTGACAAACGGAGACAGATGCCAGAAGGTGTTTTTCCATTTGTTCCTAATAAAAATGGCTAAATTCTGAGTTCATTGTCATCTGGGGTGACATTAAGACTGTGCTTTAGGCCGGGGACGGTGGCTCACGCCTGTAATCCCAGCACTTTGGGAGGCCGAGGTGGGCAGATCACGAGGTCAGGAGATTGAGACCACCCTGGCAAACACAGTGAAACCCCGTCTCTACTAAAATACAAAAAATTAGCTGGGTGTGGTGGCGGGCACCTGTAGTCCCCAGAGTAGTGAGCAGAGATCATGCCACTACACTCCAGCCTGGGCGACAGAGCGAGACTCCGTCAAAAAAAAAAAAAAAGACTGTGCTTTAACAGACTGATCCTTCTCTTCCTTCCTATGCATTCTTCCTTCAAAAGGCTCCAAAGGCAACATCTGGGTCTGGTCACTGAAGACAGATGGGCTCCTTCTACTTCTTCTCCCATCCCCTGGAGGCCTCTGCCAGAGGGTAACATGCTATTTGAATGTAATGATACGCTGGTGAAATTTTACTGGCTAGTGTTATGTTTAGTGCATCCTTATCTTTAGGACCCGTTCTGTACAGACCTCCTCATTACAGATGGATTTCTCGATTTCAAAACATTCCTGGGCTTTCTAAATGCTGTCATTGAACTAATTCTTATGATTTTTCTTCCATTACTTTCTTTATACTTCCAAGTCCTCTTTATCTGACATTGAACCTGAAGCCAGTTTCCTGAAAATAATCACTTGTGCTACTGTGGTTATGAACCAATAAAAGGTTCAGGGTTGATTTGGATTTATTTTGTACTGTGCCATCATCAAATCCTTGATATTTTCTCCGGGTGTGAAGACCTCATACACTCAGACTTAACCTGTTTCATTTTCCTCTTTTTCTTCCCTTTAAGGAACAAGGTCGAAAATGTTCTACTTTGGTTATAAGAACTAAGGTTTTCCTAGAGTAGTGATTAGCAGTAATAAAAAGGTTTTATTAAACATTAACAAAGAGCCAGATGCAAAGGCAAGAGCTTTGGAGCGTTGTCTCATTTAATATTTCCAACAGCCCCACGAGGTAAATATCATGCTCTCTACATTTTATAAATGAGGAAGAAACTGAAGCTCAGAGAGGGTTTGTAACTCACTCACAGTCACACAGCTGGTAGAGGTAAAGCCGGGATCTGAACCTGGTGACCTGACTCCAGAGCCCCCATCCTCAGTCCTCACTAAGCTCCACTGTGCTCTCAGCAAGCAGGCTGTGCAGCCCAAGGCTCAACTGTCATGTTTCTAAGGTGAAATGAATTGTGCAGTGATTCTTTGACTTCCCCCTTCCTTTTCAAACTTGATCACATTTCTGAATGCTTAGAAGTTTTGCACCAGGAGTCCATATAGTCCATCCTCATGTCCCAGGAAGGGCGATATCTGTGGTCAGTACATAGGGGCCCAGAGGGAGGAGCCAGGGCCACACCACCCCTGAGAGTGAAGCCAGTACAAGTCTACCTACAGTGAATGAGAAGGCCCAAGACACAGTCGCCTTCAATCAGGGTGTCTCAAGTACTGTTTCATACCCCAGATATGTTTCAACCCGATCGGCAAATCTGAAGAAATAACCCACCAACAGAAGAAGGGTGGTTTACATAAATTTCTTAAAGGAATGAGGTTGATGCTGAGTGTATGGAGATAGTCCAGGGAAGTAGACACACTGTGGGCTCTAGGGTCTGGAGCAGGTCACAGGGGACACTCAGATCTCCAGCCAGGCCTGAGGACACGAGCTGTCTTGATAGTGTGACTTCCTGCAACCTCCTAATTATAACTGAATTCTATCTGAAGATATGCTCGTAGAACAGATAGGGCATGTACTGATGACTTGGTGGCTGGATTTTCTTTCTGATGAATAAACTGGCATTTAGATTTAAATATGACTCATTTTTGAGTTCAATTAAGATAAGTCAGTTTCTCTGAGCCTGATACACTGTGGGTGGGCAATACATTAAAAATGTTGAGTCTGCAAATGACGGGACCCAATCCTGTGCCTTCATGACCCATAGTCCCTGATGCTCCTGGTCCCTCTCCTCGCTCCTCCTCCATGTCCCAGGAAGCAGAAAGTGGAACTCAGTCAGAATCAGGAAGGCCAATGCGGTCATGGTCATTTCAGAGTGTGGTCACTGGGTGGAGACCAGTCTCTGGGGAGGTGTTCCCATGGGGCCCCTGCTTCCCGTCCCATGAGAAACCTGTGCTCTCGGCACGTTTACTCCAGAGCCCTGTGTTAGGAGGCTCACCCAAAGGTGCAAGGTCCCAAGAGCTGGTCCTTAGAAGGAAGGAAGAAGCTGGGCTCAGTCTGAGCCTAAAGCACTCACTCCAATCCAGCTCTCATCAGAGCTCCTAGGGCGGCTCCCACACATTCCTGCAGGTATAGTCACATGGCACTGAATCACATGCACTTTGCTCTTTTGGAACTGCCCAGTCAGGGAGGAAGGGGGATGGTCAGGCTGGGAGGTTGTGTTGGACGCAGGCACACTCCTAGGTTCCTGGCCATAATACCTGCCCTGATCCCACCGAGGAGCCCATCTCCATCCCATGAGATAGTGCCCCAGATGCAAGCTGTGGTATGACCAAACCCAGCCCTCCCAGGGCCAGCAGTGACCCAGTGTGATGAAAAATCCCATAAAGCTACCAACTCAGTGAACAACTGGCCTTTCTCTTTTAACAGCTTCTTCCCATAGATCAGGACATGATGAGAAACAAACTGACGATTCTTGAAATTAAACAATAATTTCAATGATAAGCCGTCATGGATCTTACTTGGTGTTCAGTGTTTCATTTTATTTTGCTATTTTGGTCGACTGAAGCCAAAATGAATACTCAAGTTTCTCAATCTCAGCATTACTGTCATTTGGGGCTAGATAATTCTTGGTTGCAGGGGAGCGGTCTGTGCCCTGTAGCATGTTAGCAGTATCCCTGGCCTCCACCCACTGCGCACCAGTGGCACTACCCCTCTCAGTGTGACAACCAAAAACGTCTCTAAACATTGCCAAACATCCAAACGTTGCAAAATTGCCCCTGGTTGAGAACCACTGCTTTAGAAGGTTGACCCAGTTTCTTGCTAATTTGATGATGAGGTCTAAGTAATTCTGGCACTTAAAATTCCTCAGGCAGGACCCCTGTTAAAACACTCTCACTTTATCTGTGTGCACACCCTCCCGTTTAGGAACGAGATCATGGTCAGGCAGAGGGCCACTTCTGAGGGACAGGCATTTTGCCAACTGGCTCCTGTCAAGTGCTTCGTGTGATTGTCAGGTTGTGTTAAGTGAGCTGTTCCTGACTGGTTTAGCATCAGGCTTTGTGGGTGTCATATGGTCAGTGTTCCTAGTAAGTTGGGAGTTGATTTACCACAAGCTTCAAGTCTCTGTAAGTCACTTGGGGCCCTAAATTCAACACACGGACTGTCCCTTCCCTGTGTGTTGGGACTGTCCTTTCCCTGCAGAGCTGTGTCTCCAGGGACCCGTAGACCCCTGAGTCACTCAATTACAAATATTCAACAGGAGCCAACTGACCTCGGTGAGTGTGTGCCAGGGACAGAGAAGCCACGTGGTGCAGACACGAGTTCCAGGCATGGAAAAAATCCTCCTTCTTGGTCTTTACCTGTCCAATCGACAGAAGAAAAATCACCATTGAGGATATTGTGAGAGAGTCTAACTTAATAGCAAGACAGACGGCAAACATCCAAATTTTCAGTACTACATTAAGCATGGACACAGTGCAGAACCTTCTGTAGGCTGGCCTCTGTGACCTGCAAAAACTGCTTGTTAGATGAATAAATATCATACATGTAGAGAAGCCCTGTTTCCATGCTTATATTAATTTATACTAATGGAGGTCACAGACGTTAGAGAAACACGTGAAGGGGAGAATGCAGGCACAGATCAAGTGAGGCTGTTCTGATTGGGTCACTTACTGCCTGAAGAATTCAAAATACCAGAACAAACTACTTGAATCTAATCCTCAACATAACCAGCCCACGTTCCCTCCTTCCTTCCCTTGCAGTCAGGAGCTTCCATTTGTTTCCAAAGTGTTTCTCAAACATGTTATGTCTCAAGAATTGGCACTGACTAGCTGCCATGTTTGATATATGTGAGGAATTAACATAAACCTGGAGATAGGATCCAGAGTGATGGGGATGTCATTTATGCATGTGACAAATAGCTTTTCTGCATCTACTCTGTGCAAGATAGTCTTTCAATCACTCTAATGAAGCGAGTCTTTTTTCTTTGCTTTGTGTTTTAGTTGGAGGGAAGTGAGGACATATTAATATAACTAGAGTAAAATAAGAATGAAGAAGGCACAGAGAACAGAAAGATACCGAATCACAAAACTAGTAATTACCATCATTTAGGAGGAGCTGAAGGTCTCAGATTCTTATCTGACCAGACAGGAGAGTTAAATGTGGCCCGTAAAACTTTTCTTTGTTCCTTCTTGACTTTCTTTGTTTCGAAAACCACATGGGTTTAATACTTAAACTTTTAGCATTTTTTTTTTTGTGCTCAAGGAAATAACTCAAATAGAAAGTTACACTCAATGTATCTGCTTCTCATTTGTATTTAACTCACACCCTGACGTGCCCTCTCAGTTAAATAGTTACTTGCTTCCCTGCAGCTCTGCGGTTTCTGCGGGGCCTGGAGATCCACATGTAAAATCCCTGCTGTAACACAGTGCTTTGTGCTCCGGTGGAAAAACAGCGCTGCTGAAAGCCTCTACCCATGTATAATTTAGCAACATCACCTGGGGCCGCAGGCACAGTTTGGAGGACAATGTCATGGGTGCCTCGGGATCCACACCTAACTGGGGCATCTCATGACAATCGAGGGAAAGGATAATGTCTGCTTTGCTCCCTGAATTGATATCTCTCTGCACTGGTGTCACAATTACAACTGAAAGGGTGTGGCAGATGCATGCAACTCTCAGGGAACAGCCTGCAGCAGAACATCTTGGCAGGGGGAGGACAAGAGCTGGCCAGACACTTCTGGAAGTTCTGGAAGGAGATGCTGAAGCTCTACCCATTCCACTGTAAAGGACAACACCAGGAAATCCCAGTTAATATGGTTTAACCTCCTAATCATGCACCGACTATCCCCCACCATTGCATGGGAGGCAGAGAAGAATAAAACACTGTGCACATGTGTCCAAATAGAATCAAGGGCACTTTTTAATTGCTTTTTTTTTTTAAACTCAATGTGTAGAGTAAGTTTTTCACTGGCCTGATCAAAAGAAAACCAGGGACAGAAAACTAACTGGCTGTGCAATGCAGACCCCTGCCTGAAGAAGGGACTTCAGGTGGGAAACTTTGCAGAAAGCCCTGTGCAAAGCTGGCTACAACTGCACCCCTCAGAGTATGAGGAAAAAGGAAAAAAAACCACAACAAGTTCAAGTGAAGAGGAAAGGCCCCTTGAAGGCCTACCAGCCAGCTCCCAAGTGCTCTTCCTTATATGTCAATATCTTGGTGCTGTTGCAGGACATTGGAGCAGGCTCAGTGTAACCTCACCCCTGCTGGCAAGAGGCTCCCTGGCCCCACCTCCAGACCCGCCCCAGGCAGGAAGAAGAGCACCCAGGTCTTGGGGCATGCTGATGGAAAGGCAGCATTCCTAGAATAGGAAAGCAACTGACTGAGAAGCCTCTGTCCCCTTGAATTAGAGTTTATTGGTAGGAAATAAGAGGCTGAAGCCAACTGCGGGCTTCACAGTGATCCTCACGCCCAGATGGGCTGACCTAGGAGCAGTATAGGCTCTACACACCATTCTGCTGTCAAGTGGTCAAAATGAACGCATCAGAAGGTCAAATTCTGGCTCGGCCTCCAAGTGCAGAGACAGCATTAACTTCGAGAGTATTGCTGGCAACCATTATAACCCTCTAATTGCCTATGCAATGCACAAGATTTTAAAATATATGTATTGCACAAACAATATTGTGAAACAACAGAAATCAACTCTCTCATCTTAAAAAAACCTTAATACGAGGTTCCAGGAGGGGATTTAAAAAATGATATGGCTGTTCTTTGCTTCAGGCAATAAACATGCTACTGAAAACCTATGTGTAAATACAGTCTTATGCCAACTAAGTCCTTCTTAAAAATGCACCAGAAAACAGGCTCTGTTTTAAGCACTTAATTGTATTTGCTCATTAAGTCTTCAGAAGCTCTGGAAGTAGATTTTATTAAGATCTTCATTTTGCAGGTAGGAAATTGCAACACAGAAATGTTCAGTAACTTGGACAAGGTTGCAGAGCTGAGTTGGAACAGGGTGCCCAGGCCTCTGAGCCCACATCCCTAACCATGGGCTACACTGCCTCCCAATGGACTGAGAGTGAGTTAGTTCCCTGGCAAAACCTGCCCCTCCCAAGCATGCTGTTTATAAAGATGGATGATCACACATGGTCACATTTAATATCAACAACATCCCATACTTAAATCTTTGAATGAAAAGATATGACTATTTCCTGATAAAGCATCACACAGCTAAGACAAAGAGCTGAATGCATAAAGAAGTTTCCCCATATCCATTCGCCTTTCTTTTCTTGAAAAGCCTCAAATAGATTTGGGCAGCCATACAGCCAATTAAAAAAATACTTTCCTGCAGAGGATCTACAAAAAATGTCAGCTAACATCATACTTAAAGGTAAAGGCTGAGTGCTTTCCCCTTAAGTTCAAGTAGAAGATGAGGATTCTGTTATCAGCACTTCCTTTCAACACCAAAATGGAGATTCTAGCCAGGGCAATAAGGCAAGAAAAGGAAATTAAAGGAGATTAAAAAGGAATAAGTAGGCCAGGCACAGTGGCTTAAACCTGCAAACCCAGCACTTTGGGAGGCCGAGGAGCTCAGAGGGCTGAGGTGGGAGGATTGCTTGAGCCTGGGTATACTGAGCCAAGATCATGCCATTGCACTCTAGCCTGGGTGACACAGTGAGACCCTGTCTCAAAAAAACTCCAAAACAAACAAAAAGGAGTAAGTAAGACTGACTCCACTCAAAAAGACATGATTGTCTATGTAGAAAAATCTTAAGAAATATTTATTTATTTATTTATTTTTGAGACAGGGTCTCACTCCTGTCACCCAGGCTTGACTGCAGTGGCATGATCATGGCTCACTGCAGCCTTGACCTCCTGGGTTCTTGCAATCCTCCCAACCTCAGCCTTCTGGGTAGCCGGGACTACAGGTGCACAACACCATGCATGGCTAACTCTTCTGAATTTTCAGTAGAGATAGGGTCTTGCTGTGTTGCTGGATCTGGTCTCAAACTCCTGGGCTCGAGTGATCTGCCAGCATTGGCCTCCCAAAGTTGCTGGAATTACAGGTGTGAGCCACTGTGCCCAGCCTAAGAAATATATAATAAAGCTGTTAGAGAAATAGGAGCACAGGAGAACCAAGGTGACATCATTTTAAAATCAACTCCATCTTAAAACTAGCAAGGCACATTCCTTGCCAGTCATGAACCATGGTCATAAGATGTTTACAGTTGAGAAAACAGCTTAAATGTACCTGAAAGAACACAATCTTACAACAAAGGAAAGTCCAGATGTCCCAATAACCATAACGATATATGATTTTAAGATAATTATATTTATGCTTTGAGGTACTTATTCAATAAAAAAAACAAGGGGCCAAGTGCGGTGGCTCACGCCTGTAATCCCAGCACTTTGGGAGGCTGAGGTGGGCAGATCACGAGGTCAGGAGTTCGAGCCTAGCCTGGCCAATATGGTGAAACCCTGTCTCTACCAAAAATACAAAAATTAGCTGGGTGTGGTGGCACACACCTGTAGTCCCAGCTACCCGGGAGGCTGAGGCAGAAGAATCGCTTGAACACAGGAGGTGGAGGTTGTAGTGAGCCGAGATCATGGCACTGCACTCCAGCCTGGGTGACAGAGTGAAACTCTGTCTCAAAAAAAAAAAAAAGAATAATTTTCTTTAAATCAACAGAATAGTAAATTTTGCCATGCTGTCAGCTCTCCCACACATAGACAGAACTTAGCTTAGCCTTTACAAAGATAAGACCCCTATATAAGAAGGGTTTAAAACAAAGATGGCCCAGGCGTGGTGGCTCACGCCTGTAATCCCAGCACTTTAGAGGCTGAGGTGGGTGGATCACTTGAGCCCAGGAGTTCAAGACCAGCCTGGGCAACATGGTGAAACCCCGTCTCTACAAAAAACACAAAAATTAGCTGGGCGTGATGGTGGGTGCCTGTAGTTTCAGCTACTTGGGAGGCTGAAGTGGAAGTATCACCTGAGCCTGAGAGGGTCAAGGTGCAGTGAGCCATGATCGTATCACTGCACTCCAGCCTGGGCAACAGAGGGAGACCTTATCTTAAAAAAACGAAAACAAAAACCCAACAACAACAACAAAACACAAAGACTGCACATTCCTCCTCTTGCTTTCTGAGGACACCCTACTCTGTAACTGAGTAGTTTTCAATAAATGATCTCTTCTCACTGCACTGTGACTTGCCTTGAATTCCTTCCTGCACATGATCCAAGAACCCCCTCTTGGGATTTGAATCAAGGCCCATCTTCTGGCAACAAAGCTACTGGAACTACTGAGTTAAAGAAAGGCACAAAGTACAAGATTGATATACAAAAATCAATTGTATTTCTATATTCTAGCAATGAACTGGAACTCAAAATAAAAATGCCATTTACAATAGCATCAAAAATGTGAAATCCTTAAGGATACATTTTATAAAATATATTTTATATTTATATTATAAAATATATTTTTATTTTATAAAATGTAAGATCTATATATGAAAACTAAAAAAACTTCACAGAACGAAATTTTAAAAGACCACTTAAAAAAACGGAGAACTATACATTGTGTTCATAGGTCAGAGAACTCGATATTGCTAAGATGTCACTTCTCCCCATATTGATCTATAGATGCAACACAATGCCAATCAAAATGAATGCCAGCAGACCTTATTTTGTGTGAGTATGGTAGAACCATACAAGCTAATTAGAAAATTTGTAAAAGAATACAGAGGACCTAGAAAAGTCAAAACCATTTTGAGAAAAGAAGCATTGGAGGATTCACACTGCCTCATTTTAAGGCTTCCTATAAAGCTATAGTAAACGCAACAGTACGGTATTGGGGTAAGGATAGAAACATGAGTGAATAGAACACAGTAGAGAGTTCAGAAACAGAGCCACATATGTATATGGTCTACTGATTTTCTACAAAGGTACCAAGGTAATTGAATGAGGGGAAAACAATTTTTCAACAAATGGCACTAAAACAATTGAACATCCACATGAAAAAACAAAGAAATAAATGAACCTTATCCTTTACTTCATACCATATACAAAAGCTAGCCCAAAGAGAATCATAGACCTAAATGTAAACACTAAATCTACAAAGTTTCTAGATGAAAACCTAACAGAAAATCTTAGTGACCTTGGTTTAGATTTTGTGAGATAAGACACAAATTTTGAATGTTTTCAAAATTTAAATACACTGTGAAGCAAATGAAAAGGCAGGTAATGGATGAGGCAAAAATCTATGCAATCTCATATAATAAAGGATTTCTGTACAGAATTTGTAAAGACATCTACAGCTCAGTCACAGGAAAACAAAACCCAGTTTAACAGATGGACAGAAAATCTGAACACACACTTCACCAAAGAAGACAAAATGAATAGCAAATAAACACATGAAGAAGATCTGAGAAACGCAGATTAAGACCACAATGAGAAGGTACTACGCACCCACTAAAATGGCTAAAATGAGTAAGACTTGCAAAACCGAGTATTGGTGAGGATGTGGAGCAACTAAAATCATTGCTGATGGGAGTGTAAAATGTTACAGCCACTTTAGAAACAGCTGGGCAATTTCTGATTAAGTTAAACCTATACCTATAGAAGAACCCAGCCATTCCACCCCTCGGTATTTACACAAGATAAACAAAAACATATGTCCACATAAAGTCACATATAAAATTGTTCACAGAAGCTTTATTCATAATAGCCAACACGGGAAGCAGTGCGTACATCTACCACCTGCTTAATGGGTAAACAAATTGTATACACCTACACAAACGAATACCACTTCACAATAAAGAGGAACAAACCTAAGCTGTTCCATTTCTATTAAATTATAGAAAAGGCAAATTTACAATGAAAGAAAGATAAGTAGTTTCCAGGAGTTGGGGATGGGGAAGGGATTGACTGCAAAGTTGCACAAAGGAACTTTGTGGGTGACAGAAATGTCCTATATCCAGATGCTAGTGGTGGTTATATGACATATGCATTTGTCAAAACTGGTTAGTTGTACATTTAAAATTGGTTAATTTTAATTCATGTAAATTATATGTAATATATATTATTATACATTTATATATTATATAATTTTTATATATAAAAATGGATTTCTTTTTTTTTAAATCTCACCTCCCCATACTCCCTAGCCGCTAGGGTTAGACATGTAACCTCCCTTGCCAATGAGAACAGGCAGTTGTCTACCGGGAAGCTCCTCTGTAAAAGCTACTGTTTTCCTGATAACAAGATACCGCCTTTTTCTCTTTGTCCTTTCTGCACCTACCTGCTTGGAACTCAGCCACCATGTGACCTTGAGAACAGTTTTAAAGGCTGCACTATGGAGGTATATTGGTTCCCTAGGGCTGCTGTAACTCCTTACCACAATCCTAGTGGCTAAAAACAGAAATGTATTCTCTCGCAGTTCTGGAGGCTAGAAGTCTGAAATCAAGGTGTCAGCAGTTCCATGCCACCTCTGAAGGTTCTTTCTTTCCTCTTCTGGCTTCTGGTGGTTGCCAGTGGTCTCCAACATTCCTTGGCTTGCAGCTGCTTCACTCCCATTGCTGCCTCCACCAGCATAAAGCCTTCTTCCATGAGTCTCTGCTCTTCTTATAAAGACAGCAGTCATATTGGGTTAAAGCCCACCCTACTCCAGTGTGACCTAATTTGATTCCATCTGCAAAGACCCTATTTCCAACAGGGTCACATTCACAGGTACTGCGGGTTAGGACTTGAACATATCTTTTTCAAGGACAGAATTCAATCTACAACCTGGGGACAGAGAGGACGGAGAGAGTAAGAGCCCTGGCCCTTCTTTGTCATGGAGCCACAGCCTGAGTCCTAGGCTGCCTACCTCTGTCTTCTCATTGGGGGAGAACAGCAAGCCCCTCTTTAGTTAAACCACAGCAGACAAGCACTTTAGCTGATACACTCTGCCTCCCCTAATTGTTAAAGGTGATCACAGTCCCTCCTTGACCTGTTCAACAGGAGGCCAGGGTGCCCAGCACTAGCAAAACACTGGGCCTGAGGTGGCAGTTCACTGAGTGAGTGAGTGCTCAGATTGTCCTTGCATGTTCTCTTGGCCCAGCCACCCACCTTCCACCATCGCAGCCTAGGAGTGTCCCTCCTCGGTCTGGGTGTCCTTGGTCTTCTCCCAACCACAGCATTTTAAGGCCCCTGTGGTGGCTTCCCCAGCTGTGACAGCTTCCCCAGCTGTGACAGCTTCAATTTCCCTGTCTGGCCCATGCCTTCCTCCAGCCCTGTGTTCTGTGCCCACTCTGCCCTCCAGCCACGCTGAGGGGCTCAGTGTCTCTCTTGGCAATTATCCTCCATCCTGCTCCATACCCAGGACCACCTAACGCTCAGCAGCATGCTCTGCATCTCACTATTTCCCATGGGGCCCCTTCTCCCACACGTCCCCACACCCATCCGGACCCACAGATGGCCCCTTCCTCATGCCAGCCTTCCAGCCCAATACCACTTCCACGGGCTACAGATGTCTCCCTGTAATCAAAAAATCCCATTTTTTGATTAAAACAGGATGAGCAGAAACCTGAGGGAGTGCACAATCCTCTGCAGAATGCATCAGGCCTTTCCAGTGCCATCATTTCTGCTTCCACCTTCTGAGTTCTTCAGGGTCCTGTCCAGGGCAGCGTTTAAAACATTCCTCCCCTTGTACCTAGCCCCAGATCCATTTGTATGTCCTTAGAGTGATTTGACCGTGCTTACTCCTAAATCTCCCCGCTCCCCTCTCATCTCCCTGTGCACAGAGGTGGCATCATCAGGAAAGAGTCCAGTCCTGATCAATAACTGCACTCCCACCTGGTAGACAGAAGGACGTCTCGGAGCCTGGATGTCAGCTTTTGCGACACACATCAGGTGCTGCCCCTCTCACATGACGCCCATCAGATATGGAGTTCAACAACAGACATGGAGTATGCAGCTACATTAAAATATTTTTATAGACAAGTAGAGGCCAACACTATGATTGCTTCCCCACTTTCTGCTCTTGGGGGTGAGCCCTGAACTGCCTAGCCAGTAACCACCTTGCAGAGTCACGGGAAATGTCGCAAGCCAGATCTTCCCAGGCCACAGAGTCTTTTTTCTTCCTCCTTCTCCTTCCTTTTCTTCTCTTTCCTTTCTGTAGTAAGTGTCGCCAGTGGCCTGGGCTTCCAGCGTGGTCACCTCCAACACAGTGGTACCTGCCCTCGCCTCCCTCTGCTGCAGGCCCCTAGGAGCCCTCCCTGCCTCCTGGTTGGCCCTGGCTGGGAGGTCTGGGGGCCCCTGGGGGTCCTGCCCACACCTCTCTGTGACTGCACTGGCTGATGTGGGCAGAACACGCGGCTGCCTTCCTCGGGGTCCCCAGAAGCACCTCCAGATGCCATTGCTTGCCTTGGGGGTATCCTGACAGATGTAAGCCCGCCCCTGCCTGTGCCAGGGGCAGGAAGGGACCATCCCTCATCTGCTCAGCCCCATCTCTATCTTCCTGTCTCTCTTCCGGTTTGACTTTCTTTCTTGTGTGTGCCTTTGTGTGTGTGTGTGTGTGTGTGTGTGTGAGGAGGGGTCTTTATATATTTGTCTGTCTTCCTGTATTTTTCTTTTTCTTTTTTTTGATATGGAGTTTCGCTCTTGTCACCTAGGCTGGAGTGCAGTGGAACGATCTCGGCTCACCACAACCACTGCCTCCTGGTTTCAAGCGATTCTCCAGCCTTGGCCTCCCAAGTAGCTGGGATTACAGGCGCCCACCACCATGCCTGGCTAATTTTTGTATTTGTTTAGTGGAGACAGGGTTTCACCATGTTGGCCAGTGTTGGTCAGGCTGGTCTTGAACTCCTGACCTCAGGTGATCTGCTCGCGTCGGCCTCCCAAAGTGCTGGGATTACAGGCATGAGCCACCACGTCCGGCCTTCCTATATTTTTCTTTCTGTATTACGTCTTTACAATTTTTTCTATTCTGTATTTTTTCATCTCTCTCTCTCTGGTCTAGATGAGTTCTGTCTTTTTTTCTGGGCTTACATAAGCACTTTTTTACTCTTCTATATTTTTAATTTTGCCGTGTTTTTCTGCCTTTCTGTATTCCTTGGTCCTTCCAAGTTTTTTCTTTTTTTTCTTTTTTACATTCCCCAGAAACAGATCTCGTTTTTATTTTTATTCCTGTATTTCTATCTCTTTTTCCTTGTGGTGTTCTCTCTTGTTTCCTGGGTTAATTCAAGTGTCTCAACTTCCACTCTTCTCTCATGTATTTGCACTCCAAATGATTCCTCCCTTTCATCTTTAGATATTTTCTCTATTAAACTTGGTTTCCTCTGCTTGGCTTTGGGAAGAGGGTCCTCCCCTCTCCACCCGCAGCCTCTCTTCCTGAGCTCTGAGATGCCCTCTTTCTGTACTGAAGGGCAGGTGTGGCAGGTCCTCAAGGAGAGTCTCCCAGAGAATAAGGGGGCTGGGCCCAGTAGCCAGCGGCTCACTGGTGGCTTCTGAGATGAGAATGTGGGATTCTTGGCACCTTTGCCCTAAGCTTTGAAACTGAGCTAGAATTCCAAGACAGCAGGGTAAACAAATCTCCCTCAACATCCTGCTACATATGAGAAAAAGGGAATATGGGAGAAAGGATACAGAGAGCACCCTGATGTCCACAGTTCCCAGCTTGTTTCCCACGGAGAAAGAGAAGTGCCCAGACAGGACTGTATCCCGGATTCGGGGGCCAGCTGCAGGATTCTTGTCTGGTCTCTGAGACCCAGTGAAATGCTGAGCCCAGGTCAGAGTTGAAGTACAAGGTGCTTTCCTCCACTGGCCCACTCCTCTACCCTTCGCCCCTGCCACCCTTGCCTGTCCCAGCCTCCTCTGCACCAGAATCTCCCTTTGCTCAGAATGTGGCAGGTGACAGTTCTGCAAGGTGGAGCAGGTGAAATAGTCCCTGTCTAGGGAGGCGTGCCCCTGAGGTGCAAGGCTGGAATTCACAACACATTTTCCTAGAAAAACACAATGCCAAAGTGATCGATGGCATTGATAATGCTATGAATGGGTCCAGCAACCAGGACATACTGAGCACCTTCCATGTTCCAAGCACTGCACTGAAGTGCTGTGTAAGAAAGACATTCTGCTTTTACAGAGGAGTCTCAGAAGAGTTCAACATCTGTCTCTAGGTCACACACTGGAACCCAAATAAATATGGCTCCAAAGAATACGATCTGTCTGGCCCTCCTGGTCCCCAGGCCCCAACACAGCTGGTTCAGCACAGCTGCATGAGAGCCCACATCATTGTTCACAAAGGGGGCTCCTAGCAGACTGTCTTGTTCACAGCAGCAAAAATATCATCTTTCTCAATGGTGTTTGGTGCAGGGGAGGGTCTCAGTAAATGTATATTCAAAGATACACACACATATGCACATGCACATGTGCACACACACACGGCTTCCCGCTATCCTGAACCATATCCAGAGCACACATCACTCTCTTGCTTCAGATATTTGTACATGCAATTCTCTCCACCAGAATACCCTCCACCACCTAACTACCTCCTCCTGGTTTCAAGAATGTAAGACACCTCATCAGGAAGCCCCCCACCAGCTCTCCATCCCCAGAGTGATTCAGGCATCCTCCTGGGAGCTCCCACCAAGCCGGCATGTCCACCACAGAAACTTTTGACATGCTGCCATGCGAGCGCTGCTCTGACTGGGGCAGGACTGCAACCACCCCAGCAACCAGCACAGCACGGGGAGCCTGGTCAGGCAATGACCACATGAAGGAAGCCCCACCCACGGATGGGTGGTGAGAGTAGAGATGGATGCACCAGGTGGGAGCAGAAAAGAAAGTGGATTCACCAGGCACGGTGGCTCATGCCTGCAATCCCAGCACTTTGGAAGGCCGAGGCAGGTGGATCACTTGAGGTTAAGAGTTCGTGACCAGCCTGGCCAACAGGGTGAAACCCCATCTCTACTAAAAATATAAAATTAGCTGGGTGTGGTGGCATGTGCCTGTAATCCCATTTACTCGGGAGGCTGAGGCAGGAGAATCGCTTGAACCGGAGAGGTAGTGGTTGGAGTGAGCCAAGATTGTGCCACTGCACTCCAGCCTGGGTGATAGCGGGAGACTCCGTTTCAAAAAAAAAGAAAAAGAAAAAGAAAGTGAATTCAGTGTGGATTCAGAGGGCAGAGAAATAGAGCAAATTCAGCACAGGGGGTCAGCCACTCACTGCACGGCAGTTGCGGGGCCTGCCAGGATCTCTGCAGCCTCTTCTTTCACGCACGCTGTCTTCCAAGCTCTGGTCTGGAGTCCGGCAATATAAACAGACCCCAAAGACAAAGTCTATGCCTGGTGAAGACTTGACCATTTTTGTCACACACACGAGTTCCAGGAGTGGGAAACGGTACGTGTTTGATCTGACCTGTTTCTGAAACTTTTCCCTGTTGAGGCTTAACTGAAACTGTCAGAACATGAAATCAACAGGGCCTTGGCAAAGGGCTTCTATAATTGAATATATTACTTTCCAATTTCTCCTCCTTCTTCCCTTTTGTGTCAAATGAAGAGTCCGGTTTTCATTACCGAGCCTTTCGGAATAGAAAATGATTGTTGGATGATCCATTCTTTTTGGTCATTTAGCACGCATTTGAACTCTACTCTCCTGAAATTGATCTTGGTAATTTCCAACAACAGATGTGTAAATAAATGTTTGATACTTTCTCCCATTTTTTAACAGTTTCCTCATTTTGAAAGTTCCTCCTTAACTGTCCTGGTGGATGGAGGAATAGAAAGGGGAAAATCAGGAGGCCTTAAATAGATTTTACAGGCACCAAAGCATGCATTTGGAGTACGGTCAGCTAGAAAGATCTTGTTTCAATAATATGATCTTCACGTTCAGCTGAAGACTATGTTATGGAACCTGACTGCCCTTAGTGACTGCTTAAAGCTGACATAAGGCAGAAAAATGTACATTTAATATGGGAAAGAAATTAGGCCTCAAGATCTTTGTTTCCTGAATCTCTGCAGCAGCTCAGCTGGTGCTGGGCCCATGAGGCAGCTGCAGGAGGCATTCTTGGGGCTGTGAGTGGGAGGTGATGGGTATAGTATGCGGAAAATCCACCCCATGAGGGGTTTGGGGCAAATCCAGTGAAGAAGGGACTGGCAAGGGAAGTGCTAACCCAACTGCAATTTGGGGCTCCTTGGGGCTCTGTGTCTCCAACTCCACTATGGCATCCTCTCTTCCCAGCTTTGACCCCTCCCTCAGCTCGCTCCCCATCACAGCGTCCCAAGTCCCACCAACACCCCCTCCAGCCTCTCTGCTACCACCCAAGCTCGGGCTGCATCCTCACTCTTCTGGGCCCTTGGTTACTACGGCCTTTGAATGGTCACTCTCTCAGCACGGACCTCAGAAGGCTCTCCCTAGAACTCCCATGTGATCAGGCCATGACCCCTACAGGGAAGGGAGAAATGGAAGGTCCACAGCCTCACACAGGGCACACAAGACTGTGGGCCCATCCGCCACCCAATCACCCTGTCCGTCAGCCTCTCTAGCCTGTGACCCAATGGGATACTGATGGGCTTCACGCCCAGGCTGAACTTGCCAGTCACTCACTGACATCCCCATGCCTTGCCTCAAAGGTCAGTCCCACTCTCTGCCTGGGGATGATAGGACAGGGCACGCTCTGCCATTTGTTATTCCAGACTCAGTTCCAGTCTCACGGCTATCCTAGCCCCTATGCACCAAGCCCACCCCACGGTATGTGCCTCCTCCCTCCCCGCTGCTCCCTCCTCCGTCCCCTCTCCCTGCACTTCCCCTGCCATCCTTCCCTCCCAGACAGAGTTCCTCGGGGACAGGAACTGTCATCCTCACACCTCAGAACTGGTAAGCAGCATTTTTTTTAAAGGACCTAGTCAGCAAAAATAAAAATGTTTACAGGTCATTTTGTTCCTTAATTTTTTATTTAGCTATATATTTGAAGTTTCAACTAAGCATTTTTATGTATTTTACCGTAACTAAGGGACTTACATTTTTGGCTAAGCCTTTAAGAATACTAAAACCCACTCACTTTTCAGAACTTCAAGAAAACTTATGAATGTCTTTGCAAGCGGCAGGGAGAGAGGTTTCAGATACCTGCCAGTAAGGAGCGAAACAATATCAGGGATTAAACAACAGTAACAACTACAATACCACTAACCAAACCAGAACCACACTACCTAACTGCCCAAGGTGCTGGCAAGCAGGGAAGGAGGGGCAGGAATCTGAACAGGTCACCAAGAGCTGCCACATGGAATTCTAGGTCAGTAAGTGGCCATGGTTCTCCACCGCTAAGCCACGAAGCTGGCAAGCAGGCAGGCTGGAGTTAGCACTGCCCCCAGAGAAGGTGAAGGCGTTGACGGGGATGAATCTGACTCCCCTCTCTCCCTTCTCTGCACTTCTTTCTCTGCTGTGTCCTAATCATGCATGTCACCTGCATGCTTGGTTCTAAATGCCTCCTCCCCAATAAAGGCCACTGCTCCCCACTTGGCCTCTAGTGGCAGAAATGTCCCCACCCTACTGTGCTGCTGGAGGCAGGAAGCTGCTGCCACTGCTGAGCTTGCGCAGAAATGGTGAGGGCGTGTGGTCTGACAACTTTCTGGGGTCCCTTTTCTCAGTTCTGCGGTAAGATTGCTGGTTATGTGGCAAGACAATGGACTCTGAACAGTTCCTCGCTATGGCAGGAACTCAACAAATGTCTGTGATCCCAGCTCACCACGAGGGCCTGCCCTCTGGCCTTGTGCAGACAGGGCAAAATAGAATAACAGGCTCATTTCTGCACACCCCAATACCACCACCTCCAGTAATGCCTCACCCCAGGGCAAGTCTGCTCCCTAATCAGGGGGGAACTTCAAGAAACTGTAGTGCGGTGTTGTCACTTACGCCAAGTCAAACTCACTAGCAATTGGTGTAGGGTAAGCTGGAAAATGTCACTTCAATTGTATGCTCTTCAGTCATGAGACCAGAGCTTGTCACATGTCCCCATTGATTTGCCTGTTTCTGAAACTGAGCTCTGTCTTGTCCCATTATCTTGCTGGCTGATTTGCCCAACTCCATGACTGGCCCTTCCTCACCATCTTGCTGGGGCCCTGCTTCCAGGGGTCCATCCTCCCCAGTGAATAGAATATCCAGACTCTCTAGGGCCCATCTGCCTGTGTTCAGGGCCAGCCCTCCACTGCTTGCCTCTTGCCAGGCTTCTGTGACCCTGGCTACTGGTACAGACCACCCCCACCATCTGTCAGTCACCCTGCTACCTGGATTCCATGCTGCTGGCTGGCCTGGGCACCCACTGCCATTTTTCGATGTAACACTGCAAAGTGCCTAGCACGGGGCCTGGCCCAGGATGGACACGTGATGAGTGTGAGCTGTTGTCATTAGCCATTGCTTCTTCCCCCAGTAGGTGTATCAAGATTCAGCAGCTGAAGCCTGTTCTAGATTTCTAAACTTCCATTTTCACATGAAAAGACAGTACCTGTAATGCAAACAATCTGTCTGACTGCTGTGAGGACCTGTTTAAGTTATAATTGTAAATGTTTTCACTGAAGTAGAAAACACATACAGTCAGATGTGTAGCACACGTAAGTCTTAAGTTTAAAGCTCCAGGATTCCTTACATGCACATATGCCCATGGAATCACCCAGATCAAGATACAGAACATTTCCTATACCCTCTCTCTGAACTCCCCCACCAGGCAGTACCACCCTCTCCCCTCAGACTGTGATCACCAGATCACCATCAACTGGTTTGGGGTCAGGCACAGTGGCTCACACCTGTAATCCCAGCACTTTGGGAGGCCAAGGAGGGAGGATTACTCGAGGTCAGGAGTTTGAGACCAGCCTGGGCAATACAGTGAGACCCTAACTCAAAAAAAAAAATTAAAAAAATTAGCCAGGCGTGGTGGGACATGCCCATAGTCCTAGCTACTCAGGAGGCTGACGCAGGAGGATTGCCTGAGCCCAGGAAGTAGAGGTTGAAGTGATCTATGATTGTACCACTGCACTCCAGCCTGGGCAACAGAGTAAGATCCCGTCTCTAAAACAAAAGAAAACAGAAACAAAACTAATTTCACCCCTCACTGAATGGCACATAAATGGAATTATACAGTATTAACTATTCTGTGTCAGGCTTCTTTCACTAAACATAATGTCTAAAATTCACATATGTTGTTCCATGTGGCAGCAGTTTATTCATTTTTATTGCCAAGCAGTATTCCAATGTATGACAGATATCACAGTTTATTTATCTAGTGTCATGTTGAACATTTGGCTTCCTGTTTCTGGTTTTTGGATATTATTAATAAAGCTGTTATGAGCATTCCTGTACAAGTCTTTTTGTGAGAATATATTTTAATTTCTCTTGGCCAAATATCTAGGAAGGGAATTGCTGGCTCATAGTATAGGTGTACTTTTAACCTTATAAGAAACTGCCACTCTGTCTTCCAGAGTGGTGATTACCATTTTAGATTTCAGATAGCCATTATGAGAGCTTTGGTTGCTTTGTAGCATTGCCAGGATGGAGTGTTGTCAATCATTTTAGTTTAATCATTTCAGTGGGTGTGTCGTGGTGTTTCACTGTGGTTTTAATTTCCATTTCTGGGATGACTAACACAAATTAGGCAAAGTTGCATGTGCTCATTAACCATTCTTTTATATTCTTTTATGAGATATCTTTTAAAGCTTTTTGTGCAATTCTTCCTGGGTTGTATCTATACATTATTGCATTGTAGGTATTCTTTATATATTCTGGATAGAAGTGTTTTGCCAGATACAGGTATTGCAAATAATTTCTCCAAGGCTATGGTTTGTCTTTGTATGTTCTTAATGATATCTTTTAGAGAAGAAAAATGTTCACTTTTGGAAAAGATTCAATTTATCAAGATTTAATTTACCAATTAGTACTTTTTGTGTCTTTTTGAGAAATCTCAGTTTATGCCAACTTCCCAAAGATATTCTCCTATGTTTTCTTTTGAGAAGTTTATAGTTTTTCCCTTTTACATTGAAGTCTATGATCAATCTCAAATTAACCTTTGTGTATTATGCAGAAAAGAAGGTCACAGTTAATTTATTTTCCTTCAGATATCTAGATGTTTCCTGCACTATTAAAAAATTCTTTTCATCATTGAATTTCCTTCATACCTTTGTCAAAAAATCAAGTGAACATATACATGTGGGTCAATTTCTGGACTCTGTAGTGTTCCATTGATCTCTCTGCTTATTCTGATGCCAGTACCATGTCTGTATTATTGAAGCATTAGCACAAGCTTTGAAATCAGGTAGTACAATCCCTCTACATTTCTTCAATGTTTTTTGAAGTTGTTTGGGCTATTTTAGGCCATTCACATTTCCATGTGATTGTCAAATCAGCTTATGAGTTTCTACAAACATTCCTGCCAAGATTTTGCTTGAAATGGTGCTGAATCTATAGGCTAATTTCAGGAGGATGAACATTATGGCAATGTGGAGTTTTCCCATACACAAGCACAGCATACTACTCCAGTTACTTAGGCTTGCTTCAATTATTCCTTGGGTGTTACGTAGTCTTTAGTGTACAGATATTGCATGTTTTGGTTTTACTATTAAATGTGTTCCTAAGAAACTCATGTTTTTAGATGATATTGTAAATTAAATTTTATTTTCCAATTGTTTGATAACATATAAAACAAAATTCGTTTTAGATATTGAGTTTGTGTCCTGTAGCCCTGTTTTGAGCTATTAGTTTGGTAAATTCTTCTATTTCTTTTTTCCTGTCTCGTTGCACTGGCTAGGCCCTCCAATACAATGTTAAATAAAAGTAGTAAACTGGACATTCTTGCCTTGTTCCGTCTTTAGGAGAAAAGTGTGTAATATTTCACTATTAGGTATGAGGTTAGCTGTAGGTTCTTTTGTAGATATACTCTCCAAAAATTGAGGAAATTCCTTTCTATTTCTGCTCTGCTGAGACTTTTCATCATCAGCTCATGTTGGATTTCATCAAATATATTTTCCCCATAATATAATCATATGCTCTCTCCTTTGTTAGTATTGTATATTTTATTGACATGTTTTGACTATTAAACCAACCTCGCATTCTTATAATAAACACTACTTTGTTATGATGTATTCTATTATGTATTTTCACCTATATTCGTGGAGAATATTTGTTTGTAATTGTTTTCTTTGTACTGTACTTACTAATTTTGGGTATCAGTCTTACACTGGTTTTTGAAAGAGTTTTATGTAAGACTGATACTATTTTGTCTTTAAATGTTTGATAGAATTCAACAGTAAAACCATCTGGACCTGGAGCTTTCTTTGTGGGAATGTGTTCATTACAAATTAAATTCATTTTGACTGAAACGTTGTTGTTATGGAATAAAATAGAAAAGAAAGAAAAGAAAAGAAAAAAAGCGAATTAAATTCATTTAACAGACATTTTTAGATCTTCCTTTTCTTTTACTTCTTTTTTTTTTTTTTTTTTTTTTTGAGACAGGGTCTCCCTCTGTCACCCAGGCTGGAGTGCAGTGGGGTGATCTCAGCTCACTGCAATCTCTGCCTCCCAGGTTCAAGTGATTCTCCTGCCTCAGCCTCCCAAGCAGTGGGATTACAGGTGCCCGCCACAACACCTGGCTAATTTTTGTATTTTTAGTAGAGACAGGGTTTCACCATGTTGGTCAGCTGGTCTCAAACTCCTGACCTGAAGCAATCCACATGCCTTGGCCTCCCAAAGTGCTGGGATTACAGGCATGAGCCACCGCACCTGGCCCCCATTTTTTTTGTTGTTGTTAACTTTTGAGAGCTGTATTTTTCCAGGAATTTATTCTAAGTTACTGAACTTGTTTGCATTAAGTTGTTCATAATATTCTCATATTGTATAATGTCTGTAGTATGTGGTATGACATTATAATATCCGCTTTCATTCTTGACGTTGTTAATTTGTACTTTATCTTTTTTTCCTGATCAGTCTTGCTAGGGATCAAGAAATTTTATTAAACATTTCAAAGAACAAACTTTTGGGCTTATTGATTTGCTCTATAGTTTGTTTTCTATTTCATTATCTCTCATCTTTATTGTTACCTTTATTCTACTGATTTTGCTCTTCTTGTTCTAGCTTCTTAAGGTAGAAACTTGCATCATTTATTTAAAACCTTTTTAAAAATATTTTCTAAGATAAGCATTTCAAGCTATGAATTTCCCTCTAAGGATCCCTTTTACTGCACCTCACAAAATTTAGTATGTTGTGTTTTCATTACCATTCAGTTTGAAATATTCTCTAATTCCCCTTGTGATTGCTTCTTTTATTCACAAGTTATTTAGACCTGTGTTTCTTAATAGCCAAATATTTGGAAGATTTTCCAGATATCTTTTTGTTATTAATTTGTAATTTAATTTCATTGTCAACATAGAATACACTCTGCATTACTTTAATCTTTTTAAGGATTATTGAGATTTGTTTTATGGCCAGCACTGTAGCTCTGGGTGTAGTTTTCAATAAATGCCTACAAATATCAAGAAGATTGAATTAGATGACAGTGTTATTCACATCTTCTATACAGGCATACCTTGGAGATACTGTAAGTCTGATTCCAGACCACTGCAATAAAGCAAATATGTCAATAAAGCAAGTCACACAAACTTTTTGGTTTCCCAGTGCACATAAAAGTTACATTTACACTATATTCTACTAAGTGTGCAATAACGTTATGTCTAAAAAAAGTAGGCACCTCAAAAAAATTATTTATTGCTAAAAAAATTCTAACAGAGTCATGAAGTGAGCATATGCTGTTGGAAAAATGGCACCAAGAGGCCAGTTTAACACAGTGTTCCCACTAACTTTTAATTTGTAAAAAACACAACATCTGCAGTATGCAATAAAACAAAGCACAATAAAATGAGGTATGCCTATAGTCATATTACATTTTTACCTACTTATTTCATCAATTACTGAATTTGTCTATTTCTTCCATGGTTCTGTCAATTTCTGTTTCATGTATTTTTAATCTCTATTATGGAGTATACCTGTGTAGAATTATTTTGTCTTCTTGATGAAATTATCCTTTAATAATCAAAAAATGACTTTCTTTATCCCTGGTAATACACTCCTTTTTTTTTTTTTTTTTTTTTTTTAACAGAGTCTCACTCTGCTGCCCAGGCTGGAGTGCAGTGGTGCAATCTTGGCTCACTGCAACCTCCACCTACTGGACTCAAGTGATTCTCATGCCTCAGCCTCCCAAATAGCTGGGATAACAGCTGTGTTACCACCACACCCAGCTAATTTTTGTATTTTTAGTAGAGACAGGGTTTTGCCAGATTGGTCAGGCTGGTCTCAAACTCCTGGGCTCAAGCGATCTGCCCACCTTAGCCTCCCAAAGTGCTGAAACTACAGGCATGAGCCACTGCACCTGGTCCCTGGTAACATTCCTTGTTTTAAAGTTTCCTCTATCTGATATTAACATAGTCTCTCTCATGCTCAGTAATTGCATGCTATATCTTTTCCTGTCCTTGTCTTTCCATTCAAAGCATATGGAAGACCCTTGCTTATTTTTAACCTTCTATAACAATGTTTGCCTTTTAATTAGAATATTGGGGCCATTTACATTTAATGTAATTATTGATATTGTTGGGTATAAGTCTGTCATACTGCTATTTGTAGTCCTTCTCCTTTGATTTTTGTTTCTTCTTCCATGTCTTCTTTCAGATTAAGGGTTTTCCTTTTTGTCTCAGTCTACTACCTCCTATATTACAATCTATAGTCTTTACCTATAACAGTCTGCTTTGAATTAATATGATACTACTTCATATATTATGTAAAAATCTTATAATAGCATAATTCCATTTACACTACAACCTATCTTTTACATTATTTTTGCCATACATTTCACTTTTATATATGCCATAAACCCTAAATAATTGTAATTATTTTGCTATAAACCATCAATTGAATTCAAAAAGGCTTAAGACAAAAAAAGTAGTCCTTAATAGTTCCTTATATGTTTAGCATTTTCAGTGTTCTTCCTTACTTTAGATCTGCATTTCCATTTACTTTCATTTTGTTTAGCTTAAAGTACCTTCCTTAGCATTTCTTGTAGTATAGGTCTGTTGGTGACAAATTCTATTACTGAAAATGCTTTTATTTCATTTTAATACATACACATATGCACACACGACTGGATTCAGAGCTCAAGGTAGATTCTTTTTTGCTTTCAGCAGCACGGTAAAGATATCTTTCTATTGTCCTTTGGCTATACAATTTCTAATGAAAAGTGAACCATCATTCTACCATTATTTCTTGCATCTAATGTTCTTTGTTCTCTTCTAACTTTTAAGATTTATTCTTTATTTTTAGTTTTCAGCAATTATACTATGATGGGCTCTTATTTTTATATTTGTTTGTTTTTCATCCTCTCCTGCTAGAATCTTGAATTTATGTGCTGTCATTATTGATAAAAATTTAAAAAATATTTGGCTAATCCTTTTTCTATGCTATTCTCTCTCTCATCTCCTTCTTAGACTCCAATTACATATATGTTAGAGTGTGTGTTACTACCCCACAGGTCATGAGGGCTCTGATTATTTTATCAATATTTTTCTTTATGTGTTTTAGTTCAAATGATTTCTATTAATCAGGTTCACTGACACTTTTCTCTTTTTGCCCAGTGTGTTGTTAATCCCATCCATTTATTTTTTTATTAATACTATTGTATTTTTCAGTTCTAGAATTTCCATTTGGTTTCCTTTTTCATATCGTTCAACAATCTCCTGAAATTTCCTCTCTCTTCATCCCTTTTATTCATATGTTCCACCTACTCTTTTATAAATTCATATTTTTTAAAAGCCCTTGTCTGCTAATTTCAATATCTGGGAATTTTGGGGTCTTCTTCTCTTGATGATTTTTCTCTTGGCTATGGATCATGTGTTCCTATTTCTTCCCATGCCTGATAATATTTAAGTATCTAGTGGACACTATAATGATACTGACCCTAAATCCTGTTGACTTCCTCTAAAGGGTATTGAGTCTTATTCTAGCATGCAGTTAAAACACTAGCAGATAAACTTGAATTTATAGAGTCTTGATTTTATGCTTTGTCAGGAAGAATATATTTTGGCTTGCCTTTAGCCTCTTTTGGTTGTAGCTTCAGTCCTTAGGCAATCCCTTTTCCTGAGACATAGTTTTACTCCTAAGGCATGAGTTTACCACATCCCTCTAACTTGGCAGGATTCAGACTAAAAATTCTGACTCCTGTGTGGTGGGCAATAGTTGAGTTCTCTGTTCTGCTCTTTAAAGCTTCCAACTTTAAAACCCCTTGAGCTCTTTGGCATCTTATCCACTCATGGATATTCCAGGGATCAGTCATGGATTTGAGTGGTATTCATACATGTATTTTGAAGCTTCCCTCTCTGCGGCTTCTTTCTTTTTGGGATGTTCCTCCTTCATTTTCACTAATCTTGGCAGTCTCAAGCTCCATTTTCTTTTCTTTTCTTTTTTTTTTTTTTTGAGACGGAGTCTTGCTCTGTCACCCAGGGTGGAGTGCAGTGGCGTGATCTTGGCTCACTGCAACCTCCACCTCCCAGGTTCATGCAATTCTCCTGCCTCAGCCTCCTGAGTAGCTGGGATTACAGGCACACACCACCAAGCCAGGCTAATTTTTGCATTTTTAGTAGAGGTGGGGTTTCACCATGTTGGCCAGGCTGGTCTCGAACTCTTGACCTCAAGTGATCTGCCTACCTTGGCCTCCCAAAGTACTGGGATTACAGACGTGAGCCACCATGCCTAGCCTCAAACTCCATTTTCTGACTCCCTAAAACAATATTGAGGCTTTCATGAAATGAGTTTATCTTTAACCTAAGTGAAGGGAAAGGCTTTTTCTGTGAGTTAAAGTCCAGATGCAATAAAAAAATAGATTACTGCATTTGACTATATAAAAAAATTTTAAAAAGTTTGCACGGCAAACATGAACAAAGTCGAAAGACAAGTGACGAACTGGGAGAAAATTTTTTCAATATGACAAAAGGCTACAATTCTTAATGTAGAAAGTACTCTTCAAAATTGATGGACCAAATACCAAAACCCTATGGAAAAATGGGAAAATAATATGAGCAGACAATACATTGAAAACATATTAAAATGACCCTTATACAGATGAAAAACTGCTCAAAAGCACTCATAATTAGAGCTACATGAAGTTACCATTGATCACCTATCAAACTGGCAAAAATTGAAAAATATTAGAACACATTCTATTGATGAGACTTTGAGGAAACAGACTTCACTCAGTGGAATGAAAACTGTACAAATCCTCTGGAGGAGAATTTGGCAATACCTAACAAAACTACAAATGCACTTACCTTTGAGCCTAACAACAACATTTCTAGAAACCTACCCTGAAGATATAATTCAAACAACACTAAAATTTATATAATAAGGTTATTCACTGTAACGTTGTTTGTAATGACCAAAGGTTGGGAGGAAGGATTAAATACACAAGAGAGGGGTGGAGTAAGCTACAGTATATCCATAACATAGATTATTCTGTGGCTGTAAAAAAATGAATGAGGTAGATCTCTATGTGTGAAAGAAATACAGGAAGGATAAGCCAGAGACTAAAGATATCTTGCCACCTACATGAGGTATGTAGGAAAAAAGGGAAGTGATGGAAAGGGGGTAGCTGGAATGAGGAAAGAGTGGTAGCTCTCTGAGTACACTTTTGTGTATAGCACTGAATATTAGAAACTTAGTAATATTTCGCTTAGCCAAAAAATGATTAACTAAAAGCAACCAGGATATAGAGGAAACCCAAAGTAAAATGCAAGTAGTTACAAATGAACCTAACTTGTTATAAGTAATAAAACCACACCAAAAGAGGGGGAAAAAAAGGCTAATTAAAGAAACTTCGGAAATACTGTTTTGACTAGATACTGTAAGGTTAAATTCACAAAGAAAAATACCGTATTCCAGTTAGTAAATGTGTCTCTCACCAGGGTATGAGTTAGCAATTCTGAAACTACTTGTTGTGTACACAGGGGGTGAGCAAATATGTAAACATACAATAGACAATGAAAGCCAGGTTTCTGCTTTCTCATAGAAGAATGTTTGAAATAGGAAAGAGGGCAGGCTAGAAAAAAGCCCTGTTGTTTGAATTGGAATCAGAGTTATCAGTATAAACTCATGATTTCTAATATACGTGCATACAGATCTGTGTGCAAATGCGTGAGTTAATATACGTGAGTTTACTTCATAGCTTTGGGTAGGCCTAGAAGCAGCAACAACTCAGTAGCAATGAGCACACCCAGAGACCAGATGCTGGTTTTTAAATACCATTCTCTAGGAAAAAGAACCAGCTCTCCTTGGAGAAATGATTGACTGCAGGGTTGGCAGGGAAACTACAAGATGAGAAATAAAGTAAGGAAGTACTCAAAAAAGGATAGAGGCACTTCAAAGGGACACAGGGGCCAACCTGAAGGAGCTCTCAACGTTAATGCTTGGAACAATTGGCAAGAAAATAAATAAATCATAATATTGGATTGTAACCCAAAGCATAAAATAAATATCTGTGACTGCATGCTGACATAAGTCATAATTAATTGAATAAATAAATAATTGGAGAAGAGACAACTCTTGCTTCCCATTAATAAAGTGGTAGGAATGAGGAAAATAGAAAATCCCTACTAGGCAAACACCACAGTATTAATTGTTTCCAAAAAGATCCACTGATGGATACTAAAAATAATAGGTGAAAGTTTGAGGAAAAATAGGGTATCTGCATATTCAAATATCAGTCGCATCTTTGCCCTTGGTGACTGTATTGCCTTGAAGAAACCATTAGCTTTCTTGATCCTAGGTTGCCTATCTGTAAATGAGTGGGTTGCACTATGTGACTCCCAGGGTCTCTTCTAGCTCTCATACTCCCATGGGAGTGACTGTACTTTCCATGTAATTATCAGGAGTGTAACTTCTTCCTTTTCCTTATCTTTGCCTCCCCTTCCTTCTTTTCTTTCCATTCTCTTCCATAACAGGATTCCCTAGGAAGAGAATTTAAGGATGCTCTCTATGAGAAAAAAGATGGAGAAAGAAGTGAAGGAAAAAGAGAAAATGCAATTCCTAGTATTAACTGGTGTCTGGGTTGTTAGGCAGTAGAAAAGAGAGAAAGACAGCCGGGTGCGGTGGCTCATGCCTGTAATCCCAGCACTTTGGGAGGCTGAGGAGGGCAGATCACTTGAAGTCAGGAGTTTGAGACCAGCCTGATCAACATGGCGAAATCCCATCTCTACTAAAAATACAAAAATTAGCCAGACGTGGTGGCACATGCCTGTAATCCTAGCTACTTGAGAAGCTGAGGCAAGAGAATAGCTTGTACCCAGGAGGTGAAGGTTGCAGTGAGCCATGATTGCACCACTGCACTCCAGCCTGGGTGACAGAGCGAGACTTCATCTCAAAAAAGAAAAAAAAAAAAGAGGGAAACACCACAAAACAAAAGAAGAACATTCCTACAATCAGCCACAACAAAGAGGGAAGTGCCAAGCTAAGGCTTGGGAGCACTGTACTTCTGGGAGTTGGTTACAATTGGCCTCAGATGTTCCCGCTTGTACACTCCTAGGTCTCCCCAGATCGTCAGCTATCCCTTCCTGAACCATCACGCATAGCTTTCTACGACATCGTCCTTTCCCTATCTCTGGAGTTTCATGGTTTTAAGCCTAATCTCTCACTGAGTAATGGGAATATGTTTCCCCTGTACAGGACTTTCAAGCCCCAGTGAGCAAAGAGGGAACCTCACTTTTACACGAGGTGACCTTTGCACAGGCAGCCATCGATGCTCTGAAGATACAAAGAGAGCCCCTCCATCAGGTCATCTTCCTAACTCAACTCAGCCACAGGAGTAAGAAAATACATCAAGCTCAATGCAAACTGTGAGCTCAGAAAATCTGGTTACTAATTTTATTTCCTGTCTTTGATGATCTGTCTCTGGAATAAAGCTCTTGATATTTCTGTGCCATGAGATTGTTGTAAAACATCTGCCATTCAGACCGCTGTATTGGTTTTTAAAAACGTAACAAACACAGAATGGCTGCTATCACTCTCTGTTCCCTGTCCCTACCCACAATGTCTCAGAGCAGTACAAACCGACCAGCACTGGATTTTCTCTGTCTGGGTCCATCATCAATGGCACTTCTGAGTTCCTCTAGATCTAGCAGCTACCACCTGACCAAAGCTATTGGATCAAGATCCCTGATTGGTGGACATCCTATTGGTGATCTTCCAAGGCACTTGATATGTGTGTGCCACCCAATCGCCAACACAGACAGCTTGCATTTTCCACAGAAGAGAACTAAGGTGAGACTCCAAACCCCAAGCAGGTGACCTGAGCAAAGACACTGTCGGTCTAAAACTATAACAGAATAGGTGGCATCTGTTAGAAAGATAGGCTTTACAAAAGTACTGCGGTTTATTATGTTTTAAATATCTAAGTTAAGAGGTTTAAAGTCAAACACACACAAGAGTAGTCAGGTTGCACACTGACCACAACAATAAAAACTGTGGGCGGCAGTCATTTTTCTATACAGGAAGCTCTAGAAAGTTATGTTTCTAATAATCTTATTTCCAGCCTCCACCAATTCTCCATCCAAACCTCTAAATCTGAATAAGGAAAAATAACTCAGAGCAGTTGTTTCCAAAGAATTTACTGCCCCTGGATTTTGAGGATCATTAATGATGTTCATTTGCAAATGACTTGCCTTTCGCTTGGGACTCAGCCTGGCAGTGTGATGGAGGGCAACCTGTATCAGATTTTGAAAATTAGTCTTTCCCAGGTGAGTCTTATACACCCTGAAGTGGGGGACACCACCAATGTGGTGGGAGAATGCCACAGGTGATGAGAGAGAAAACAGGAATCAGCCCTTGGAGAATTAGAACTATTTTAAGTCCATCTGTATTCTCATCCTTCCATTTGCCCAATTTCTGTTAGGTACATTTGAAAATAAACAGAAATCTGTTAAACAGATTGATTACTGAGAATCTATCTTTTTCTCCATAGACTTACCTCATAGAACTACAAAAGTCCCTACCAGAATTGATATTTCTGTGCCATGAGATTGTTGTAAAACATCTGCCATTCGGGCCACTGTATTGGTTTGTAAAAACCTAACAAACACAGAGTGGCTGCTATCACTCTCCGTTCTCTGTCCCGACCCTCAAAGTCTCAGAACAGTATAAGCTGACCAGAAATGGATTTTCTCTGGTTTCATTATCAATGGCATTTCCAAGCTATTGGATCAAGATCCCTGATTGGTGGACATCCTATTGGTCCTTTTCCTATTGGTTCCTGGATGACAAGCCATTGTTTATTGGTTTATTTTTTCTTCCCACTGATGTCGAAATCATGCAGCAACTGTAATGACGAGTTGTTTGCAACAAGATTTTGGAAAACCAGGGAGTGGGGCAAGCAAGGGAAGCAAGGGGGCTGGACTCCTTCCATGGCCACCAACACATTGAAGGAAGGGCATTTCCTGGCTCCATTTTAAGTGAAATTCTGGCTACACCAAGCAGGAGAATGCATTATCAAATGATTGCAAAGGCTTATTCTTTCATGAGAACTCAATGGTCTTCTCGACTCTCCAACTTTGACCTTGGATTGCTAGCCCTTCTCACTTGCTCCCGGGTAAGGGGCAGATGGGCTTCCCATGTGCCTAGAAGGGTTTGGCCAAGCATCTCTAAAGTAAAAATGTGCTTTTGAAGAAAATTAAAGACCATTACTAGAAAGCTGAAAAGCAGGGTTCTGAGAAAACCCACTTGTGTTTTTGCCTTTTTAATTTAAAGATTCTGAACTAAATCACAGGGTTATTTTTAGAAGATCTCAGAATTCTAGATGAAATCACCCTCTCTTGGACACTGTCCAAAGACTATTGCCCAGACTCTGTTTGGGTCAGATGTTCAAATTGCTAAACAGAATCATTTTATGTCAAGATACACCAAACTAATGCAGGTAGACATGAGCCAATATACAGCTAGCTGAGCAAAAAGCCGGGCCAAAAATACAAACTAGAATGTAGAAGTCCATATTCTTTCCTCTAAGTTCGTAGGTTTTGCCTTAATTTATCATATCTTTTATTTTGCCTTGGGCTAAAACCAGAGGTGGACTTATCTTAAGGCAAGAGCATATTTTCAAAATCTTTGTGGTCTTCCCCTTCCAGGCCCTAGAAAACTATCTGTGCTTAATGAATATTTATTTGAATTGACCATAAAAATGGTTACATTAATGGTAGTAACCAAGATATTTAACACGAGTGCAAGGTTTATAATTTTTAGTGCTTTTTAAAATACATTTTATCTTAATACATCCTTGTAACAAATTTATATCATAACCTACTCTTGTTTTCCCAAATTACAGATGTGAGAACTGAAGCTCGGAAGTGGTAAAAGCTAGTTCTGTGATTCTTTTTTTTTTTTTTTTTTTTTTTTTTTTTGAGACAGAGTCTCGCCCTGTCGCCCAGGCTGGAGTGCAGTGGTGCAATCTCGGTTCGCTGCAACCTCCGCCTCCTGGGTTCAAGCAATTCTCTTGCCTAAGCCTCCCGAGTAGCTGGGATTACAGGTGCCCACCACCAGGTTCAGCTAATTTTTTTTTAATCTTTAGTAGAGACGGGGTTTCACCATGTTGGCCAGGCTGGTTTCCAATTCCTGACCTCGTGATCCACCCGCCTTGGCCTCCCAAAATGCTGGGATTACAGGCGTGAGCCACCGCACCCAGCCTAGTCCAGTGATTCTAAAACCCTTGAATTTTGTTCACCACCCCACATGCCTAACGTTTATTTTATGTTTGGGAAACTTACTCATGTGTGTGTAAATGTTTTCTTCTCTTGAAATCAGAAAATACACACAGGAAAAAATGAATGATTTGGTCTCTGACAGAGAACAACTATAAGCAGAAAATATTTCTGAATATTTAAGAAGTACCAGAGAGCTTCTAATTTCATGCTGAAAATAAAATTAAAGGTAGATATTTTACAATGGACCTATTTTTCTAATACGGATTGAACATCCTAAATCCAAAAATATGAAATCTGAAATGCTTCAGAATCCAAAAGTTTTTCAGCACTGACATGATGCTGAAAGAAAATGTTCATTAGAGCATTTTGGATTTCAGATTTTCAGATTTGAGATGCTCACAAGTATAACGCAAATATTCCAAAGTCAGAAAAAATCTGCATTGGAAACACTTCTTGTCCCAAGCATTCAACCTGTATTAATAAAATAAAAAATATGGAGGGTAGGGGGAATGGGAAAAAAATAAAATGAAAATATGAAAAGAAGATGATAGACTCCTAAACCCTAACGGTAAAAACTTAGAAAGTTGGAGAAATAAAGTGTTAGTGGAGAAATGTGGACCCTAATACCATGCTGGAAAAGTACAATTTAGTTCAACATTTATAAAGAACAATTTTGTAGCATGTAAAGTCTGAAAGCCATACTGTTAAGGATATTCATTATGACATTGTCCATATAACTAAAAACACAGAAGCATCAGAACCTCATGCAATCATGTTTTTATTGACATAGAAAGATAACCACATTATATTATTAAATGGAAATATTGGTTGAAAAATATTGCAATTCCTCTTTATATTTTGCTTCAAAAATGTGTATATCAATGCCAAAACTTTTGAACAGTTTTTTGTTTGTTTGTTTTTGGATGTTATATTAGTTACCTATTGCTATATAACAAATTATCCCAAAATTTAGCATCTTAAAATAAAAAAAATTATCATCTCACAGTCTATGAGAGTTAGGAACCTGGGCATATCTTGGTTGCATGGTTGGCTCAGATTCTCTCATGAGATGACAGTCCAGTTGCTGGCTGTCTGTCCCAGGCTTGCAGTCTCTGAAGCTTTGGTTAGGGCTACAGGAAACACTTCCAAGTGCATTCATAAGTTTCCGTTATTTGCAACATGGGCTGCTCATGACATGGCTTCCAGAGAGAGAGAGAGAGAAAGACAGAGACAGAGAGACAGAGACTAAGACAATTTCAACGATATAATGTGGGCACTCCATGAGGGCGTGACTACAGGAGGCAGGGATCGTTGAAGACTGTCTTGGAGCTTGGCCATCATAGCCCATCCTAATCATCCTTAATGATTCACATTCCTCTAAAAACATACACTTCCAAGGCCCACAAAAGTTTCACCTCATTATGGTATCAGCTCACAGTCCAGAATCCCCTCATCTAAATTCAGTCTAGGTGCAAATAAGGCTCCTCAGGTGTTATTCCTTAAGTACAGATCCTCTCCCTTTGAAGGCTGTTAACTAAGGAGACAAGTTATCTGTCCTCCAATATATAATGGTGGGACGGGACAGGATAACTGTTATATACACTCTTACTCCAAAATGAGGAAAATGGGAATAATGCAGGAATCAGTGGTCCATATAAATTCTGACATCCAGTTGAGCAAATGTTGGAAGTTCCTTAATAAGGGCACAGTCCTATGCACACCCAGGTGGTTTGATTCTCTGTGACCCTTGGCTCCACCCTCTGGGTTCTTGCTTCTTCCCTCTGAGGCATCCTGACTTTTTAATGAAAGGAGCACTTGTTTATAGCTAGGGTTTTTTTGTTTTGTTTTGTTTTGTTTTGTTTTTCTCCACTTGTTCCCTGATTGCAGAAGCTTAGTGGCTCTATTCATTTTGTATTGTCTCTGTACCTTTCAGCACAAGCCAAAAGATCTTTGCCTGATATAATTCTCTTAGAAACTTTGTGCATTTCCTGTGAATCTTTGGGGAGGTTTATTCCATTAGACAAAAGCCACACCCACAAATCTCTTTGACATAAGCCCTTGGGGGTGTTGAGAAGGCTGACAGAGGATGCCCTCAAGCTTCCTAGGAGCTTTATTGTATAATTGAGAGAGTCTGAAAGACATACTTGTAAACTCAGAAGGCCTTTTGCATGACTTAAGACTTACCTTTAATCTTTTTCGGTTCTTAAAGAATTTTACAGTCATGCCTTGGGCTTCATCCTTAGATTACACATTTCTGGGAGGGTCCTGGATTATACTTCTGCTCTGAAGCCATTTTAATTTTTTAATTTTAGCACTGTCTGCTGATATGGTTAAGCTGTGTCTTCCAAAAGGACATGTTGAAGTACTAAGCCCTGGTACCTGTGAATGTGACCTTATTTGGAAATAGGGTCTTTGCAGAGCTAATCAAGTTAAAATGAGGTAATTAGGGTGGGTCCTGATCCAATATGACTAGTGCCCTGATAAGCGGAAGAGACAACAGAGACTTATGGGGAGATATCATGGGTATGTCATGTGATGACAGAGGGGGAGCCTGGAGAGATGCGGCTGCAAGCCAAGGAATATCAAGCATTGCCAGTAGCAACCAGAAGCCAGAAAGGGCAAGGAAGGATTCTACCCAGGGTCTCAGAGGGAGCAGGGCCCTGCTGCCACCATGATTTCAGATTTCTGGTCTCCAAAGTTGTGAGAAAATAAATCTCTGTTGTTTTAAGCCACCTAGTCTGTGGTGGTTTGTCACAGAAGCCCTCAGAAATGAACACATTGACCATATGAAGAGCTCAGGGATCTTCAAAACCATATTAACTGCCAGGTCCTGCATATTAAAAGCTCTTTCCTTGAGATTCTCTCTCTCTTCTTGCACATCACTGAAAGCCACAATAAGAAGGCAGGCAACACCTTCAACTTGCGGGATGGACATCTCCTTTGCTAGATCACTTCATTGATTGGGTACATTTTCTACTTTCCACATAACTTCAGGCAACAGTGTGGCTACAGCTATGCCACTACGTAACAAGGATCCCCCTCCTCCAGTTTCCAATAATTTTTACCTCATTTTCCTACAAGTCCTCACCCACAGGTTAAGATCATAAAGGTTTCTGGTAATAATTTCGTCAAGGTACTTTAGGCTTCTACTAGGACTCTTCTCAAAGCTAACTGCATAGGTGCAAACCCACACTCCCATTTAGGCTTTTGTTATGTCAGCACCCAACTTTTGGGTGCCCAAATCTGGATTAGGTATCTGCTGCTGTGCAACAACCTGCCCCAAACCTAGTGGATTACACCAAGTGTTCATTATGCACACAGTTTCTGAAGCCTGGGAATCCAGAAGCTGCTTGATGGTGTGGTTCTGGCTCAGGGACTCTCATGAGGTTGCAGCAAGTGTTGACTGTCCCATGCTTGCAGTCTCTGAAGCTGTGACTGGAGCTGCAGGGTACACTTCCAAGGTTACTCATGTGGTTGTGGGCAGGAAGCTTCAGTTCCTTGACACCTGGGCCTTCCCATAGGGCATTCTTATGACATGGTTTTGCCCAGAGTGATTAGAGATAAAGAGAGAGAGTGCAACAGAGTGACCAAGATGGAAGTCATAATGTATTTTATCTGGAAGCAACATGCCATTATTTCTGCTGTATGTCACACAGACCAACTCTGGTACAGCATGGAGAAGACACTCAAGGCTGTGACTATCAGGAGGTGGGATTCTTGGGGGTCCATCTTGGAGGACAAAATGTATTTGGCACATACAGGCTCATGGTTATGAGGTCATCATTTTGCCTTTCTGGTTAATGCTTTTGATAAGATTAATATTGCCAACTGGTAGTGGCTGGATTATGTCTCTCTAAATTCAAACATTGATGTCCCAACTCCTAGTACCTCAGGATGTGACCATATTTAAGAGATGGGAGTCTTGAAAGAGGTGATTCAGTTAAAATGAAGCTGTAGAGTGGGGCCCTAATGCAATACGACAGTATTCTTATAAGAAGAAGGACACCAGGGGTGTGGGTGCATGGATGGATGGCCATGAGAGGTAGCAAGCGGGGCGGCCATTACAAACCAAGGAGAGAAGCTCAAAGAAAACCAACCCTTTGGGAACCTTGATCTTGAACTTCCAGCCCCCAGAACTGTGAGAAAATAAATTTCTGTTGTTTAAGGCACTCTGTCTGTGGTATTTTGTCATGGCAGCCCCAACTAACTAATATAACAACCTTTTGACAGATATCTGAAAATATCTTGCTGTTTCCCAACACACATTTACTCATTGTTTACTTTTGAAAATCTTTTAAAATATCATTTTTTGTTTTGATGTGTATAGTTATACATCAATGCATATAATTAGATTTGTTTCTATACACAATGTGTAATCTAATCTAATCTGAGAGTCTGTGCTTTTACTAGGAGGATTGAAACCTCTTTCATTTCATATTATAGCCCATTTTAAATCTAATCCCCCACTTTCCAGAGGTGGGAGCTGGAGGGATTTAAGGCTCTCTAGGATGAAAATGTATCAAAAGCTGCCTCTCCACTGCTTAAGGGATCATATTGTAATGGAAATGTTGTTTTCAAGGAATTACCAGATCAACTCAGTTCAAGATCAAAGCATTAATCTTCTGGGGCCAGAGAGAGGGGTCTTGAGTTGAGCCAAATTAGAAGAGACAAAGGGGATATCACAATTAATGGGAAACAGATTTAGGGAAGCAATCCCGGAGAAATTCTCAAACCAAGGCGCAATTCGCAGTGGGAACTTTTTAAACAGCTCTCCTGGCCTTGCTGTGGGTTCACTTAAAGGAGCCGCACTGGAGTGTCTTTGAGTCTTCTGAGAACATGCTTTCTGATTTGTTCTTTGCTTTGCTCTGATTACACAAACTTCTGACCACTTGTTTATCTTCACTGCTTTGTCTGCTGCAGTGATTTGGAAAACAAGCATTCTGTGTTCAGTAGTTATGTTAGCTTTCAATTTAATAAAACATATATTTTAACCTATGTTTCTCTAATTACTAAAGTCAGAACAAAACAAGGTCTTTTGCTTACCCTGTAATTAATGTAAGAAATTCAGTATGTTTTTACTTTGTCTTTCATCTTACCTTAAAAATTCGTATAGACTATTACAGAACCAGTTTATCAAGTTTTTTAAAAAATCATGTTTTTTTCCAAAAAAAAAATATTTTTAGCTTCCGTATTATTTTTTGAGACAGGGTCTCTCTCTGTTGCCCAGGCTGGAGTGCAGTGGTGTGATCTTGGCTCACTGCAACCACTGACTCCCAGGCTCAAGAGATTGTCCTGCCTCAGCCTCCTCAGTAGCTGGTACTACAGGAATGTGCTGCCACACCTGGCTAATTTCTTTGTATTTTTTGTAGAGATGGGATTTTGCCATGTTGCCCAGGCTGGTCTCCTGAGCTCAAGCAATCCGCCTGCCCTGGCCTCCCGAAGTGCTGGAATTGCAGGCATGAGCCACCACGCCCAGCCAATTTCGTGACTGTTTTTTAAAAACATATAGTATTGGCTTCACAGGGACCGCCAATCTTTTTATATCTTGACTTCCTTATTTTAGAGTTATTCATTTTGATTCTTTTTTGTGTCCTATGGAGTAAATTTTAAGATAACTTTTTAAGGAAGGCTATATTAGTGAAATTGCTTCTGATTCTTAGATATCTAAAAATATCTTTCCATTGGCTGTACTCAGGGATTAAATCTGGCTTGGAATATTATGCTTAGATCATGAAGTTTCCTCTTTAGAGGAGTACTTATTACTCCATTTGGAGCTAGTGAATGACAGCAGCTAGCCTAATTTTTTCTGTTTTTGAGTAAGCTATTATTTTCTGTCTTGTTGCTCACATTCTGTTCTCTTTATTCTAGATTTTTCATCTATGTCTAAGTATAAGTCTTTTTTTTCCGTTAGCATAATGGAAATGAAGGAAATTCTTTTTCTACTATGTCTGTGATTATTATTTCTGCTCCTTTTGTCCCAGCACTTCCAGGAATATTTGTTATCCATAGGTTAGATTTCTATCATTTCACTCTGCTTCTGTTTTCTTCTCTTATCGTTTTGTCTTTAGCCTTTTCTTCTATAGTCTTCGAAAACAGTTTACAGATTGCATTTTCTCCCTTGTTAATTCTGCTCTTCACCGCAGCTGTAGCATTTTTCCTTTTGGATATATCCATCTCTTATTTTGGCTGGCTCCATGTTTGATATGTGGAGGATATGTGGAGTGATTTAAACCCAACTGAATGCGTTTGTGGGGTCTGGCACAGCCTCACCTCAGATCTACGCCTGGGGGAAAAATTGATTTACACAATTCCTAGCCTGGCTTCCTGCAGGTTCTCATCCAGTGTGGCTTTGTTCCACGAGGGTGGATCTTGGCTGCTTTCTGCTTCCAGGGCACTTCTGTTTCCAAAGCATTTCCTAAGAGAATACCCATTCCCATGTACCATCCATCCTCTTCCCTTCTACCCCTGCTGTGTTGTACTAGGAGACATGACCTTGAAATTCATATAAAAAGGGGTGAACTGGAAGGGGAGAATTGCAGGAATCCAATTCTGGCTGGCTTGGAACCTAATTCCCATGCAGAAGGAGAGAAGCAACCTGGACTCTTGTTATGGTAGCCCTGAGCCCCTGGCCTGGACATAGAATAGGAGCAGTAAAGCCTTCTCCTGGGGTTCCATTGGCTATTCTGTGCCGGATCAGAAGATGAAACAGATATTGCTAGGGTGGACAGTGATCCCTCAAACTAACCCCACTGGCACTGTACTTGGTGGAAATTTCCTCTAGATTTCTATCAATGCTGACACAAGGTTTTATGCTTTTGCAGAGCTTTACAGGTATTTTAATAGGAGACAGAATGCATCTTAGACTAACCCAATGTTAATTTTTACATATGCCTGAGGCAGTTCCCCTCCCTGTCTTAGAGAACGATGTACTCTTTATACACATAAAACAATGATTTTTCAACTTTGATAAGGGCTGAAAATTACACCACTCATCAACTCCCATGGCAGCCACATGATGCCTGCAGGTGGAATTCTACAAGATGACATAAAGGGGGTTAAACAGAAGCATCCTGGCCTCTAGAGCAAGCAACGGTATCATGCAAAATGGCCCGTAGGAACTCTAGCCGCTTCCAGGAGCTTGTCATTAGGCTGACTCATCCTCTACTAAACTTAACAGATAGTTCACCAGCAAGGATATCCCTTAAACACATGTCAAAAGGAAAAATATAACACAGTGTATCTTTACCTTATAATAAATTCTGGCCACCAAACCCCGCTGAAGAACCCTTTCACGAAATTTCACTGCTTTCAACAGAAAGGCGAGATCATCAACTGTGTCCATGTTAAATGCCAGGAAACTGAAAGAAAATCACGGTGACCATCATTATTATTTTGGCCTCACCAAGAATTTCATTTGAAAGAAATAGAGTAGGTTTGTTTTTTAAAACTATTTTTTTCTGTAGAAAAATAGTGTCAATAGACATAATCTCCCCATCCCATCTCTCACTGACTGTATTCATAATTCTTTTCGGTAATCTTAGCTCTAGTTTATTCTAGGTGGTTGTCCTTGTGGTATAGAGATGATTTGGTTTCCTAATTGTTCCACTTACTATTGTATTATAAGTAGTGTTCAATATTTTACATAGTCTTTCTTAGTTAACAGCAATGTAATTTCTGTCAAGTATAATCAACCATTATACAATTCATGTATAACTCAATCATTATACAATTCTTTTTTTTTTTTTTTTTTTGAGACAGAGTCTCACTCTGTTTCCCAGGCTGGAGTGCAGTGGCACGATCTCGGCTCACTGCAACCTCCACCTCCTGGGTTCAAGTGATTCTCATGCCTCAGCTTCCTGAGTAGTGGGGATTACAGGCACATGCCACTGTGCCTGGCTAATTTTTGTATTTTTAGTAGAGACAGGGTTTCACCATATTGGCCAGGCTGGTCTTGAACTGCTGACCTCAAGTGATCTGCCCACCTCAGCCTCCCAAAGTGCTGGGATTACAGGCATGAGCCACTGTGCCTGGCCCCCATTATACAATTCTGTCAAGTGAGTTTATAATAATAACTCAACCACTATACAGCTCTATCAAGTGAGTTTATAATAACCACTGCTGGGCATTTATTATAATTATTATAATTGGATATTAATAATCAAATATATCTATTACAAAATATTTATCAATTAATAATACTTATTAAATATATTATATATCAGGAATTGTGTTCATTATCTGCTGTGAATTATTCAATTTTCTCGATAATTCTAGAATACTATAATTATCCAATGTAGAGTTTAGGAAACTGAGGCTTAGCAAGATTTGGTAACTTGCTCAAGGTCACACAGGCAGAACTCAGTCAAGCTCAGGTTTTGTTGGGGAACATCAGCATTTAAAGCAAGAGGCACCCTGGAGGGAAGTGATAGGGCTGTGTGCAAGCACAGGGGAGGATGTGCTACAGAGATGGTAGCTTTCTTCAGCAGGCAGCAATTCCCATCTTTCCCATTTGGCAAATGAGGAAACTGAGGCACAGAGGAGTTAAGAGAGGTAAGCACAGACTCAAAACAACCAAGTTCACAATTAAAAGCTCGTGAGCTTTTCATCATGAAACTCTATTTCATGCCAATTTTATGGACCCACCATGAACCTTTAGATAACCTAGACAACCAGGGGAAGGGTTAATTCACACTTAGGGTTTCCCATAGCACAGCCACCTCTTGCCCTCCCCTTTCCCCACTTCCTGAGGAAGTAAGTTATTACAAGACTCAAATAACTTAAATTCATATTAACTAAAAAAAAACCCAAGTGGCTGTTGTTGCTCAATCAGAAGGCACGAGAGAAACGTTAAGAAGCAATTGACGCAGTGCTTTTGAGATGCCAAGTGCTGAATTAATAATCACCCTCCATTTAGACAGGGAAGAGGAAAGTATTTACATGCCAATTACCGGGACATTTAAAAGATGTCAATGTTTATTCTGAATCTGGGCTTTAAGAAGTTTGGGTTTCTGCCTCAGTCTATTTAATGAAAGATGTAAAAAGCTTTCATATATTATTGAAAAGTATGTTTTAGTCATTCCAGGGGCTGATATTGGAAATTAGCTTCCCTGGAATTCAGACTGTAGAACATGTTTGTCCACCTGAGATTGTGAACTGCACGTGCTGCAGGAAGGGGATCTCACCCACTCGCTGAGTCATGTGAGTCACATGTCATGTAGGTCTAGGAGCCTGCCCAGTGCAGTAGAGTGTGCAGACTTTCTTTAAAAATAGAAACATTGCTAAAGGCAACCTCCTTGTAACTGTGTATTTTACAAGAAGATCCAAATGACTCTATTTTTAAATAAAGTTTAAATTAAATTAAAATAAGTATCATTAGACATCAGGGAAATGCAAACGGAAACCATAGTGAGGTAGCATTATACATCCACCAGAATGACTACAATTAAGTACACTGACATCAAGTGTTGCCCAGGATCTGGAGAAACCAGAACTCTCATGCTTGCTGATGGGAGTGTAAAATGGTGAAATCTCTTTGCAAAATGTTGTCACAGTTTCTGATAAAAATAAATGAACACATACCCTATGATCTAGCAGTTTCACTCCTACTAATTGCCTAAGAGAAATAAAAACATATGCTCACAAAAAAGGTTATACAAGAATGCTCATAGCGGTTCTACTCACAGAAGTGAGAAACAGCAAACATCCCAGGTGTCTATTCATCCATAAGAGAATGATTCTACTATATCCATAAAGTAAAATACTACAATAATGAAAAGAAACAAACTAATACACACAACAACATGGGTGAATGTCAAAAAGTATTATGCCAATTTCACGAGGCAGCTACAAAAGAGTACATACTGCCTGGTTCTGTTTATGTGAAGTTCTAGTATAGAAAAACTAATCTGTGGTGGGAAAATATCAGAAGAGTGGCTGTATCTGCGTAGTGAGATTGTCCAAGAAGGGGCATGAAAGAACTTTCTGGAGTGATGATCTGTATCTTAATATGAGTTTGGTTACATAGGTTTATGCATGTGTCAAAACTCAGTGAATGTACACTTAAGATTTGTGCATTTTATTGTACGTAAATTCAACATAAGAAGAACTATAACTAAATATGTAACTGTAGTTAATGACGCTCATGCTAAATTATTTAGAAATGTGCTGATGTCTACAGTTTATTTTGAAATGGATCAAAAAGAGAAGGTGAATGGATGGGTGAGTTCCATACACAGATCCATAGATATGATAGTGATATAGCAGGTACAGTAATAGGTTGATAGAATCTCCATGGTTTGTACATAAATGCTTCCTGTAAAATTATTTCAACTTTGCTGAATATTTGTAAATTTTACAGCATAATGTAGAAAAACACGTTGGGTGCAAGGCAAAATCTTGACTTTCCTGGACATCTACCACCACCTCCTAAAGGTCCACAGGCTGATGAGAGTGGGAGGGGCCCCAGTGGCAGGCTACCATGCAGGAGGAAGAGAGACAACCCTTGCAGGGACAAGCCAGAGCTGAATGGGGCTATCTGCAGAGCCAGGTACAACCCCCTTTCAAAGCCACTTCCTTTCAGGGCTCCTCTCCCTGCCATGCTCCATCTGCCTTACCTCGTCCCATGGAGGCTTTTCAGTACCATGACTGACTCCTTCCAGGCCGAAATGAGGGGTAGTTACTGTGCGGACAAATGGGTGCCCACTGGAGGGATTTAAGGGTACCAGGAAGTTCTCAGCCCATCTTTCCTCAGGTCCCCACCTGCTCAAGAGTACCTTTCTCAGGGCTGTCACTATGCCTACTATCCTACTGCTCTCGGAGTGCAGACTCCATGAAGACAGAGCCCCTAGTAACTGCTGATCACCAATGCTTAGAGAAGTGCCCGGTACACAGTGAGTGCTGAAAACACTTTGATGACAAAGGCTTTCCTTCATATAAAGTCAGAGTAAGTAAAGTTTCGGGATTTAAGTAGATAAACACAGGGACTGAATCAGTAAAACCTAGATGTGTGGGAGACAGATGTACACTGTTTTGGAGGTTAATAACTGAGACAAAAATAAATGGACTGGAACTTTCCAAATATTTACATTTGGAATACTGCCTTTGGCACATCTCAACTCTGTGCTGGAAAATGTGCTAGGGATATAGATTTGCATATGGGTGAGAGCGTGTCGTGCTTCCAAAATGATGGAATCAAGCCCTGCTTTGCTATCTGAAAAAGAAACGAAAGGGCAGATGATTTGTGGCCAGTTGGGGAACAAGTTTCCTGCAAGGATGGAACTGATTCTGGTGGGGAGTCGTACTATTCTTTCAACTCCTTAATATGTTGGACAATTTTCAAACTAATACATTGGAGGAAAAAGCTAACCATACTGTAAACGTCCTACTCAACAGCTAGAAATATTAGGAAGACCCACTAGCTCTAGTATGAAGACAAATGGAGACATTTAAACTAACAGAGACTCCAGTGAAACAGTCCTAACATGTAGGAGCTCGTGTTTTCAAGCTTTAAGATGGACCACAGTTTGAATAAACAGGGTCCTGAGCAGCAATAAAAAAAGGAAAAAAAAAGACAGATAACAGATTTCTCAATTTCACGTCATCCCAATGGCTATAAAGAATCCCAGGCCATCATTTACTGTGTTTTCCATGTGTTTAATCAGGATTGTGAGATTCTATTTTCTAATGAATAGTTTCCTTAGAAACTAGTTCAATACTTTTGGTTTGAGGGACCAATAATCTCATTCAAAAAAATAATAATTAAAAAATACACAAAAGAAAAAAGCATAACAAGCTCTCTAAAAGTATAATATAGGAGACAATACATTCATGAGCATAAATCAATGAAATAGAAAAGAAAGGTATGACACAAAGGATCAAAGGGAAAAATCAGTTGTTTGAAAAATAACAATAAACCAGTCAAACATCTGAATGAGACTGAGCAACAACAACAAAGAAAGGAGAAAGCATAAGAAGGCATTTTAGGAATGACAAATGAGACACAACTACAGATCTAGCAGAAGTTAAAAAGGTAATGATAGAATAGTACACATAAAAACTTATACCAATAAAATCAAAACCAAATGAATAAATTCCTAGAAAAATACAATTTACTTAAACTAACATGAAAAGAAAAGCCTAGGCTTTAAACAATTAAGCTAATTAAATAGTTTACTCGCCAAGCCCGGATTATTTTCAAATTTGATGAATTATCAAATTCTTTCACAGAATAAGAAACCACTCCCCCCAAAATAACTCTATGAGAGATGTAAAACTTTGACATAAATCTAAATCAGGCATGTACAAGAATGGAAAACCATAAATATACAATCTCCTCCCCCTAAAAAATACTAACAAGCCAAATCCAAGAAAATATAAATATGATAATACAGCATAACAAAATTGAGTGTTTCTTAAGCATGCAAGGGTAGTTTAACATTAGATGATCGGCAAAAATTATTCACCAAACTAACAAAATGAAGAAGAAATATATGATCGTTTCAACAGATGCAGAAAAATATCATTTGATAAAATTAATCTGGTAATGACAAAAATACATTTAAAATGTATAAGCTTCTTTAGGAAGTAAAGTGTGTCTATCAAAAACTTCAGCACTCCAGCCTGAAAGACAGCACAAGACCCTGTCTCTAACATAATAAATAAAATCAGCAATAAGACAAAAGAACACCTTGTAAGATGGCTTCTATTCAAATTGTGTTGGTGGTCCTAGCTCTTGCTGTGAGACATGAAAAGAATAAAATAAATAACAGTTGGAAAGGAAGAAATAAAAATTTATAATTTGCAAATTAGTGTCTATGGAAAAAAACTCCAAAGAATCTACAGACACATTTAAAAGAAATTTCTTTACAGTCAGATTTATAAACAAAAGCCAATTGCATGTATAATAAATCATTAACTACAAAAATCATAATTTAAAAATATTCTTTTAACAACAAAATTATAAAGTAACCAGTAATAAATCTATGAAAGGATATAGTATGTATGGAAAAAATTATACAACCCTGAAGGACACTTTGAAGATGAAAATCTTTGAGAGGAAGACCTGCTTTATAAATATGTCAATTTTCTGCAAGTATATAGATTTAATATATTTTCAAAGAAACTTTCAGCAGGTTTGCAGGCCTGTGATAACAAATAACAAATGGTAAATAACAAAACATTTACCATTTTAATTTTATTTATTTATTTTTTTGAGACGAAGTTTCACTCTTGTTGCCCAGCCTGGAGTGCAATGGCGCAATCTTGGCTCACTGCAACCTCCGCTTCCTGGGTTCAAGCAATTCTCCTACCTCAGCCTCCCAAGTAGCTAGGATTACAAGCATGTGCCACCATGCCTGGCTAATTTTATGTTTTTAGTAGAGACGGGGTTTCACCATGTTGCCCAGGCTGGTCTCAAACTCCTGACCTCAGGTGATCCACCCGTCTCAGCCTCCCAAAGTGCTGATACACGCATAAGCCACTGTGCCCAGCCCATTTTGACTATTTGTAAGTGTACAGTTCAGTGGTATTAAGTACGTTCACCCTGTTGTACAACCATTACCACTATTCATCTCCACAACGTTTTCATCTTCCCAAACTGAAACTCTACCTATGAAACAATAACTACCCATTCTCTCCTCTTCTTAGCCCCTGGGAACCAATATTCTACTTTCTATCTCTACGAATTTGACTACTCTAGGTATGTCATGTAAGTACAATCCTACAATATTCATCCTTTGTTTTACTTCTAAGAAACTTGACAAACTTATTACAAAACTTACATGAAATGGCCAAAGATTCTGAACAGCCAACCCAATTCTGAATTACATTTCTGATATAATAATACTATAGTAATATTTTATTATAAAGCCAGAGTAATTATAACAGTGTATTGTTGGATCAAAAATACACAAAGAGACTAGGAACAAAATAGCCCCAAGACAAACTCTCAAATAGACGGAGATTTAATAAATGTCAAAGAGACCTTGCAGGTTACTAGAAAAGAATGTCCAATTCAGTAAACGGTGCCGGAACAACTGACTGTCCACAAAGGAGAAAAATAAAATTAGATCCCTTCCTCAAACCATACACAAAAATGTGTATGGATTCAATAATTAAATGTAAAAGGTGAGACTTTCAAAGTTTTAAAGATATAGATTTCATGACCTCAGAATAGATGATGCAGAAAAAGTGTTGGATATAAAAGAAAAGATTGATAAGTTCGACTATAATTAATGAATTTATCTCAATCAAAACACACGATAAAGAAAATATAAGACAAGCCACAAACATAGAAAAGATAATTATAGCATTTGTAACAACAAAGGATAAAGAGCCCTTAAAAATCAATAAGAACAAGACACACACACACACACACACACACACACACACACACAATAAAAATAGGCAAAAAACATGAACAGGCATTTTACACAGGAAGAAATACAAATGGCAAACAGACATGTGAAATCATGCTCATCCTTAATAGTAATTGAGAAAATTCAGTTTAAAGTCAGGGTGAGAGATCATTTCTTATATTGTATTGACAAAAATTAAGAAGTCTGATAGTACCAAGGGTTGGTGAGAACAGAATAAGGCCCCACAAGATACATGCTGCTAATGGGGGTGTAAATTTATACAACCACCTTGAAAAATAATTTGTCACTATCTAGTAAAGTTGAACATTACTCCATAGCACAGCAATTCCATTCCTAGGTAATATATACCGTAGGGGAGTGTTTTTCAAACAACAGATTGCAAATAACTAAAAGGTCATAAAATCAGTTTAAGGGTTGGGGTCAGTATTTTTTTTTTTAGGCAAGGTCTCACTCTGTTGCCCAGGCTAGAGTGCAGTGGCATGATCTCAGCTCACTGCAACCTCTGCCTCCCAGCTCAAGTGATCCTCCTGCCTCAGCCTCCCAAGCAGCTGGGACCACAGGCATGTGCCACCACGCCTGGCTAATTTTTGTATTATTTTTGTAGAGACAGAGGTCTCACCATATTGCCCAGGCTGGTCTCGAACTCCTGGGCTTGAGCAATCCTTCTGTCCTGGCCTCCCAAAGTGCTAGGATCACAGGCATGAGCCACCATGTCTGGCTGAAATCAATATTCTGCTAAGATCAGTATTCTTTAAAAATAAAATTTAAAAATATCAGAGAGCATCACTAGTAATAAATAGGAAGGTAGCCACTGCTCCATGAACTGTTTGCTTCAGTTGCGTCTGAAGTGGAGGTCCTATGGATATATGGGTGTCCATGGTGATTTAAAGTGTATTTCTTATTCTAAGTAATGTCAATTAAGTTTGAAAGCCCTATAAAAACTCTTGTGCACATCCCCCAGAAAACATGTACAGGGTTTTTCATAACAGCATCATGCAAAATATCAAAAAACCATACACAACCCAAATGTCCAAGATATCAGAGATTAGAATGGGTAAGTACAGTGTGGCATATATACAGGATGGAATATTACAGAATATTGTGAAGAGGAGTTCTGCACCTATACTTAACAATTTGAATGATTCTAAGAAACAAAATATTGAGGGAAAACAAAGTTACAAAATGTTACATATATTATGCTTTATTTATAAAGCTAACAGACAATACTGAAAGATTAATACAAACAACCAAAAGCATGGATGTTGAAGCCAGACTGTCTGGGTTCAAATCTCACCTCTGCCACTCACTAGCCATGTAACCTTGAGCAAGGTACTTAACCTCTGTGCCTCAGTTTCCTCATCTGTGAAATGGAAATAAGAACTTACCTCATGGGGTTTTTAGGATTAAAATCTGTAAACTGCTTGGAACAGTGAACATGAAATAAAGAAGGAACTCAAGGAGAAAGAACAGAATGAGCAATGTTTTAGTTTTTAAGTTGGTAGTGAGTGTATGAGTATTCATTTTACAGATTCACAGATTTCTTGCATACAGCAAACACTAAAAATTTCAAGCAAGAGTGAGTTATGCCAAGGCTGTATGAACTCAGGCTTCATGATAACCCACTGAAGGCAGATGATGATGGCCTGAGTAATACGTACCTGGTTCTCAGCTTGTCCCCCACAGATTCAGCCCAGTTTTGGAGCAGGCCAAAGAGTGGTTTTTCTTCATACTGTTTGGTGTATTGGGCCAGCAGTTCCCGCCCCACAACCTGTGCAAAGAGTTTATCGCTCATCAGTCTCAGCAGTGTAAAAAATGACAGTATCTTTAATACTGCAACCCAATAAGATCTATTTGTCACTTAGCAAACTCCTTGGAAGGAATCAAATACAAGACCTCATTCTTACAAGGGTCTCTATTTCCCCAAGGCAAATGTGGGGCATTTATCACACCATCCCCCATCCTCCCCTGTGGCCAACTTCATTAACTACTTATTGCTTGCTCTCCCTTCTTGCCTGTATCAGTCTCTAACACTGGTCCTGGGACCAACTGTTTTAGCTGACACTTTAGTAAAACCTGCTTGCCTTCCGTGGACCAGAAGGCTGGTCCGTTCTCTTTTTCACCCCTGACATTCTCTGGTCAATTAGACCTTTGGGGAATAGTATTGAAATGCACAAATAAAACAATCTCTATCCTCTACTTCAATCTCTATCTTCTACTTCAGCAGCTTTAAAGTTATAATTTGGGCCTAAAATACTGCATGCTCTTCTGTGGCGGTTCAAAGAAGATGTCCATGGCTAGCCCGCTGCAGAAACTCAGCTGATGGTTAGCAACAACCACTAGACATGTGAACGAGGCCACCTTGGACCAGCGTGCCTCCACTCAGCCCCGACATGCTGCTGCCACAGCACGAGTGAGCCCAGGGAAGACCAGCAGAGCAGCAGAAAAACCACGTCGTGTGAGCTTAGCCCAAACTGCTGACCTACAGAATCATGAGCTAACAAATTGTTGTCTCAAAGCACTAAGTTTTGCGGTGGTTTGTTACAAATCAATAGATAGCTGATTCATTCTCTTTCAACTATCAATTTAAGAACATTTCTTCTTTGCTTTATATGCATGCATGTTTTTATACAGATTATATAAAATGTTATGTTTGCTTTAACTCAACAATATATCATAAATGACATTTTTGATTTGCACTGTTATGTAGAATTCTATTTGTTTATTTACTAACCGTATACTTTTGTTTTGATAAATCATAGCTAACTAAACATTTCCATTTGGTTGGATACTTAGGTTGTTTCCAGTTTTACATTGTCATAATAACCTTGATAGCAATATAAGCAGACAAATAGCATAGTCATATTTTGTATTATTTCCTGAGAATAAATCCCCACGAACTTGATTGATACAGAGGCTCTTAAAGAGGGCCACTCTGCCAATAAGAGGGATGCTGAAAACTTTCAAGGCATTTTTGCCTGGGGAAGCTTTATTGGCATTGGTGGGCAGAGCCAGGTATGAAATGCATGGGACCGTCTCAACCAACAGAGGACTGTGCCATACCCCGTGTCCTGTCAAATGCCACGTGGTAAAATACATGCAGGCAGTTAAGAGCCCTGAACTTAGTTACACCAAAGCTTTCAGGTTTTCCAAGTCCCAGGCCTATGGAAGAATTAAACTCCCCTGTTCCCTTGAAATTAGAGGTGCTTTAGGCCAGTACACAAGTGACACCGCCGCCTCTCCTTTCCCATCCCCATGGCAACCTGCAATGCTCCCAGGTGTGACTGGACCATAAGCCTGGGCATCTGCATTCGAGGCTGACACAGTAATTCTGAGTATAGATGCAGGCATTGTATGTCTTGCTGTGATCATGTTTACTTTGTTATTAAATAAATATATTTATAATATAAATAACTTGCCTTTGGTTTCCTTAAGTATTGTCTTGAATTCTTGCAATTACGTCTCTAGATAGGTTATGTGATCCGTGATTTCATTCAGGTTAGTAAAGGGAGTGTTACAAAATATTTATTGTCAAAAAGAGGGCATTAGGTCCAGTGAGATTGAGAATCACTGCATTATGGGTCAAAGAACATGTACATTTTTATGGCTGCTGCTACACAAAGTAAGTGTGAGAATCAAACCCTGCCAGGATCTGGAAAAGTGGGGAAAATAAAATGACTTTAACTAGAATTAAAATTAAAATGATAATAGCAATCCAGTTCCATTTCACTAACGCAATACCAGGATTAAGATTTAACTTTGTTTTTGCTAATCTATAAAATTTATGATGGCTGTAACTCTATCTCACTCTTGCTGCAGAAGCAATGTCACTCCAAGTATGAACAAATTGCTTTCTCTGATTCCCACTCCCACAGCTTTCTCTTACTCTATTTTTCTCCATGGCATTTATGGCTACCTGGTGCTACAGACCACAACTTGTTTACTGGCTTGCTGTCTTCCGGCAGCCTGGAAAGCAAGTGCCAGGGGTCGGAGTGTGTCCATCCTTGTGCCATCAGACAATGTACTGCCCAGAGCCCAGAGGCGAGGACTCACCCTTGAGTAAATGAATAAGTACATTCCCTTCCTGTTCTCCCTATCTCATCCAATACGTCCAATTCCTTGATAAACTCCTTTAACTTCTGCCGCTATTTCCACTTTTTCCATTTAAGCAACTAAAATTGGGTAGAACTAACTCACTCTAACTAGGATTAAAATTAGAATGATACAATAATCAAGTTCAGGTGCTAAACTTAAGAAAGACAAGGGAGATAAATTTGGTTCTGGCTAACATCACAAAAGCAGATTACTCACTTTGGATCTTTGCTCCTTTTCTAGGTCATGGGACAAGGAAACGTGATTTTAAAAATGAGTTTATTTTCTGCTGTTGATGCCCCTTTGGTGAAAGATTAAGTGATTGAAGCCATCAGCTACCACGGGATTTGGGCATTACAGACTCTAGGTCCAGTACTTTATTTTATAAATTACCAGGCAGAGGCAAAGAGAGATCAGTCACCACCTAGACTGAGTGTGCAATGAAGATGTGCTTGTTTTACCTCATAGAGGTGTTCCTGAATATATTATAATATACTATGTAGTATATATGTGTGTGTGTATATATATAATTTTTAACTCTATTTAAAAATAATCGTAGACTCACAGAAGTTGCAAAGTTAAAAGCGCATAGAATGATTCTCTCCAGCCAACACCCAGATTCCCCTAAAAAGTGATCTCTTGGCCAGGCGCAGTGGTGCACGCCTGTAATCCCAGCACTTTGGGAGGCCAACGTGGGTGGATCACCTGAGGTCAGGAGTTCGAGACCAGCCTAGCCAACATAGTGAAACCCCGTCTCTACCAAAAACATTAAAAAATTAGCCGGGCATGGTGGTGCGTGCTTATAGTCCCAGTTACTCGGGAAGCAGGAGAATCACTTGAACCCGGGAGACGGAGGTTGCAGTGAGCTGAGATCACATCACTGCACTCCAGCCTGGGCGACAGAGTGAGACTCTGTCTCCAAAAATAAAATAAAAAAGTGATCTCTTACATAATAATGGTGACTATCAAAACTAAGAAATTCAAAAAAATTTTTATTCATTACATGTTTTAGTTCTAGATATTTCATTACTTAAAATGGACCTAGTAGTAGATTGTTTTGTAAAGTGAAACATTATTTTCAGCAACACAAGTGATTACACTCTCCTGTAAGCCTGGTGTTTTACTTATTCAAGGTTTCCTTAAGACAACTTGTGATAGGTGATTGTGGGTGGTGTTTCTGTGGCTTTTCATACAGGTCTCTGGTTCTGCATGTTCTGCTGGTTCTGCACTCTTTATTTTCATATACACCTGCTCAGGAGCCCCTTTCTTAGTAGAACTCTAGGGTGAGTGAGCAGTCAAAACATCCATGTCTTTTCTTTTAAAAAAGGTCCCATCTGCAGGAGGAATCAAGCAAATCTACAGCCAACATTTGGAAACTGTGAGTTTGGCAATTGTGCAGAATGATGACATCATCAACATGCATTTGCAATAAATATCATATACATCATGCAACATGATTATGTAACACCAATAAAAGTTATTTCTAAGGTCAAATCACTTTTCAAGGCATCTATGAAGCAACCAGCATTTCCTCACACTAAGTATTTCACTGATTTATGCTAGGTACAGTGAAACTTGGATTAAAGAGCCTAACAAGTAGAGTTTGCTGCCAAAGCAGAAACACTTAGAGCCAATTATAATAGAAAAATGTGATTTCCAAGGAGATCCCACCAGATATCCATTATGAATCCAGGCAGTGGGACCATACTTGGGTTTGTACCATAGAGTGGGAGATTGACTCAAAGTGGCAGTACTTACGGCACTGGGCCCCATATCATGCTCCAAGGAGCCCTAGGTAGACTGGCTACATAATTTGGGGCCCAACGCAAAATGAAAATGCAGGCCCCCTTCTTCAAAAATTATTAAGAATTTTATGATGATGAGAACAGAGCACTGAACCAAGCATGGTCCCTTCTGAGGGCAGGGTCCTGTACCACCGCACAAATCTCACCCCATGAAGCTGGCCCTGGCCCTAGGGGTTCCAACAGGACTGCCAGATAAAAGAGAGGACACCCAATTTGTATTTGGACACCAAAATATTGCATGGGTCATACTTATACTAAAATAATATTCTTGTTTACCTGAAATACAAATGTAGCTGGGCATCCTATATTTCTTTTTCCTACATCTGGCAAGCCTAGGTTCCTGAAGGGCATTTCAGGGGTCACCCATGGGTATGAGAATGAAGAAAAGACTAAGGGGATGGTCTTGATTTTCCACCATCATGCATTTTAACTCTTTACCTCTTTTAGATGCTGGACATCCCATCAAGGCAAGATGTCTTCGGGGAGAATCTTTAAAAATTCCCTGGCTAGAAGAAATAGGCAGAGATGGAAGGGATGACAGAAGAAGAAGGGAGGGAAGAGGAGGGGAGGGGAATAGAGGAGAGGAAGAGAGGGGAGAGACGAGAGGAGAAGGAGCGGGGAGAGAAGAGAGGGAAGGGCAAAGGGAAGCGGAAGGACTACTTTAGCACAGAAACCAACAAGTAAGCAGCTCTGAGTAATTGCTGGGCCTTAAACACGGATTTGACTTGAACCCGGGAGGTGGAGGTTGCAGTGAGCTGAGATTGCGCCACTGCACTCCAGCCTGGGCGCAGAGCAAGACTCCATCTCAAAAAACAAACAAACAAAAAAAAACACCAAACCAAACCAAAACAAAAAACCACGGATTTGAACTTCAAACCAGGAAGGATGGATGGATCTGAAGCAGTGATTTAGGCCCAGCAAAAAATCATGCACAATTCAATCGAACTTAAGAGCGGTTAGTTTTGTTGTTGTTTCAGTTAAATCTGGACCTTGTTGGTGTCTCTTTCCAGTTAGATATAAAGTGGTTTCCCCTTTCTGGTTTCCCTCCTTCCTTCCAGCTACATTTATGGAGCACTTACTATGTACAAGGCACCTACTGTTTATATTGAGTATAGGGAACATTAAAAAGATAAATAAGATACAGCCGTCCCTCGGGGTCTTCCAGTGCAGATAGAGAGATCAGCCTATGCACACGCAACTATTCTCAGAGGGACCTGTAAAGAACATGACAGGTACAGAAGCACAGCAAGTTAAAAGTGGATCCCTTTACTATGAGGACTGGGGAAAGCTTTATGGAACAGGAGAGCTTTTGACCTAAGCCTTAAAGAACGAATGAGCTTCATTCATTTGTTCATTCATATATACAACACCTAATAGCAGCAACTACTCATTTTCTTTGAGCATCTATCTACTAAGGCTAAGCTCTGTTCCAAACTTAAGCTCTGTTCCAAACTCTTTAGATGGAATACCTAATTTAATCTTCATGACAACTTTGGGTAGTTCATGGAATCGCTCACCCCATGGTCCAATAATACAACCAAGGCCTAGAGAGGTTCAGCCAGTTGCCAGGGTCACATAGCCAGGAAGCGGTGGGGCTGGGATTTCAACCCAGAGTCCACGCTTTCAGATGGAGTTTCACTCTGTCGCCCAGGCAGGAGTGCAGTGGTGCGATCTCAGCTCACTGCAACCTCCACTTCCCGGGTTCAAGCGATTCTCCTGCCTCAGCTTCCTGAGTAGCTGGGATTACAGGCGCCTGCTACCACACCTAATTTTTGTATTTTAGTAGAGATGGGGCTTCACCATGTTGGCCAGGCTGGTCTCGAACTCCTGACCTCAAGTGATCCACCCGCCTCAGCCTCCCAAAGTGCTGGGATTATGGGCATGAGCCACTACACCCAGCCCAGAGTCCATGCTTTCAATAATTCCACACCTAAGCTGCACCTGCTATATGCCAGGCTCTGTGTAGTCACTGGGGATACAAAGAGAATGCAGGAACCCCTGGTGTGCTGGGGGAGGGGCAAGAGCAGACAGCATGTCAGGATAATGTGACGAGATGACAGGTGAACTCAAAGCTCAGTGGGCACAGAGAGGGGCTGCGCACTCACACTTGACATAAATTCTCAATCTGAGAAGGAACGGTAGCAGCAACAAAGGCTTTCAGGGCCGCGGGCAGAGCGGCTTTAGAGACGCAGCAGCATGGAGAAGCCTGGGCGGCCAGGGTGTACGGCAGGAAGGGGCAGGGGCAGGGCTAGACACCAGGGCCTTGGCTGCTGTCTGAAGAGCTGCCTTTATCCAGGCGCTTTGGGGAACTGAGTGACAGTGTCAGCACCTGGAGCCCAGCGTGGAGACTCAGCAGGCTGCCAGATGAGCCACCTCTGCGATTTCCTGTTAGAATTTCTGACCTGAAGCAGAGCCCACAGGCCCAATGAGGTGGTTGTGGTTGTGTGCTCCTAAGTTAGGAAGTTTGGGGTGCTTTGCTGTGCCACAATAGACAGGAACAGGGAGCTCTTCCAGTCCCTTTCTCCCTTCTTGGGGTCTCTTCTTCCCTTCGCTTCCCATCCCACACACCTGCACCACATGACATCAGTCCCCTGCACACATTTTCGCTCTCCTACCTGGAACTTGCCCAGGCTACTTCATGCCACAGTAGGGGCGTGAGCCCTGGTGTCTGGCAACCAAACCATCACCATATGCAGAACCCATAGCTTATTCTAGTAGCCACAACACAGCTTTAATTGAGCCCCTGCTGGGTGCTGAGTGCTCTACAGGAGTAACTGTAAGAGTCCTCCAAGGTACAGGTGATGGTCCCAGTTTTGCAGGTGAGGGCTGTAACTCTCAGAGGGGCTAAGCCCAGGATTTCACAGTTCCTCAATGTGGGTGAAACAGAGCCTGGGCTATCTGGCCATGAGGCCGCCCTGGCCTAAGCGTGTATTCTTCCTCCAGAGCTCCCTCCTTTGCAGCCTATTGTGTGCAAGGCTCTGTGACTCACCCCATGCCAAAGACGGGTTTTGTTAGACACACCCCTCATAACCCCCATGGCCATTTCACATTAAAAACAAATTATGTGCTTACCTTCTGTTGAAAACTCAGAATTTCTGCAAAGCCTGAACCAATGTTCCCCCAAAGCGATGGTCAGTGGGAGCTGAGGAGAGGTTACAGCCCCCTTGGAAAGGGGCAAAGGCCCTCCGTTTGCACCACTGCCCATGGCAATCTGAGTCTCGGGTGTGCTACAGTTATTAAGGTACCTGCCCGGCCTTGAAAGTGATTGATTTGGTGATCCCTGCTGTGGGCCTAGTCCAAGGGTCCCATGCACATGGTATAAAGAGCCTGGGAGGGTACCCCTGCCCCGCACCCCCTGTGCTCTTCCCGTCACCATCTGTAACTGGCCCAGTGGAGTCCAGCTCAGGAGCACACCACTCCTGCAGGCAGCTGGGGCCCTCACACCCCACACAGACTTCTGGCCCAAACTTCTCACTAAAGAGGTAGAAAATGCCATTTCTCATACAGCTGGGCCACGGGCACCGTCCTGGCCAATGGGACCTATGAGGAATTCAGCTGAAGGTTTCTGGGGAAGGTTTTCCCTCGTGCTGTCTTCCCCAGAATTGTGGCAGCTATTTTGAGACACTGATGAGATAATCCAGAAATCACTCCAGTGTCAATGGAACTGGACGCTGGACAGAAGCAAGGGACTCAAGGGCAGACAGGCCCCAGCTGTGGGGTCACCAAGGAGCATGGTTGGCGTTCTTATGGTTTCAGCCACTTTAGATGGGTATTTATTACAAGCAGACAAATGTGTCCTGACTGCTAACCCCAGTAGTGACTGGGTCTGAACCGAACTCAGGGAAGTGGATGTGTCCACCTTCCCTAGCGCAGGGCCGGCTGTTGTTCCCAAGTGTTTTCCCATCCCATTCTCACCTCCCCTGGCCTCCCTCTACCCTGCACTCACCCCCGGAATCGCCCTCATTTCCAGCAAGCCTCCTCATGTGCATGTGTGTGTCAGCCCCCTCCCAACACCCAAGCCCTGATGACAACAACAAACCGTCCAGTGTTGCTGGAATACATGTTACTTGTGGAATTTTTTTCAACTGAAAAGAGAAAGTAACTTGTCTTAAAGCTGTGACAAAATAAAGAATGAAATGGCAATGGGCAGAATGTTAAAAAAGAAATTCTACTTAGTTTGTTACAACTTGAGCATCGTGCAAACCCTTTCTGAAAGAAAAACAATTCTCCTTAACCCCCAATGTTGATTTGTTTCGAATTATAATGTTACTCAAACATGTTCAAACATAAAACTAGATATAAACACCTTATGTTTATAGCTCTTGTTCAACTCTAAACTATGAAATTAAATACAAGCAAAACTACAAAACCAATAAGATTCAAATCAACAGCCCTAATAACATGTGACAGACTGTGTTTTGCAGCATGAACTTGTTTTTTTCCAGCCTGCACCGGTTCCTTTGGGGGAGTTATACCCACACCTCTGAGGGCTGGGCAAAGAGATCCCTCTGCCACACTTCTCTGCGGTCTGTAAAACTCTCTGCTACGGTTTGAATGTGTCTCCTCCAAAATTTAGGTGTTGCCAACGTAATAGTATTAAAAGGTGGAGACGTTCAGGGGTGATTATGCCATGAGGGCTCCTCCCTTGTGGATGCGATTAGGTGCCTTTAGAAAAGGGCTTGATGGAGTGAGTTCACCCCTTTCTCCCCTTCTGCCTTCTGCCATGTGAGGATACAATATTCAAGGTGCCATATTGGAAGCAGAGAGTAGCTCTCACCAGAGGCCAGCATCTTGGTCTTGGACTCCCCAGCCTCCAGAACTGTAAGAAATAAATGTCTGTTCTTTATCAATTACTTAGTGGTATTCTGTTACAGAAGAAGACATGGACTAAGATACCTCTTCAAGCAGCAAGCACATCATACCAGTCTTCGGCCTCCACTAAACACAGATTTTTAAATCATAGAAAACCTACATCTGCTCTTTCCTCATTGGTTCCTGGTCATCAAGAAGGTGTTCTCTGGTGCTGATGGGCTTAGCAGTGCAAGACAAAGGCCAGAATCCCCACGGCAATCTCTGGTTATATGGTTGTTATCCTGATGATCTGTGTATACTACTTAGACTATATCTGTTTAGATGATCATCAAAATTAAGACACAAAATTAATACATTTTGTCAAGAACTCATAGTCCCCAATTTGAAAAACTACATTAAAATCAAATTCTGGGGAGCAGAGAAGAAAAGACAAGCAAAGGCCCCTGATCCAGAAGGCTCCCTTTCTCCAGAATCTCACACGTGGAGTCCTGATGAGGAACAATGTAAATATTTAGATGCTGCAACATCTGGTTTCGAAAAAATTAGTGCCAGCTTTGCGTATGGGTCAATGGATTTGGAAAGAGAAAAACAGAACTTGTCTGTTCATTCGTGGGAGTAAAGAGGGTTGTTATGTTGGAGGATGGGGTGAGTTTGTGTGCATCATGAGTTGGTTTGTTCTCTTGAAAAGCCCTTCCTTTCTTTGTCACTCTTCATTCCTTTTCTTCCCTCCCTGACATTTTATATCAAAAGGAGAGAAGTTTTTTGTGTTTTTTCTTTTTTTTTTTTGAGACGGAGTCTCACTCTGTCACCCAGGCTGGGGTGCAGTGGCGATCTCGGCTCACTGCAAGCTCTGCCTCCCGGGTTCATGCCATTCTCCTGCCTCAGCCTCCTGAGTAGCTGGGACTACAGGCACCTGCCACCACGCCTGGCTAATTTTTTATATTTTTAGTAGAGACGGGGTTTCACCGTGTTAGCCAGGATGGTCTCAATCTCCTGACCTCGTGATCCGCCCACCTCGGCCTCCCAAAGTGCTGGGATTACAGGAGTGAGCCACCATGCCCAGCCGGGAGAGAATATTTTTTAATGGTTTTAAATATACTTGATCTCTAAAAATTAAAAGCTCTATTAAATAGTCTTAAATAAAAAGCAAAAATCTCCTACCCAATCTTTTACCTTTAATAACTCACTCCAGAAATAACCATTTTTAAGTAGTTTTTGTTCTCCTAGAAGGGGAAGCTTCCCAGTGTGAAGGTCAAATACATTCTCATGTCATGCTTTAGTTTGCTCGTAGTTGGAGCATGCTTTTCTTGAGTGGTTTTGTTTTTCCTGGAGTCTTAATGGACTATTCTTTCTCTTGTTTCAAGAAGAAACATGCCTTTTCCATCATATCACTAGAATCTTCCTGCTTCTTTCTGTTGAACAGAAATTGTTTCCTTCTTAAAGTCATTATTTTGACCCCTCTGACTTCCTGTTCAAATTTGGACTAATTGTTTTCTGGGCTTGTCACGTCACTACCATCCAGGTATTTCTTCACACATACTCCACTTGGGTTAGCTCCCAAAAGCATCCATGTCTTTTAAATTCTTCATTTCTTGAATGCTTTCCTGCAGTTCATCCACAAGTAACATTTTTCAGAAAATGCATATCAAGTGAACTTATAGTGCATTTGAATATCTGTCTTTATATTGCCTCATACTTGATCAATAATTTGGCTAGCTGTGAAATTTTACATTCAAAGCAACCTTCTTCAGAACTTTAAAGGTATTATTCCATTTTATCCTAGACCTGTAGGCCCTTGCCACTCAGTGTGATCCATAGGCCAGGAGCCATAATATCACCTAAGAGATTGCTGGAAATACAGAATTCCCCCACCCCAGAGTCTGAAGTTGAACAAGATATCCAAGGATGTATGGGTACATTACAGTTGAGAAGCCGTTGCATCCTTCAGTGCTGCTTGAGAGGTCTGTGGTCAATCAGACTCTCAGGCCTTGGTAAATAATCCCACGTTTTTTCAGCTTGAGGGTTTTGAGGCCTTTCTTTGTCCTTGCTTGATGTTCTGAAATTCTCCAGGTTGTTTTCAGGTTCTAATCTCTTCCAATGGGTCCCGCCAATCTCCAGACTTTTTTTGCCTTTCTTCATATCTCAAGAATTTTCTTCTATTTCTCTCATTTGACTGCCTCTCTGTATTCTCCAATCCCTTTCTTGGAAATGTTGTAGATTTTAGACTGATTATCCATCAAAAATGGATGGAATGGAAATTTCCCTTTAATCCTACTCCCCCTTTTTTGTCTTTCTGATCTTCATTCTTGGAAGTTTTCTCAAATTTGTTCTTCAGCCCTTACATTGGATTTTTTTTTTTTTGCAATCTTTATTTTTAATTTTCCAAGCACTTCATGGGTCTCTGAATGCTTGTGTTTCATAGCAGGCTGTTCTTGCTTTATGGATACAATGTGGCCACACATCCCTAGGGTTACTAATTAGTTTTTGTTTCTCTATTTTGCTTCCTCCAGTGCCTGTTGTTGTGTTTGTGCATCTTGCTCCTTCTTTTTCACGCTGTTGATTTTTCTTTAATTTTTTTTAGATAATACTATGAAGTCATTGCTCATTTTTTTAGGTGTGATGATGGTTATTATGATTTTATAAGAAAAGATTCTTATTTTTAGAAAATGAACATTGAAGCTCTTAGGGGTGAAGTGTTTTGACGTCTGCAACTTACTCTCAAATGATTTCATGCACACACACACACACACACACTCACACAAACATATGCATAGACGGTAAAAAAGAGAAATTTTAATATGGCAAAGTGTTAACATATAATGAAACTAGGTGGACGGTGTGCCCAGACATTTATTGTACTAGTCTTTCAACTTCTGTCTTGAAATTTGTTTGAAATTTTTGACTGTAAAAGTTGAAAATAAAAATGAAACAAAAATATTTGATGATGCTTGATTGTTCATTCTCTGATTATCCTTAGGAAAATACCCTCGGGAGTCTGAAATCCCTAAGGAATCAGCTTTCTTATAGTAAAACAGATATGTGCTTGGTCTCTTTTATTTTCTTCCTCAGTTCAAATTTGATAGAAACTACACTGGGCTGATGCCCCACCGCTGGTACGCAGCACACATCAGCCGGCCTGCCCCACAGCATGGCTCAGGCATTCCTGCAGGGGAAGAACAGCTAGGTTCCCCAACCCCTGCAGGAAAGGTCTGTCCTACCCCAAACCACATCTCGGCTGAGTCTAGTGTTTTAAGCAAGGAAAAAGTACAAAAGGGGTTTCGTTCTCTTGGCCACCTGCCACAGTCCAGCCCCAAAACAACCCAATGCTCCCTTCTGATTGGAGAAACATTTTGTGCTCTTCTGGACATAAGGCTTGATGGTATTACTACCAGGCTTCCCGTCAGCAGGCACATATCTTGCCATGGGCAGTTCCAAGACAGAGGTCTCTGCAACAGAAGCCAGCCAGATCAGTCAGGAAGAGGACACCCCTTCCTGGTCTTTAAGCAAGTTAATGGCAGGTCATCTGCATTTTTGCATATCTGCACTGCGAAGTAATGAACAATATATGCAAAATCTCTAACTAACATTCTTTAGGGAATCTGCCATAATGGATTAGGAAGGGACCTGTCTTAGTGTATCTCTAATGAAGCAAAAGAAAGTTATAATGGGGTTTCATGGGTGTGGGTAGTAATTGGATTTGGTGGAGGGTATAATTAAATTTCACCAAGGGGCTACAACCTCTGCCCTGGCAAATAATAAAAGGGTCAGAAAACTTTCCATCTTGCTTAAAGGGAAACATGTAAAGCCTGCAGAAATGCCACAGCACATCCCCTCAATCATGGGACAGCAACCTAGCACCTTCAGGATCTTGAAAGTTTTACCTTCTGGTAGAAAGCTGAAAGCACTGTAGGTAATATCAGAATATTGTGAAACTCACTGGCCAGTTTCTCCCCTGTGTCTCCTGAAATTTCCATCTCTACTTCAATAAGGAGAATCAAAGCAGGATCCAGCCCACAGAAGGGTGGCCTCCCCAAAATGGGGAGATTCCAACACACAAGTGGAAGGCTGAGTGGACCAGTACAGGCAGCCAGCACAACCTCCCATCACTGTGGAGGCATCACCCCTGGATGCCCAGCAGCAGAAAACTCCGGGTCCAACGCAGGGCAGTCACCTGGCAGGCTTCCTATGAGGGGGTGCTGACTGATGGCAAACAAGCAGGCTGACCCTCCCCAGCACTAAGCTATGTATTCAGGGGTCTCGGTCTCTCACCCCAAGGGACCAAGCACTGCCTGGCCAGGCTGTTAAGTTTTCTTCCCAGAGAAGGTTTCTGGAGCTGTGGCAGATGCTATTACTGTAGTCGCTCTGATGTGGGGAACTGGGTGTCCTGCTATTAAACAGGCCTTTATGGAAATGCATGACTCTCTGCCTGAATCCCTCTCCTGCTCTCAATCCTTGTGACCCAGTGTCTCTCCACGGTCATCCAGAAGAAACAACCCCACCTCCAGCTGTGTCCACTCAACTTGTGTCTTAGCTCAGGCTGCTATAACAAAATACCATAAACTGAGTGGCTTATAAACAACAGAAATTGATTTCTCACAGTTCTGGAGTCTGGGAAGTCCAAGATCAAAGTAGTGGTAGATTCAGTGTCTGCTGAGGGCTCACTTCCTTGTTCACAGATGGCACTTTCTTGCTGAGTCTGCATATGGTGTAAGAGGCAAGGAAGCACTCTTTGATAAGGCACTAACCCCACCCATGAGGGCAGCGTGATCGTGACCTAATCACCTCTCAAAGGCCCCACCTCCTATACCATCATCTTGGTAGGTTTTGACACATTAATCATGGAAAGACATAAACATTCAGGCTGTAGCAGGTTGGCCTGTCAATTTCATTCCATGCTTTGCATTCTCCAGAAAGTAATAAAAATACTCAGTCATCTGATGGCTTCTCTCCCACTGTCAGTGTCATTGACATTGTCATTTACTTATTCCTGCTTTTTATTTATTCTAGTGATTTGACCTTGAAGAGGGAAGAGCACTAATGCCAATCAGGATGGGCATATGCTTTATCTTATGGCACCATGTGCAAAATAAAGTTAACATGAAAGGCCTGAGACTGCTAGCCTGAGATTTCATCTGGGAACTTGGGTTTGGGAAGATTCCCACCATTCCTTGACTGATAAGGGTGGCTCACTGTGCCTAAACCAATTGAGCACATAATGTGGTTTATGCTGAACGTGTGCTTTCTTCTGAAAGTCTGCATTGATATGTGCTAGGCAGAGGGTGTCTACATGACCAGCCCCCAATAAAAACCATGGACACGGAGTCTCTGCTGAGCTTCCCTGGTAAACATTTCACAGGTATTCTCACAATTTGTTGTTGGAGGAATTAAGCATGTCCTGCATGACTCCATTGAGAGAGGACTCTTGGAAACTTGCTTCTGGTTTCCTCTGGACTTCAGCCCATGTGTCTTTTTCCTTTGCTGACCTTGAATTTTGTGTGTGTGTGTGTGTGTGTGTGTGTGCACGTGTGTGTGTGTGCATGTGCGTGTGAGAGAGACAGAGATGCATGTGTGTGTATATATGTATTTTTTACATATGATTTTGCTGTAATAAATCATAGCCATGAGTATAAGTATATGTCAAGTCCTGTGAGTTCTCCTAGTGAATCATCAATCCTGGGGGTGACCCTGGGGACCGTTGACACACCCCACTTATACAAGAAGTGTTTCCGGCTGGATCATCACTTGAGGTAGCATTTTTCCAGTATGTGTCTGGAAGATATCTGTCTAGCAAATTGGTCAAAACAAGGCTTACAGTCTGGACTTAAGGTCTGTGGTGATCTCTTTCTTAGCAGACTGTAAAACTGGACCATGCCCTGGTTCCTTCCCCAGCCTAGGCCTTGGAGCACTTGTGTGTGTTCTTAGTGCACAGGGTGCCCTGCTTTCTGTGCTGATGTTCATTCTCCCAACCAGGTGCTCAGCCTCCCTGCAGCCCAGCATCCCTGCACGTTCCTGCTGTTCATGGTTCAGAGTTCCTCATTTCATTTTCCATGCTCCCACGTATGTGATAAACAACAAGGAGTCCCTGTTTTTCCCCACACTTCCACTTGAGTTCACATTTAGAAATTGTGATCATTCCCATAACACACTAAACAGCCTTTCCATAATGCTTACAAGCTAGAGCTTCCAATTAAAGCACTAAATCACAACTTCAGGGTCAAGTGCTGTTGAATCACATGCTTATGTTTAAAATATACTCCCAGAGAGAAAGTTGTCAAAAAACCTCACTTGGATCACAAGCTGAGATGGAGAATGTGAATTAATGTAATGTCTGAATTACTGAATATTCTTAAGAAGATTTTTTGATACGACATTTAAGCAGGAGGGAGACAAAAAACAGACAACTTTTAATCTAGCCCAAGTTAAATTATAAGTCTCAATTCTCCCCCAAATAATCTACTCTCCTATAGATATTGCTAAAAGCTAAGAGGGAATGGGGAGCTGCCACTACATGCCACTGTCCTCATTCTAATACACTTTTTAAGATATATAACAATGGAAAGAATGTTCTTTTTTAATCATCAAGACCGTTTACAACATTGAGATATCAATATTTTGCTCTATTTCTTTCTAAACTTATTCATGCATAGGTTTTTGTTTTATACCTTTTTACAAAATTCTTTAAATGTAGCATTTGCATGAATGTAACTGTAGCAATGAAGCACAAGAAATAATTCAGAGAGATCCTATGCAGGCTTTATCCATTTTCTCCCAGCGGTAACACTTTACAAAACATTTACTGGCATCCCAACCAGGAAAATAGTGTTGGTGCAAGCCACAAAGCTTATTCAATTTTCGTGTTATTAATATTCATTTTAGCCATTCTAATAGAAATGTAGTAATATCTTCTAGGAGTTTTGATTTGCATTTCCATAATGGCTACAATGATGTACCTATTTTCATGTGCTTATTTGCCATGGGTATATCCTCTTCAGTGAAATGTCTGTTGATGTTTTTTTGACCACTTTCTAATTGGATTGTTTGTTTGTCACTGTTGAGTTTTGAGAGGTCTTTATATATTCTAGACTCAAGTCCTTTGTTGAAGGTGTCATTTGAAAATATATTCTCCCTGTCTGTAGCTTATCTTTTCATCCTCTTCACAGGGTCTTTCATAGAATAAAAAATTTTATTTTTCATGAAATGCAGCTTACCAATTTTTCCTTTTATGAAATGTGCTTTTGATGTCAACCCTAAGAACTTCTTCCCTGTCCCTAGGTCTCAAGGATTTTCTCCTAACTTTTTTCTAAAAGCTTTATAATTTTACATTTTATATTTAAGTAATTCATTTTGAGTTAGATTTCTTTATAATGTGTGAGAGTTAGGTTGAGGTTCAGTTTATTGCCTGTGGATGTCCAATTACTCCAGCACTATTTGCTTAAAAGGCCATCTTTCCTCCACTGGATTGCTTTTGCAACTTTGTCAGAAAGCTACAGTTTTTATTTCTTCCCTTCTAATCTCTATGTTTTAATTTCTTTTTATTGCCTTATTGCACTGCTAAAACTTTTAGCACTAGTTGAATAACAGTGGACATTCTTGCCTTTTTCCTAATCTTGGGGGAAAAGCATTCAATGTTCCACGATTAAGCATGATGTTAGCTATAATTTTTGTAGACTCTTTCAATTTGAGGAAATTCCCTTCTTTCCTAGTTTGCTGAGTTTTTATCATGAATGGTTGTTGGACTTTGTCAAATGCTTTTTCTGTGTAAACTGACATGATCATGTGACTTTTTCGCCTTTAGTCTGTTGATGTGGTGGATTGCATTTGATTGATTTTTGAATGTTGAAGCATACTTGCATATCAGAGATAAATTCCACTAGGTTGCCATGTGTAATTCATTTTGTGCATTACCAGATTCAATTTGTTAATATTTTGTTGAAGATTTCTGTATCTACATTCATGAGTGATACTAGTATGTAGCTTTATTCTTTTTTTCTTCTATCTTTGTCTACTTTTAGTATCAGAGTAATACTAGCCTTCTAAAATAATCAAGGAGTACCTCTCCTCTTCTATTTTCTGGAAATAGAATTTTCTGAAAATAGAAGAGGAGAGAGTAACATTCTTCTTTAAATGGTAAATAGAATTCTCCAAGGCTTCAAGGCCAGGAGATTTATTTTTCAGGAGCTTTTATATTATTATTAAGGGTTCAGTTTCTTTAAGAGTATAGAACTATTCAGTTTGTCTGTTTCAACTTTGTTGAGTCAGATAATTTCCAGTTTTTGAGGAACTGGTCCATTTCCTCTAAGTTGTCAAATTTATCAATGTAAAGCTATTTTCTAGCATTCTTTTTTTTTTCTTTTTTTTTGAGACAAAGTCTCACTCTGTCGCCCAGGCTGGAATGCAGTGGCACAATCTTGGCTCACTGCAGCCTCTGCACCCCAAGCTCAAGTGATTCTCCTGCCTCAGCTTCCCGAGAAGCTGGGATTACAGATGTGCACCATCACACCCGGCTAATTTTTGTATTTTTAGTAGAGATGGGGTTTTACCATGTTGCCCAGGCTGGTCTTGAACTCCTGACCTCAGGTAAGCTGCCCACCTCGGCCTCCCAAAGTGCTGGGATTAGAGGTGTGAGCCACCACGACTGGCAACCTCATTATTTTTTAATGACTTCATGATCTCTAGATACATATTCTGTTTCATTCCTGATATTGGTGATTTGAGCCTTCTTAATTTTTAACTTTGTCAATCTTGCTTGAGTGTTATCAACTTTGTTGATTCTTTTCAGAGCCAGCCTTTTGTTTCATGGATTTTCTCTATTGTTCTCCTGGCTTCAATTTTATTAATGTATAATCTTAACTTTATTATTTCCTTTCTTATGTTTGGTTTCTACTTATTTTGCTCTTCTCTTTCAATTTTCTTGAGGTAGGGATTTAGGTGAATGAGTTGAGACCTTTCCTCTTTTCTTAAATAAGCATTTAGTACTATGAATTTTCCTTTCAGCACTATTTTATCTGCCTCCCATACGTTTTGATGTGTTGTGTGTTCATGCTCACTCATTTCTATGTATTTTTAAAGTTCCATTAAAATTTCCTATATAACCTATGGATTATTTTAAGCATGTTGCTTAATTTCCAAGTATTTAGAGATATTCTTCTTTTCTTTCTGCTCTTGATTTCTCATTTCATTCTATTATGATGAGAAAACATATTCTGTACCTTTTTAATTCCTTTAAATTTGCTGAGTTTTATTTTAATGGCCCAGGATACAGTCCATCTTGAAGAAAATTCCACAAGTGCTTGAAAAACATGTATGCTGTTCCTGTTGAATAGAGTGTTCCATACATGTTAAATAAATCCTGTTGCCTGGTTATGTTTTTCAGTTCTTTTTTTTTTTTTTTGCTGTCCATAAGTTTATTGTCTTTATCTGAAAAATCGTCATAGAAAATTGTTTGGTGTAGCTCTCAGCAGCCCGCTCCTGAGCTCTGAGGAAGCTTGCCTTCTTTTGAGCTATCTGATCTTTCTTCTGGGCAATGGACATTTTGGGACAGTTCCACCTCTTCTTTTTAACTTCTTTCTTGGGCTTCTTTTCATAGACTTGATGTATAAGCAGCATGAGCTTTCTTATACATCTCCTCCGTCATGTCTGGAGTTACGCTGTTCTTTGTGTATTGAGAGAACTGTTTCTTGTAAGCATCTTCATCTTCTTCCATTAAGTAGCACAGGTAATCTGCAACATTCTGGCCCGTGATGTGCTTCTGGTGTACTTCTGCATTAAATTCCTTGCTTTCAGAATCATAACCAGGGAATCATCTGGTACTATGAGAGACAGATGAGCCTCCAGCCACAGCTCCCTTCAGGGAGCCAAAAAATTTATTGCCAGTGGTAGTTCTGGCAAGGCCTGCATCCAAATAGCAGGTAAAGGCACTTGGCTGACCATCAATGTTTTCCACATTGTATTCATTGCCAGTCACCTACACTTGGCCTTCATAGATGTTGTCTGTGCCAAACCTATTGAGAAGCCTGCGGGCCAGCAGCAGGCCAGTACAATACTCTGCAGCATAATTTGTCAGGCCAACCTTCACACCATATTTTGGCAGTTCGTGTGCGTATGCTGCGCAGACTATCATATCCCCCTCTATACGGGCATAAGCAATCTGACTAATGATATCTCTGTTGGTTAGATGAACTACTATCCTATATTTGGGTGTGTTGTATTTATTTTTATCCTGTATCTCCAAGTATTTCCGAGCATAGTAACCAGTTTTACCCTCTTGTCGTCTTCTAAATTTCACTTGGTATCTCTTAAAGTAGGCCTTATTCTTAACAACTTTAACAAACCCCATCCTGCAAAACAGAGACCCACATCCGTGGCTCAACAGAGACCTGCAGGCCCAGCAGTGCCTGTTTTTCAGTTCTTTCATATCCTTTCTGATTTGCTGTCTAGTAGTTGTGTTAACCATTGAAATAAATGTGTTGAAATATCCAACTATAATTGTTGATTTGTCTATTTCTCCTTTCATTTCTTTCAGGTTTTCCCCCAGAACCTCACAGTATCACATTATATAGTCTTATTATTTACATGTAAAAATTTGTAATATATCTCATCACAGTCTAGTGATATTAATGTTTTACCACTTTGAGTGAAGTGTGGAAACCTTACCTCCATTTAGGTCTCTTTGCCCTCCTCACTTTTTAATTGTCTGAAGTATTTCCTTTATGTATATTGAGCAACACACTTCTCTCCTTCTGAGACTCTGATAATACAAATGCTAGCTCTTTTGTTATTGCTCCACTGATCTGTGTGATTCTGTTCATTTTTGTCTTCTCTGTTGTTCAGATTGGGTAAATTCTGTTGATCTGGCCTCAAATTCACTGATTCCACCCTCTATCATATCTACTCTATTATTGGGGTCAGACTGCAAGTTTGTTAATTCAGTCATTATATTTTTAATTCTATCATTTGAATTTGGTCCCCTTTTATTTGCTTATATTTTTTCTATTTTTAAAATTTGTTTTAAGAGCATTTGTAGTACTTTTATGCACCTTTGAAACACTTTTATAGTGGGTACTTTAAAATCCTTATCAGATAATTCCAACATTGGATTCTTCTTGGTATCCGCATCTATTGACTTTCTCATTTAAGTTGCAATTTTCTTGGTTCCTTTATAATGTGATGTTTTGTTGTACCCAGTGTATTTAGATATGATATTATGAGATGACATTTAATCTTGAAGGGTAGCAAAAGGTCCTGATGGGTATATGTTCACTTTCCTGCTAGGTCCCATCGACACCATGCTGGAGGAAAAGGAGTGCTGATGCACATTGCCTTGTTGGAGACAGGTTGGGGGCAAGTTCTGTTCCCTCTAGGCCCTGCTGACGTCAGGGAAGGGAGTGGGGAAGCACAGGGCCAACTACCCCCTTTTCCCACCACCTCATTGTGCCTCATTGATGCTGGATGAGGTGAAGGCTCCACTGCTTACTGACTCCTGCTAAAAATAGGGGAGGAGGAAGAAGGATATTAACTCCCCCACTTCATCCTATTTCATTCTGTTGATGTCAGGTGAGGCAAGAGGCTCAGCTCCCCACTAAATCCCCTTTAGGGGTTTAGGGGGCAGGGAGGGAAGAGGTCAAAGTGTCCACTGGCTCTGCTGCACGCTACTTGATCCAGTTTCTTGTCATCTTGTGGGTATAGAGCTTCAGCTCCTCACTGGGCCCACAGACACCAAGGGTGGGGAGAACACAGAGTAGTGACTAGTCCCTGCTCACACCTCCTGGTTAGTCTAATCGACATCAGGTGGGAGTAGAGACTCAGCTCCCTGCTGGACCCCTGCTGGCCCCAGGGTGGGTAGCAGAAGCACACTGGTGATGGGCTCCACCTTAAGCCACTTCATTGGTTCTTGTTGCTGCTGAGTGGGGGTGGATTCGCCACCGGGCCTTGCTGACACTACTCTGGTGGGGAATCTGAGCACCACCTGTTTCCACCAGGAGAGGAATGAAAGATGAGCTCCCTGCTCAGCCCCACTAAGGCCACTGGGTGGGGGATGGGAGTACTACCCCTGCTTTTGCCTGCTTCCTTAGGTCAAGGATCCAGTGGAAGATCAGCTCCCAGCGAGGCAGAAATTGTCAACGGCGGTCGGGAGAATGGTTATGTTTTTTTGTTGTGTCTGGCTGGTGTAGCATGGGTATCACCAAAAAGATTTTCTGTCATCAGGCCACCATCTTCCTGGTCCCTTGGCTAGGGGATTAGGTGTCTCCTGGAGCATATTTTGTGTGTGCCTATTAGAGATACAGGGGATGTGTATCCTGTCTGGGATATATGGGAGACAATAAGGAAATCCAGAGACCTTATTGCTGTTTCATTGTTCAAGTCCCAAAGTCCCTAGGCAGCCTCCTTCTTCCTTCCCCCTTCCAGGGTCTTCTCTTCCCATGCTTGTCTGTTGTATTTTGTCCAGGGAGTTTAACTGTGAAGAGGAAAATCTGTAAGGAATGGGGCTATTCTATCTTAGCAGGCCAGGAGTCCCTATTGTCCTTTTTTGAGAACTCCAAATCATGATCACATTCTTTATACAGTCAAGTGCCCAGCGAAAAATTTCCCATCACCTAGCGATATCTTTGCCATCATGATGTCATAGCACAACACATCACCTTATCTATGCTTTGATGTGCTTCCATATGCAAATACTTAAACATAAAAATTGTTTTAGGCACTGTTGGTGGGAAGGTAAATTAGTACAGCCACTATAAAAAACAGTATGGAGGTTTCCAAAAAACAAAAACAAACAAACAAACAGAAACTAAAAATAGAACTACCCTACGATCCAGCAATCCCACTAGTGGGTATTTATCCAAAGGAAAAATAAATCAATATATCAAGGGTACACCTGCACCCACATGTTTATTGCAGCACTAGTCACAATAGCAAAGATGTGGAATCAACCTAAATACCCATCACACAAAGAAATGGAGAAAGAAAATATGGTATATACACATAATGGAATACTATTTGGCCATAAAAAATGAAATCATTTCATTTGCAGCTACATGAATGGAACTGGAGGTCATTATGTTAAGTGAAATAAGTCAGGCACAGAAACACAAATATGGCATGTTCTTACCCATATATGGGAGCTAAAAAAGTTGATCTCATAGCAGTAAAGCGTAGAATGATAGATACCAGAGGCTGGGAAAGGTGTGGGGGCGGGTAGGGGGAATGAACAGAAGTTGATTAATCCGTACAAATATACAGTCAGGCAGAAGGAATAAGTTATAATGTTCGATAGCAGAGTAGAGTGACTATAGTTAACAACAATATATTGCATATTGCAAAATACACAAAAGAGAGGACTTGAAATGTTCCCAACACATAGAAATGATAAATACTTGAGGTGATGGACACCCTAAAAACTCTGGCTTGATCATTATACACTCAAGGCATGTAACAAAACATCACATGTATCCCTTATATATGTACAAATACTATGTATCAATAAACAAACAAAAATTATGTTGCAGTAGCCTATGGTATTCAGTACAGTATCATGCTGTACAGGTGTGTAGCGTAGGAGCAATAGGCTCCACCACATAGCCTAGGTGCGGAGTAGGCTGTGCCATCTTGGTTTGTGTGAGTGCACTCTATGATGTTGACACAACGATGAAACAGCCTAATGACAAATGTCTCAGAATATGTTCCTGTTGTTAAGCAATGCATAACTGTATGTTTTTGTATCATTTTTACTTACCGTATCATAAGTTTTAAATTTCTGTTATAAATAGCACTCTCTGAAAGCACTATTTTAAAAGCCATATAATTCCCCACTGAGTGGCCAGAGCATGATTTATACTGTATAATAATTTTCCTATTGTTGAAAATTTGGACTCCAACATTATTGCTACAATAAATAATGTACTGGTGAAAATGTTTGTGCCTTAAAGTTTCCTGTATTTCAGGCTGTTATCTTAAAATACAGCCCAGAAGTAGAATTATACACAGTTCAACAGCAACATGCAAAGGGACCCCCCTGTGCCAACATGGGGACTTCAACATACTTGAAAACATGAGCCGATTGGATTGAGAAAGGAAAAGAGTATTGCCGAATAGTCTAATATGCATTTCCTTGATCATTAGGAGGCTGATCCATTGCCGTTCTTTTGTAAACTGGGTTTTCATGCCTTTTGCTTGTTCATCTTCTGGGGCCTTACATACTCTTTCAAAATACCCTTCCTAGTAGAAGAATCTGACTCACTATGTATAAGTGGTTTTCTTAAACCAAAAAGATAAAATTCAAAGTCAAAGATCAGCTAAGAGAGAAATAACGTAATCCCCTGTTCAGCTACAACAAATATCAAGTGCCTAACAGGAAAGCACCTGCCAATTAAAGAAGGCAATCAGATAAAGATAAAATATATGAAACACTTCAGACTTCTGGATAACTCTTGATCTTGAAAACATTTCCCGAATCTTACCTGAAGCATAACAACATCGTCACCTTCAAAAGTGGCAAACACATCTGTGTCACACTTTAAGCCTGAGATTCGATTTTCCATCATGTAACCCTGTTGCAGAAAGAGAAAAACACACACACACACACACACACACACACACACACACACATTTCAAATTTGCGATCCCATCACTACATAGGACTCACATTTTCTTTAAAATTAAAAAATATACAGAAAATTGAAAAGAGGTAAACAATCATATTTCTCCTAGCCAAAATAACCACTGTAAGAATTTTGATTCCTTACATTAGCTTTTAGTTCACGAATATTATTTTGGTGGTAGTAAAAACTATTTGAAAATGGTTGTGTCATATTTCTGCAAAAGATTTCAATAAAGTGGACTGATTTTTTTTTTACCTCGTTCTTCAAAATTCTAATAAATGCCAAGGTACTAGTGATTATACCTCACCATATGTAGGCAAATGATGCCTCCCCCACCCCCAGCAACCCTTCTGAAAATTAGCCTGTATACCTACAAAACTCCTCGGGAGGCAGCATAAATGTCTTAAATTGCCACTCTGCATCTTAATATCATTAAATACTCTGCGCCATCAATTCTCACTCCAGTATTTTTTTTTCCTTTTACTTCCTGAAATCCTTATTTAAATGGCAGCATTGGCAGTGTTTCTGCACACAAACCAGAGAATCAGCTACACAGGAGAAAGTAAGTTTGGCCCCAAGTAAAACATGAAAGAAGCAAAGCCTGTCTTTGTGTGGGTCCCAGGTCCTTCCCCTTCTGAGGGCCTCTGCACTACCTCCTTCTTCCAGCTCTTTGTTTTCCCCATGAAATATCCAGAATTGCTCCCCCGTCCAAGCCTGCTTCCACAAATCACTTCTGCCTGTGTCAGTCACGTCAGAGCTGACTGTCCTGTTACTTCTCCCAGGAGTATGTGCAGTGAGCACTTTAGCTCTGAATAAGGAATGACAAGTTTTGCTCTGATAATATTTTCAAGCCACAGAGGCCCAGGGGCAGTCATACTCTTGAATCTCCAGGTACCTTTCATGCCTGGGGGACCTGCTTCATTTCTGAAAATGGCCACAGGGGTCTTAGAAGTCTGGATTTCCAGGTGCCTGCTGCCCTCAGATGCCTGAAAACTTGTTAGCATCAGTCCTGCTCCTGTGGGGAGAACCACCCTGGAAGGCCCGGCCACCTTTCCCTCATCTCCATCAATGCTGACTGGGCGGTGTTACCACCTGCAGTTTACAGAAGCAAAGGAGTCCCCAGCAGAAGCCTTAATTACCTTCATAAGGTTAAACTGATTGTGCTTATGAGTAAGTAAATCAGTAACATTTCCAACCAGAAGTTCACTTCCCCCCACCCCATAATAATCACAGGATTAAAACTGCCTGTGGGCAAACCACATGAAAGCAGGTTCCGATAAAGTGCGGTCCTGCCGCAGAGTGATTTCCGCATAAGGCTACAGTGGACTCATTTCCACCCTTCTCATTCTACAGTGCCCTCTATGCTAGATACTGTGCTGGGACTTCACACAGACTTCCTTTACCTCACAGAATCCTTTAATCCTCACAACAGCCCTGTGAAGAAGGCATTATCCCTATTTTACAGATGAAGCAAGTGAGGCTCAGGATTGTGTTGGAATGTTCTTGAATCATCTGTCAAGTTCTGATGTGGAAGAAGAGTAACACTAAATATACCACCTGATATGGTTTGGCTCTGTGTCCCCACCCAAATCTCATCTTGAATTGTAATAATCCCCACGTGTCATGGGAGGGACCCAGTGGTAGGTAACTGAATCATGGCAGTGGGTTTTTTCTGCCCTGCTCTCATGGTAGTGAATAAGTCTCACAAGATCTGATGGTTTTATGAAGGGTAGTTCCCCTGCACGTGCCCTCTTGCCTGCCACCATGTAAGACGTGACTTTGCTCTTCCTCCATCTTCTGCCATGATTGTGGAGCCTCTCCAGCCATGTGGAACTGTGAGTCCATTAAACCTCTTTCCTTAATAATTACCCAGTCTCAGGTATGTCTTTATTAAGCAGTGCAAGAACAGACTAATACAGCACCTCAGTGTTGAGAAGCAGTGGTTATACCTAAGAAGTTCAGATGCAAAACACTCAAAATACTAATGTTGAAGAAACAAAGTGTTTTTTTTCTGAGCATTTTGCTCTCCTCTTTTCCGGTGGAGGAGAGGGCAACAGGCTCTTTGTTGTTTTCTGACACTTTTTAAACTTACTTCCACCCTGCCCTGGAAGTCAGGCAATCTGGCTTTAAAATGACCAGAAAGAGAATCTACTCAAAGGGCAGAACCAGCAAACAGACACCAGTAGTCTCTAAAAGAACAGGCAATGGAGTTCTGGGAGCACAAAAATGTTTTGTATCAGCTCTTCACATGCAATATAATTCCCTTCTCTCCTACATGGTGAAACTCAGCTGTGAGCTCCTCTTCTAGTTTGAAAGTCAAGTGAAACTGGATGTTGATTCTGGACTCTACCTGGCCCTTGAGAACTGAGGTAACAGGGCTCACAGCCCTCAAACAGCTTGCAGGGAGCTGAAAATGAAATGGCAACGAGAAAAATCAAAGTCCAACCACATGGGAGGCAGGCTCGTGGTTGTCATGTTGCTTCCCATCTCCTGAAAGTAACAAGGTGTATTTATGATCTAATTTCTTTAGAATAAGCCAGAAAGGCCTGGCCTCACAGGAGTCTCAATCCTTGGGACCCTGAGGTGACCCACTTAGAAACTAGTCAGGCTTAGAAAGTCCCAGCATCCATGTCCTGGGTAAACGTCTATGCGGCTTACAGAAAGACCCATGGCATAGAGCAGTCACTGAATGGGGCTTGCAGCCATCTTCTTGAGTAACTTAAATTCTACACTTGAGGCCTTGAATTCTTTGGAGACAAATGATTATAAACAGTTTATGCATCTGTGTCTGCATCATTTTTTAACTAAAAATGAACTTTTTGGGTTTTTTAATTAATTACTAAAAGTAATACACAAGCAATGTTAAAAAAAAAAACCCAGAAAATTTATACATTAAAAAAAAAAAACCCAAAAGAAAAAAGTCATTCACAAACTCCCAAGGTGGAAGGTAAATGGGTGCCTGAGAAAGACCCCAAGAAAGAGGCTCAGAGTTGGACTAAGGATCACAAGGATGGAGGGAGGAGTTGGCGGGATAGGTCGGGGAGGAAATGAAAGACTCGGAAGCCAACAACGGAGCTGATCTGGGTAAAAAGGAGCCAAGGAATGTTGTGAGAGGAGGAGGGCCACGACTGCACATGGAAGGTACGGTTAGAGGAGACCTTCACACGTCTTTACAGACCAGCACCACGGCGTGTGCCCAGAGAAGGGACAGTCATGGAGGCCACTACTGAGGGTCAACTTTCGTATGCACTACATACAATGTGTCATTTCTACTTTTCACATCTCATCACTCCAGTTTTCCGGATGAAAAAACTGAAGTTCAGTGAGGTTTCCCTGAACCTTGCTTGGGTTCATTCTGGCCACACCGGCTGCTTGCCCACTTCCGTGGGGTTTTGCAATCCTGTTCCCACTGCCTGGAACACTCCCCTCAGACCTCCATGGGGGCTCCCTCATTTCATTTCCATCTCAGGTCTGAAGAAGTTCCACTGCAAGAAAGGTGTCCCTACCTCTCTGTTTAAAACAGCTGCCTCACCCACCACCTTTGCTTTCTAGCCCCTTGTCCTTTATTTAAGACAAGCAGCCTTATGCTCCTCCCTTCCAGCCCCTGGATCTGACTGGGATCACCTGTGGCCTTGGGTAGCAATTTTCCCACCTGTCCCCAACCCCTGCCTTGTGCTACTCTGGCCTGTATGTGGTACCCAACTTTGACTCTGAGATCCTGGTCTTGCTTGGCCCTTACTGAACACAGCTAATGATATATGCAGTCATCGCTGAAAGAAGAATGGGTGCAGAATGGTGAATGTAAACCTTGCCTCAGCTTCTATAGCCTGGGGTGCTGAATGCTGATCCTGGGGAGTGTCCCAGCATCCCTCATTCTCAGGGGGTGGCGGGGAGGTAGGCTAGAAATGGCAACTAGAGGTGACTCAAGCTCTCTCAAAGGATGTGAGGTGAACTTCTAATCAGCCCAGCATGGAGATGGCCATGCCTCACAAAGACCAGGACAGGTGTGGCACAGAAAAATAGCCCAGGTGGGAGGGAAGGAAGGAGCCCCTCCTGGGCTCTAGTGACAACGGGCCATCAGCTGTTTTCAGGGGGAGGAAGTGGAGAAGGAGGAAACCAGGAATAAAGACTTCGCACTTAAAGGGACTTTGAGCCGGTGCCCAAGAAAAACAAAGGCAGACGGCTTCCTGCAGTAACCACCTGATGCTGAGTGGGATCCACAGGGCTGGGAGAAGAGCAGGACTTCTGAAGCTGAATATCACCCGAGGCCCCAGGGGAGCTGGGCCAAGAGCCGACAGCCTCCCGCCTGGGGTTCATGGTGCAGGGCAGGGCTGTGGCCTCAGGCTCAGGAGAGAAAGGGCTGAGTGCAGAGCCACATGGAGGGCCCTGCCATCCTCAATTAACCCTCTGTCATCTCCCTCAAGTCTTGAGTCAGGCCAAGGGGCCATTCACACTCAGCCAAGCAAGATTCCAAGGTTTGCCCCGCTCTGTCCCTGGAACTCCATCTGCCTGGACCCTGTGTTTCATTCAGAGGTAATGCACGAGGGGTCTCATCTGCCTGGAGGGGCCGTGCAGGCCTGGGTAAGCCAATCTCAGGACAAGGTATCTGAATCAAGTCTATTTTTGCCACAGGTGGAAAAGATCCATTAGCTCCCAGGGGGACTGCTCTACAGGGAGACATACCAGGTGCCAAATGTTCTCCTCTCCAGTGCAGCCCTCCAACAGCTGACAGATGAGAACCTGCCTATGCCTAGGAGGAAGCACAGGCTCCTTGGTGTCCCAGGATGCCCAGGGTCCTCTGTGGCATTGTCCAGGGGAGTCCAAAGTATTCTGGGGAAATTGCCACACCTGCATTTCATGCTCTCCACTCCCACTCCTGCCACGGGGCATTTTCCTTCCATCTGCTGCCCATGGGATCCCTCAGTGCCCTGGGGATTTGGTTTCATTTCTCTCAGCCTCTGAATTGTCTTGGCTTTAACCAGGGTACCACAGATGTCTGCTGAGCAGGAAGGCTGCCACATCACACATGATTCACAAGCTTCTGTGTCCATTTGGAGCTGCCAACTGAATGGAAGCCTGGGGGATCAGTTCCCTAAAACCTCATCCCTGTCCTTCCCAGCTATGGTGGTGCTGATTGCAGCATGAGGGCCCCTGAACCAATAGCGGTTCTTCCAGTTGTCAGGGACCATTCCACACACAGACTGGCCTGCGTGCTGGGCCAGCCTGCTCTCCCCATGGCTGACATGTGGCCAATGATACTTCGCTGAAGGTGCGTGGGGCTCTCACCCCTTATGTCTCTGTTGGGAATCGCTTCATTGCAAGACCTAATCACTGGGCCTTTGCTATATCTCAGATTAAAACTAAAAATTTAGTTGGAAGAGGCCTATAGAAAAGTAGAGAGAGTATGCATGAGAGTGTGTGTGTGCATGTGTGTGTGCGTGTGTATGCATGCGCGTGCATATGCAGGTACTATGGGCTACATCATTGTGTCCTCTCAAAATTCCTTTTTTTTTTTTTTTTTTTGAGACGGAGTCTCACTCTGTCACCCAGGCTGGAGTGCAGCAGCGTGATCTTGCCTCACTGCAATCTCCGCCTCCCAGGTTCTCCTGCCTCAGCCTCCAGAGTAAGCTGGGATTACAGTCGCCCGCCACCATGCCCGCCTTTTTTTTTGTATTTTTAGTAGAGACGGGGTTTCACCATGTTGGCCAGGCTGGTCTGGAACTCCTCACCTCAGGTGATCCGCCCGCCTCGGCCTCCCAAAGTGCTAGGATTACCGGCATAAGCCAGCACCCCTGGTCCCCCACAAAATTCTTATGTTGAAGTCCTAACTCCCACAATCTCAGAATGTGGCTGTATTTCAAAACAGGACCTTAAAAGGGGTAATTAAGATTAAAGGAGGTAATTGAGCAGCCCTAATTCAATATTGCCTGGCATCCTTATAAGAGGATATCAGGACACAGACACACACAGAGGAACGTGTGAAGACACAGGCAGGAGATGGTCATCGACAAGTCAGGATGAGAGCCTCAGAAGAGACCAACCCTGCCCACACCTGGGTCCCAGACTTCCAGCTCGAGTTGTGAGAAAAGAAATTCCTGTTGTGTAATCCACCCAGTCTATGGCACTTCGTATAGCAGCCAGCACAGACAAATACAGCGTGTGGGAAGTGTTAGCTCAAACCATGTCTGTTCCTGACCAGAGATAAATCAATGTTAACTGCTTCTCCAACATGAACAAATCTTTTGGAGTCTGAGGAAGTCCTTTCCTAAGCCATCAACTCAAGCCACTCAGTAAGTAGCACCTTAGGTTTTCATTACAATATGAAATTGTTCTCCTTTCTACATTGGACTCCAGAGTGGGGATATTTGTTTGTATATTCTTGGTGGGGTCGATGGGTGGTAGGAAAAAAAAGGGTGGTAGCAGAAAAAACAGATTCATCCGAAAAAAAAAAGTGAGTAAGATTTTCCGTGAGCTTACTTTATTCCTAAGCAGGAGAGAAAGAAACATGGGATAGACAGAGGGAACTCTAAACCCATGTTCCAAACACCAGCAGAATCCTCAGAGAGGGAAGCGCCAGAACCTGGGCTCTGGGAAGCAAGAGCTCACTCGGTAGACAGCTCCTCCGCTCTCTGCCTTCTGGGTTACATCGAGCCTCTTAGCAACTATTGTGAGTGTCATGAAGGTTGTGTCCCATTTCAGTGACAGCCCCATGAAACATATTTTATGATCCAAACTTTGTATATGGCAAGTTTAATATTTTCCTGCTGTTTTTAACATCACTGAATTTTTCACTATATGATTACATTTAATAAAGGTATCAGAACAAATTAGAAATTCTGTTAATTTGAAAAAGACAAAACAGATTAAATCAATCTTATCTTATGTGTTAGAGGAGGCCAGTTAAAAATACAGAGACTGACCCACCAACCAGGAGGCACCGTGTCTTCGGGTGGCACTAACTTTATGCCTGTGACCTCCACCGTGCCCAGTGGTGCAGAAACCGTATGTGAGGGGATCTGGGAGCATGGAGAGTCACTGCAACCTGTCCCGTGACAGCTGAGATCTGGGTTGGGTCTCCTGAATTCAGGATTCTGAGTCCAGTGGAGTGATGGCAGGTTGCCCCATCCTGCCGCATGCTTTGAGGGGACCCTATCGCTGCTGCCCTGCACTCTCAGGACTTATTCGCTGGACAGAGTGGGCAGAAAAGAGTTCCTTCATGGATCCTGTCACCAAATGCATACCAAGGCTCCCTCCATCTTAGGCACTACGCTACCCATAGTGAACTACAGCCATGGCCCTGTCCTCATGAGAGAGACAGACATTGGCCAGGTGGACAAATAAAATAGGTAATTAAAAATCTGTGGCACTCCTGTAATCCCAGCACTTTGAGATGCCGAGGTGGGTGGTTCACGAGGTCAGGAGTTCAAGACCAGCCTGACCAACAAACCCGTCTCTACTAAAAATACAAAATTAGCCGGACGTAGTAGCACTTGCCTGTAATCCCAGCTACTCAGGAGGCTGACGCAGAATTGCTTGAACCTGGGAGGCAGAGATAGCAGTGAGCTGAGATTGCACCACTGCACTCTAGCCTGGGCAACAGAGCGAGACTCCATCTCAAAAAAAAAAAAAAAAAAAAAAATCTGTGGCAAGTTCCAGAAAGGAAAAGATGGGGGCAGGGAGGTTCTGTGAGAAAATAAATAGCAAGAGAGACCTCCTCCAACCCGGATGCCAGAGAAGGTTTTCAGAGGGCTTGCTTAACTTGGAAACTTAAAGAAGGGAATTCAGCCAATCTGGGAATGGGAGGACGCTTGTTCCAGCTGAGAGAGCAGCCTGTGCAAACGCCCTGAGGCATGAAGGGGTACAGAATGTCCAGGGCCTGGAAAGAAGGCTGGGCTGGAGGTGATGAGTGAGGGGGAGGGGCCTGAAGAGAAGCCTTTGGGGGCAGACAGGGGTCAAGTCACAGGGGCCTCAGCAGCCATCTTGGGGATTTATTTTATGTTAGTTTAGGTGCAATGTAAAGTTAAAAATAAATTCTAAGCTTTGGAGTCAGATGATTTGTGATTTTAAAAGATGACTCCAGCTGCTTAGTGGAACACAGACCATAGGTGGCGAGAGACAGAGAGAGAGAGAGAGAGAGAGAGAGGGAGGTGGACTAGCTGGGGGTGGGGGATGGAGGCAGACAGTGAAGGGCTTGCTGAGGGCTGAGAATGAAAGAGGCAGTCAGCACTGCACCATCCACCTACTTATTCACAGGCTGCTCACAAAACACAAGGGCAAATAAAAGACAAGCAGAAGATTAAAAAATCAACAGAATCAAAACTGCAGAGGCAGCAGATATTGATATCAGCCTAATACGCCTAGAAGGAGATAATGCAAAGAACATGGAAAACAATATTCAAAATGAGTGGCCTAAAATGTTACAGAATTGTTAGTGACACAAATCCACGTACTTACTAACCTCAAATGAATCCAAATAGGAAAAATACAACCAAATTTATATTTATACATATTATAGTGAAACCATAGGTCATGACAACAAATAAAATACTTAAAAAGAAACAGAAAGAAAAAACAGATTGCCATGAAAAATTACTATTAGATAGCTGATTCCTCAGCAATAAGGAAATCCAGATAAGCAAAACTTCAAAGTGCTAAGAGATAATAACTATCAACAATGAATTCTATACTGAACAATATGTAACCTCTATAGACTGGGATGGAACAGACAGATTCAGACAAAAACTACAGACCACACTAAATGGTGTTTAGAAGAAAGTACCCCAGAAACCAGGAAATGACTACAGAGATGCAAGAAGGAATTGTGAGCAAAGAAATTGGTAAAAGGTGGTAACTCTAAAGAAAAAATGATTCCATAGAATAATAAACATGATGGCTAATTTGTGGGATCAGAAAACACAGTACTGGAGCAGTGGACAACAATAGTTTAGAGGGTGGGAGCTCATGATTAGTTAAAGCAATCTAAGCTCTTCTATTATTGGGAGAAAAGAATGCTAATAATTCACTTCAGACTTCGTAAGTTAAATGTGCATGTTAAAATTGCTAGGGTGGCCACAAAATAAGCATAAGTAGAGTGAAAACATAAAAGGGAAAAATGGAAAAGGGAAAATAAACACCATAAAGCTGAAGGTTGTAAGTCCAAACAAGCAGAGATAAGACTCAACAAATAGAAAATAAGAGATGGAAAACATAAATTCAAATATATCAGTGATGACAATAACTACTGGGACTAAACAGATAAAAATGAGATTGTCAAGGTAGATTCAGTTTTAAAAATAGGCAAATGTTGTTTATAAGACACATAAACACAATAACACAGAAAAGTTGAAACTATAAGCATATAACAGGTAAATGCCAATCAAATGGAGGCTTTTGTCCTTATGTTAATATTAGACAAAATACATTTTAAGGCATTGCTATTGATAAAGGGAGTCAACTACATAAAGGTCAAATACTCAATTCGCTAGGAAAATATAATTTAAAACTTACAAACATCTAATAATGCAATGTCAAAATAATGAGACTGAAATTGATAGAATTACAAAGAGACACTGACATAGTTTGGATCTGTGTCCCCACTCAAATCTCATGTCCAACTGGAGCAGCGGTCTGGTGGGAAGTGACTGGATCATGGGGTGGATTTCCCCCTTGTTGTTCTCATGATAATGCGTGAGTTCTCACGAGATCTGATCATTTAAAAGTGTGTGGCTCCCCCCGACTTCTCTCTCTCTCTCCTGCTCTGCCATGGTAAGACATAATTGCTTCCCCTTCACCTTCTGCCATGATTGTAAGTTTCCTGAGGACACCCACCCATGCTTCCTCTACAGCCTGTGGAACTGTGAGTTAATTAAGCCTCTTTTTTTTTCATAAATTATCCAGTCTCAGGTAGTTCTTTATAGCAGTGTAAAAATGGACGAATACACTGACAAATCCACTATCAACAGTGGGAGATTTCAGCACACATCTCTCAATAATTGATAGATCAGACAGGCCAAAACCTCAGTAAGAATAGGGCATATTTGAATAATGCCACTAAGAAGCTTGATCTATTGGTCTCCTTTGAAACCCTGCATCCAATTGCAGAAGACGCACTCCTCTGAGGCATACATGGAAACTGACCAGCCTCTAGACCACAGAGCAGGCCATAAAAAAATTTCAAAAGATCTTTATGACACGGGCCATTTTCTCTACGATGGAATTAATTGAAATATATATATATATATGTATAAAAGTAATTATAATGATAATAACAACAACAAGAACTGTGACTAAAAAAAAAGCCACTAGTGTATGGTAGTTATACTCCCTAGTCAAACAGCCTGGATTTGAATCTCAGCTCCGCCAATTCAGGAGCTGTGTGATCTTGGGTAACTTGCTTAAACTCCCAGTGTCCCATTTTTCACATACATAATATTGGGATCAGAACAGTCCTTCTCTATAGGGCCATTGTGAGAATTTATGTTAATGAATGTAGAGCGTGAAGACAGATACTTGACATATAGTAAGAATTCAACAAATGTTGGCTATATTTTTTAAACACCAGACATTAGAAACTGAAAAACATAATCAACTAATTCATAGGTCAAATAAAGTCACTATGGAAATTAAAATAAATTTAGAATCAATAAACTGAAAATCTTATATATCAAATCATGGTTGATATGACCAAAGCAGCATTTAAAAAGAAAAGTTATCATTTTAAGTGTTTATAATAGAAAAAGAGAAATGGAGAAGATAACATTCAAATTAAGATACTATAGGAGGAGCAGGAGAATAAACCCAAAGAAAGTAGAAGAAAATAAGTAATGGCCAGGCATGGTGGCTCACTCCTGTAATCCCAACATTTTGGGAGGCTGAAGCAGGAGGATCATTTTAGCCCAGGAGTTTGAGACTAGCCTGGACAACACAGTGAGACCCCCATTTCAACAAAAATTTTAAAAATTAGCTGGGCATGATAGCACACACCTGTAATACCAGCTACGCTACTTGGGAGGCTGAGGGAGGATCTCTTGAGCCCAAGGGCCACGATCACGCTACTGCACTCTAGCCTGGGTGACACAGTGAAACCTTGTCTCAGAAGAAAAGAAGTAATAAAGATAAAAATCAATGAAATAGAAAAATCAGATATAGTGGAGAGGATCAACAAAGCCAAAAACTTATTATTTGAAAAAATATACAAAATAGATCAAGTGACAAGGCGGCTGTGGAAAACAAACAATATTAGGAATGGCAAAGGGGCATAAATACCCATACAACAGGGGCTAAAAAGAGAAAAGGGTATCATGGACTTTATGGTTGATAAATTTTAAAACTAAGAAGAAATGAACAAATTACTAGGAAAATAAAAATTAGCAAAACAGACTCAAGAACAGAAAACCTGAATAGCTTATATCAAGGAAAGAAACAAAACCAATCATTTTATATGTTCTTAGAAAGAAACCACAAGGTCTGTTTAGCCTTATCATTATATTTGTACCAAATAGTCAAGGAACAGATAATTCAATTCTATACAAACTCTTCCAGAGAACAGAAAAATAAGAAACACCCTCAAGTCATTTAATGAGAGTGATGTAGCCTGGATATCCAAACTAGGTTAAGGACACCCCTAGAAAGGAATAGCAGAGGCCAACCTCATTCATAATCACAGAGCAGAAAACCCTAAACAAATATTACCAAATGAAATCAGCAGCTTTTTAAATACACACACATACATCATGACTGAGTTGTATAGATCCTGAAACTCAAGATTTGTTAACATTAGAAAATCTGTTAATGTAAATTCATCACATTAACAGATTAAAAGGAAGAAAATGTGCAATCATCTCAATAAAATAAATGCAGATAAATAATTCCATAAAATGAATATATTTAATTTTAAAACCACTCAATAAATGCACACATGCACAAAACTGTTTATAAAGGAAGAGTAAAACAGGCTTTTCCTTAACATAATAGAGAATATCTGCACAAGTCCCACACCGAATAATATCCTTAATGGTGAAATAGTAAACACATTTCTTTTAAAGCCAAGGATAAAATACAGGTGCCTGTTATGAACCACTTCCTTTAATTAACCATGGCATTGGAAACTCTTGCCACTTGTATAATATAGGCAAAGAAACAAATGTAAATGATTGGAAAGGAAGAAACAAAGCTATCATTTTTCTCAGGTGATAGGACTATCTTCATAGGAAACCCAAAAGAACTACAAACAGATCGTTAGAATTAATATGGCACTTTAACTAGGTTGTTGATTATAAGATCAACATACAAAATTAAACTCCATTTCTATACACCAGCTTCAAAGTATTAGAAAATATTTTCAAAACTACCACACACTTTATAATAGATATCTACTCAGCTGCTATTTTTTGGGAACTGTCTTAGCACCTACAGAGATGGGACGTCCGCTGGCACGTTCATAACACGTGACCCCATTCCCTAACCAGAAGTGGCTGAGTTGGAGAGGACTCTGACTCAACTGAGATGCAGATTCAGCATTTGATCTGAGAAACACCATCTCAGAGTGTGGCTGGAAAAGAGATGCTATAAATTCCAAATGGACAGTCACAAATGCAGAGAAGAGCAAGAATGGGCAGACACCAAGAGGTGCAAAGGCTCAGACTATGAGAGAGAGAGAGACCCTCTAGCACAGATTCGGGGACTCCAGACCCCTTCCCAGTCCCTGGTTCTCATGAGAGCTAAATTCCAGAACTTCCCTCTCTCTCTCTCTCTCTCTCTCTCCACCCCCCACCCTTCCTCCTTAAGATTGATTCTTCATTCTTGCTGGAGAAAGTTTATAATTGATCTCTTTTATTTGCATCCAAAATAATCTTAACTAAGATGTAAGATGATCACAAATTCAGAAGTCAACTTGTAAAACTTCATCTCCCTGCCACCAACCTTCTTGTTTCCTTGCTGGGATATGGGGTGAATCCTTCTGGACTGAACTGGCCCAAGGGAGAGTAAAATGAGAAAGTTAAACAACATACCGTGGATCAAAATTTGGCAAATTGGCCCAGGATCTATGCCAGTTCTGTCCATTATTCTCTAATATGTCTGGCCGCTATCCATTCCTTATGAAATTTATAATTGCCTTGTTTATGCCGTTAAAAATTTTGGGCTGAGACCCTCAAAGGAATGTTGCCAAATAAAATGGATTATCCCTGGGTCATTTTAGCAATCTCTCTTTTCCTTATCAGTGATGAAGGTCAGTTTTACTGCTGGCTACTTTCCCCCTCTAATTTGCCTGACAAGATAGGACCTACTAACCTAGGACACTCACAAAGATGACATACGGACTTTCTCACTGGGGAGCGATTTTTTCCAGTAACCACAAATTAACATCAAAAGACATGCTGGTGTGCTGCACCCATTAACTCGTCATTTAGCATTAGGTATATCTCCTAATGCTATCCCAGCATGGCACATGTGTACATATGTAACTAACCTGCACATTGTGCACATGTACCCTAAAACTTAAAGTATAATAATAATAAAATAACATAAAATAAAAATAAAAATAAAAAAAAGACAGAGGATTGTTTAAAAGCCAAGGACTTATGTTAAATGAGGGTTAAGTGTAGAACATTCATTAACATGGAACCCAGAGGGCCAGGGAAGAAAGTTATCACCTGCCAAAAAAGGGGACAAGGTCCTGAATTAGGGATAATAGCCTTAGTTTGGAAGGCCTGTAGAACCTTTGCCTCTGTCTTTCAGTAGATTTGGAGAAATAACATCTCACTTCTGGCCTTGTTCGTCCTTCCATGGGAAAACTATAAGGATAATAACTCCTACTCACAGGACTATTGGAGGATTAAAGGTGGCAGCATCTATACATGTCCCTAGTGCTTCTTCATAGCAGGGACTCAAGAGAATGTCAGGGAGTCAAAAATGATTTTTTTAAAAAAAAATAAGAGCTGATTCCTCTAATCTTGGAGCAAGGTTCTTTCAAAGTTGAATCATTTATAATCACAAGGTGATTTTTATCGTCTGTCTTTGTAAATCCCTATAGCCAAATAGGTTAGGGTCAGCAGAATTCTCAGAAAGTAACAGCAGAGGAAAGGGGAAGCCTAGGCTTTAATCCAGAGCCCCAGAACTTTGGGGTTTTTTCTTGATGGCTCTCAACCCTTCCAGAGAAAGAGATCTCTGACCAATAAAATAGAAAGGGAGTTGGTCAGAAACCAGTTGATGCCCGGGAAAAATGAGACTCTTGAGCAAAGAGTCTGGCTGATAAAGTTGTCACAGTAACCACTGAGAAGGCCCTTCTACTAGGGGGCCTTACTGACACTTGGACCCCAGACAGATCCTTCTTGGGAGGTTTGCCAGATCCAGCCTTGGACCCTCTGAGTATGGACCATGCCTGAACTTCTTCCACCCTACCCACAAGTCACTTGGCATTATGGTGAAGCTCAGCTCGACCCTGTCCTGCCCACAAATGCAATCCCAGCCAGCTGGACTCAGCTATTCATGACCCAAGCACCAGCCAGAATTTTTCATGGTTCTGCTTCTTAAGAAATTGTATAGGGAGCAAAAGGGCCTCTGCCACATCAGATCTAAGTCAAGCTGACCTACTGGTCTGTAGTGAAATGTACGTGTCTCGGGGGTTGCTGTGAGGTATTTAAACAAACACCATCTATGTTATTCCAATGAATAGTAACTCTGCAGCATCCAGGTTGGAGGGGAGACCCCCGAATGACTGTCTCTGCTCGCACCAGTCTGCTGCTTGCCTGGTGCCCACTTTGCCTGGAGGACTGTTCCAGACGAGCTTCGAGTCCCGCCTAGGGCTGAGCAGGAGCCCACTGTGCTTTTGGATTTTTCAGTCTATTTTTTTTTTTTTTTTTTTTTTTTTAGTTCTTCTGGATCTTCCTTGGTCCCTGGCTCCTGAGTGGTCTTAGCTGTCTACATTCACAATCCCTCTGCCCTTCCTCTACAGCCCACAGAAACCAGAAGCCACATGGAACAAGCAGGAACAGAGGCCACAGGCTCCTTCAGGAGTGGAGTAAGGGCTTGAGCTCCAGTACGTGGGCTTTGCAACATCTCTTTGTGATTCCCAGAGATCTGTTTTGTTTATTTCAGGCCTTGGCTCTGTTCCAAGGGTTGGCTGATGCCAGATAAATGAGGTGGTGTTGAATGTCCCTGAGGAGTTAGTCCTGGGACAAAGTCTACTGAATAAGCAGAGGGCTCTGCCTCACATCACTTTCTGAAAAAATTTACAAACACTTGGAATTGCTTCAGCGTTCCCTATGCAATCATTAAATATAATCGCTCAGTCGCTGCCCGGATGGATTACATCTCCAAGCAGCAAAGAGCAGCTCTGCGTCTAACGTGAAAGGAGGGATCAGTGCATGTTTGCTGATAACCTTATCATTGTGCTAGGTTGCAGAGCTTTTTCGAGACTTCACTGCGCTCCAATTTTGTAGATATTTTTTTCACCCTGCTTTGGCTGTTTCTGTTCTTCTTTGTGAAATTCTGGAACGCACTGAGGAGAAACAGGGCAGCTGGGGGCAGAGATGAGAAGGGTCTCCACTGATGTGGGAAGACAAAGTCCTGCTGTGGAGACTGGCCCTGAGGGCACGGTGACACGAGAGTGGCACCTTCTAGTGTTGGTTTCAAAGGAGCCAAGATGGAGGGCACCGGCCCTGGCCATGGGCATCCGGGCTCAGGTAACACAAGGGCCAGGAGACACTGCAGGAGGTCCTTGTAAAGAATGTGGTTGTGCAGGGCCAAGGCCAGCAGCTGGGCTTGAGTTCCAGCTCTCCCAAGTGGAGGGGCAGTGGAGACCCTGTGGTGTGTTCTGGTCCCAGACCTGTAGACCCCCATGCTTTGGTGTCAGCAGTGGCCGAGAAGATGGCTTTCTTCCATGGTCCCAAGCCACACCCAAGGAACCCCAACCAGGCAGCTCCCATGTCTAATGGGTCCTGGAGGCAGAGGGGGAGAAGGGAAGGGGAAAGAGTTCGGATCTTTCAGTGTGATCTGTTACTACAACCAGCAAAAGGGAAAGGAAAGAGAATCAAGTTTTATTGAATATCTACCATGTTCTGGGCCTTAAGAGAGAAGGAAACTGAGGCTCCCAGTGGTAAAGTCCAAGATCACAGAGCCCTGACCATGAGATTCCAACCACACCAAAGCCAGCAGCTCCCCTTCCATGACAAGGGACCTGTCCCATCTCTTAGAATGCCCCCTCTCCACTGTAAGGCAGAAATGCAAGATCCAGGGCTGTTTCCCCTATTATTCTCTCAGGATTTTAGAAATTCAATCTAGGTTTGCTTGAATATGGAGAAAAGAGGCAATGTGAAAGCAGAACTAAATATCAACAGTCTGAAGAACTTGGTTGACCCCACCCAATCCTTAAAGCAAGAAAGTGGGAAACGAAGCGAAACTGCCAGGCCTGCGTCACATGACTAATCAGAGCCAGCAGAGTTCGGCTCTCAGGCAGTGTTCCCACAAGGGCAGGTGAAGGGTTTTCAACACGTTCAAAGGAGGTCAGTTTGATTCTCCCCTTACATACTGCGATTAGAGGCTGAAATGCAGAACATGTGTAAGCATGAAGCACTGGCCACTGGGAATGTCACAGCTGCACGCCAAGAGCAGAGTTCTGCCAACTCCAGTTCCAGCCTCTCCTTGACTCACCAAAGGGGACTGGGGTGAGTAATTTAACCAAATCCCACCTCACTTCTCTCAGCTGGACAACAGGGGGAAACAGCAGGAAATCTCAGAAAGACTAATAGGAAAAGAAGGGTCTGGTCCTGGTGGCTGACTTCCACCGCCATGAGAAGGTCCCCTCCAGCTAACACTAACCACGGGGCAGCTCAGCAAAGCATGTCTATGGACACCTGGAAACTGAGGCTTGGGAAGTGAGGACTTACCCAAATTCAGATAGTTGGAAAATTACAAGTTAGAGCCAAACTGTGCTCATCCCATTAAGGAGGACTCTACTATTTTCTGAAGCAGAGAGGGCAGAAGCCAACACAACTCAATTTTCATATGGCAAAATGGTTTGGAGCATGAGTTTGGACATAGTCTCTGGGTTTAAGATATGGCTCTCAACTTCATACTGAGTGGGCAAAAGCTGAAACCATTCCCCCTGAGAACCAGAACAAGACAAGGATGCCACTCTCACCACTTATATTCAGCATAGTACTGGAAATCCTAGCCACAGCAATCAGGCAAGAGAAAGAAATAAAAGGCATCCAAATAGAAAGGGCAGAAGTCAAATTATCTCTGTTTGCAGATAACATAATTCTAGATATATAAAACCTCGTAGGATCTACCCAAAAGCTCTTAGAGCTGATAAACAACTTCAGCAAAGTTTCAGGATAGAAAATTGATGTACAAAAATCAGTAGCATCTATACACCAGCAACGTTCAAACTGAGAGCCAAATCAGAAAGGCAGTGCTATTCACAATTGCCACAAAAAGAATAAAGCTAACGTTCACATGTTATGCCACAAAACGTGATGCCACAAAAAGGAATACAGCTAACCAGGAAGGTGAAAGATCTCTACAATAAGAATTACAAAACGCTGCTCAAAGAAATCAGAGATGACACAAACAATTGGAAAAACATTCCATGCTAATGGATTGAAAGAATTGATAGTGTTAAAATGGCCATATTACCCAAAGCAATTTACAGATTCAACGCTATTCCTATGAAACTACCAATGACATTCTTCACAGAATTAGAAAAAAAAAAACTAGTTTAAAATTCATACGGAACCAAAGAGAGCCTGAATAGCTAAGGCAATCCTAAGCAAAATGAACAAAGCTGAAGGCATCACATTATTTAACTTCAAATGATACTACAAGGCTACAGTAACCAAAGCAGCATGGTACTGGTACAAAAACAGACATATAGACCAATGGAACAGAATAGAGAGCCCAGAAAGAAGGCCACACACCTCTGATCACCTGATCTTCGACAAAGATGACAAAAACAAGCAATGAGGAAAAGACTGTCTATTCGATAAATGCTGCTGAAATAACTGGCTAGCCATATGCAGAAGATTGGAACTGGACCCGTTCCTTACAGCATATACAAAAATCAACTCAAGATGGATTAAAGATTAAATATAAAACCTAAAACTATAAAAACCCTGGAAGATAACCTAGGAAATGCCATTCTGGACATAGGCCTTGGCACAGATTTCATGACAAAGATGCCAAAGCAATTGTAAAAAAAAAAAAAAAAAAGTTGACAAATGAGACCTAATTACATGAAAGAGCATTTGCACAGCAAAAGAAACTATCAACAGAGTAAACAGACAACCTACAGAATGGGAGAAAATATTTGCCAACTATGCATTCAACAAAGGTCTAACATCCAGAAGGAACTTAAACAATTAACAAGTAAAAACCAAACAATTCTGTTAAAAAGTGGGCAAAGGACATGAACAGACACTTTTCAAAGAAGACATACATGCAGCTAGCAAGCATATGAAAAAATGCTCAACATCACTAATCATTAGAGAAATGCAAATTAAAATCACAATGAGATACCATCTTACACCAGTCAGAATGGCTATTGTTAAAAAGTCAAAAAAATAACAGATGCTGGCAAGGTTGCAGAGAAAAGGGAACACTTATACACTGCTGGTGGGAATGTAAATTGGTTCAGCCACTGTGAAAAGCAGTTTGGTAATTTATCAACGAACTTAAAACAGAATTACCATTCAACCTAGAAATCTCATTATTGGTTATATGTCCAAATAAATATAAATCATTCTACCATAAAGACACATGCACGCGTATGTTCATGGCAGCACTATTTACAATAGCAAAGACATAAAATCAACCTAAATGCCCATCAATAATAGACTGGATAAAGAAAATGTGGTACATATACACCATGGAATTCTACACTGCCATAAAAAGGAATGAGATTGTGTCCTTTGCAGCAACAAGGATGGAGCTGGAGGCCATTATCCTAAGCGAACCAACACAGAAACAGAAAACCAAATACCACATTCTCACTCATAAGTGGGAGCTAAACATTGAGTACGCACAGACACAAAGAAGGGAACAACAGACACTGGGGCCTACTTGAGGATGGGAGGAGGTGAGGATAAAAAAACTACCTATTGAGGACTATGCTATTAGCTGGGTGATGAAATTAGCTGTAAACCAAACCCCCATAACACACAAATAACCTATATGACAAACCTGCAAATGTAACCCTGAACCTAGAATAAAAGTTTAAAAAAAAAAAGCATGAGGCCTGGCACGGTGGCTCCCAGCACTTTGGGAGGCTGAAGCAGGTGGATGACTTGTGGTCAGGAATTCAAGACCACCCTTGCCAATATAGTGAAACCCGTCTCTACTATAAATACAAAAATTAGCTGGGTGTGGTGGTACGTGCCAGCTACTTGGGAGGCTGAGGCTGAGGCCGGAGAATCGCTTGAGCCTGGGAAGTGGAGGTTGCAGTAAGCCAAGATCATGCCACTGCACTCCAGCCTAGGCAACAGAGCAAGACTGTCTCAAAAAATAAAAATAAAAATAAAAAAATAAAAGTATGGCTCTGCCATTTTTTAGCACTTAAACTCACTTAAACTTTGGCAAATTATTTAATCTTTCTGGCCTCAGTTTCCTTCTTGTGTAAAGTAAGACTAATAATAGTATTCACTCAATTTGAGAATTAGCTAAGTTACTCCACGTAAGCACTAATAAAGGTATCTACACATACAGGATGTGCTTTTGACTATTAAAAAAAACAAATAAAATGCAAAAAGACCCTGCAGCCCCAGGCCAGGACATACCTGGGTCTGGGGCCCTAAATATGCTGTGTCTGCTACGGCAATAAGCTGCCTTTTCATTAGCACAGAGAATCCGTAGGAAGGTCAGGTTTGGGGTATCAGAAGCACTAAGCCCTATGGAGTTTAGTACCTCATCTTTGGGAGGTAAGGATTTCCTAACACTAAGAGGTGTGTAAAGCTGAAATAGGACCTGTGTGCAAATGCAGAGAGTAAGGGGGTCTCATTCACCCAGTGACTTCTGCTCATTCTGTACTGCAAAGCTGAACTTACCCTGCTTGGGGAAGCTTCCCCAGGTGCTCCAGGGGTGATTTCCCCCTCTCCTCTGGTTGTAGCTTCACCATATCACCGTGGGCTCTAGGGTCAGATAAATCAGACTTCAAATCCCCTAATGGGATTTGGGTCCACCCAATTGCTCAGAGCCTCAATTTTCTCTCTTTTCTTTCTTTCTCTTCCTTCCCCTTCCCTCCTTCCTTTCCTTCTTTTTCTTTTTCTCTTTCTCTCTTCTTTCTCCTTCCTTCCTTCTTTCTTTCCCTCCCTCCCTCCTTTCTTTTCTTTTTCTTTCTCTTTCTTGCTTCCTTCTTTCCTTCCTTCTTCCTTTCCTTTCTCTTTCCTTCCTTCCTTCTTTCCCTCCCTCCCTTTTTCTTTTTCTTTCTCTTTCTTCCTTCTTTCCTTCCTTCTTCCTTTCCTTCCTCTTTCCTACCTTCCTTCCTCCCTCCCTCTCTTCTTTTCTTCCTTCCTTCTTCCTTTTCTTTCTTCCTTCCTTCTTTCCTTCCTTCTTCCTTCCTTTCTCTTTCTTTCCTTCCTTCCTCCCTCCCTCCCTCCCACTCTTCTTTTTTTTTCTTTTCTTTCTTCTTTCTTTCTTTCTTCTTTCTTTCTTTCTCTTTCTTTCCCTCCCTCCCTTCCTTCCTGCCTTCCTTTTTTTTTCAGGGTCACACTCTGTCACCCAGGCTGGAGTCCAGTGGCATGATCTTGGCTCACTGCGACCTCCACCTCTTAGGGTTCAAGTAATTCTTATGCCTCAGCCTCCCAAGTAGCCAGGATTACACCACCACACCCAGCTAACTTTTTTTTTTTTTTAGTAGAGATGGGGTTTCACCATGTTGGCTGGTCTTGAACTCTTGAACTCCTGACCTCAAGTGATCCACCTGCCTCAGCCTCCCAAAGTGCTGGGATTACAGGTGTGAACCATGGCGCCTGGCCACATCAGCTTTCTCATCTGTAAACTGAAGATAACCAAAGTAGCCACCTCATAGGATTATGATTTGGTGCCTAACCGTTTAGAATTGTAATATCCTCCTGAGGAACAGGCCCCTGGTCATTATGAAATGATGTTATTTATTCTCGGCAATATTCTTTGCTCTGAAATCGACTTTGTCTGATATTAACATTGTCACTCCAGCTTTGTTTTGACTAGCATTAACATGGTGCATCTTTTCCCATCCATTTATTTTTAACCTACTTATACTTTTCTATTTGAAGTGGGTTTTTTGTAGGCATATAATTTGGTCTTGCTTTTTTATCCAGTCTGACAATTTCTGCCTTTGAATTGGGATATTTATATTTAAAGTGTTTATTAATATAGTCAAGTTTAAATATACCATTTTGCTATTTGTTTTCTATGTGAATAATCTTTTCATTCTTCCATACTTCTTCTTTTCCTACCTTATACATCTTTAACTTATCACAGTCTACTTTCAAATAATAGCAAATGACTTCACACATAGTCTAAGGACCTCACAATAGTGTACTTTCTTTTCTTCTCTCCTGGCCTTTATGCTATTGTCATGCATTCTATTTTCATGGATGTTATAAACCTCACACTACATTGTTATTATTTTTGTCTAAGCAGTTATCTTTTAAAGATATTTAAGTGCTAAAAACATCATGTATTTATCCGTATGCTTACTACTTTTGGTGCTTTTCATGCCTTTGTATAAATCTATATTTCTATCTGGTATCATTTTCCTTCTGCCTGAAGAATTTTCTTTAATATTTCTTATGATAAAGATCTGTTGGTGATGAATTATCTCAAGTTTTGCAAGTCTGAAAATATCTTTGTTATACCTTTATTTTTGAAACATAATTTTGTTGGATATAGAATTTTAGATTGATTTTCTTCCCTTTTAGTACTTTAAAGATGCCATTCTACTGTCTCTTTACTTGCCTTGTTTCTAATGAGAAATCTGTTGTCATCCTCATCTTTGTTCTTTTACACATAATGATATAGGAGATAGAAATTATTTAGGCAGATATGAGGGCAAATGAGTCCTCAGCAAAACTTCCCTTCTAACAAAAACAGCCCCAGAAATAATTTTTTTTCTAACAAACAGCAGCCTGAAAGATGGAGCTGCAAACATAGATAAGGAAGCTGGAAGCTTGCACAGGGGAATGTCAGCAGCTGTCCAGTGACGTCCGGTGTCTTGCAAACTGTTTAGCATACATATATTGTCCATTTTTTGATTATTTCAGTCAGGAGGGTATATCTGCTGCCTGTTGCTGCATCTTGATCAGAAGTCTGCTAATGCTGAAACCTCAGGGCCTTGCAATTCCATGCACAGTGTACAGTGCCCCTCAAATTACCTGGCTTCCCGGGAACATGTACCTAGTACACTGTTCTGCACATAAAGAGAATTTAGCAATACTTAGCAATGATTCTTAATCAGCAGTCATTGAGGCTATGAGGTGCTTGCATGAATATGAATTATGAAAATTCCAACCAGTATCGTTCATTTAACGATCATATTGTGGACAATTTTTCTTTCTTGTGTGAAATCTCATTTATCGCAGGTTTTATGCACAAAAAGGAACAGATTATACCACAAAGGTAAAGATAGTTTGAAAAATTAGAACTCAGAAACAAAGGAGTTAAAAGACTAAAATATGATTTAATTCCAAAGTTTCCCTTCTATTTGTACTCTGCACGTGTCTACCTCACTGCTAAGAACGTTCCTTAAGTAACAGAATATTACTCTTGCAACATTCAACCCAAAGAAAGCACAATTGCCAAGGTTCCTGTAGAAATAGCTAGTTTAAGACTTTCTCGTGATTTCCTAACACAGAGTGATAATGTTATTAAAATTGACCATCAAGTGTTATGGAAACATCAATTTGTGGAGAGAAAGAATCCTGGAATCCAAAGGTTTCCACAGAGGAGTTCAAGAGCAGCAGTGCTGGGACCATGAATTCTCAGTGAGGCCAAACGTGAGGGGCTGCTGTGTGCACTCATTCCGCCCAGATCCAAGATAAACCAAGCAGTTAGAAAAAACTGATCACTTTCTGTGTCAATGCTCAGGAGACATTTGGAGGCCTTTATCTCTTTCCCACTTTCAAATACAAATCTTAAGTCTCAAGGGCCAAATTAATAACATTCCAGTGAAAACTAAATGATCATATTTTGGTCTCAACAGAAGCCAGATTTTGGTTTCTAGCAGGGCTGAGAAATCTATTCCCCGGAAACTCCAGCTTCTTTTGATCACCACAGACACACTCTGATGACCTGCAGCTCTCAACTATATATAGCAAGACCCTTTCTGTTTGATCAGTGAGTCTGGGCTGTGTTTTGCAAACAGTAGGCTACAACACATGAGCAGGTCATGAAATCAACTTACTGTATCATGACTTGCTTTTTAAAAGATGACACAAAATAAGAAAATATGAGAGCACCTCACAATAGTGAGGCCGGTACTGTTTCATAAAATTCCTTTTTTCAATTTCATACATGTGTCTTTGTAAATACTGGGTTGTAAAGATTTGTAAAGGAAAGCATACCTTTTACTTCAGGTTAAGGTCAAAATAATTTGAAAACCACTGGTCTAGAAACTAATTAAGCATTCTGTGTTCAGCTGCTGGTGGGAGTGGAAATTGGTTTAACCTGTACTGACAATACCAATCATCATTTACATTAGGGGTGTCCAATCTTTTGGCTTCCCTGGGCCACACTGGAAGAACAAGAATTGTCTTGGGCCACACATAAAACACGCAAACACTAATGATAGCTGATGAGCTAATTTTAAAAATTGCAAAAAAATCCCAAATGTTTTAAGAAAGTTTATGAATTTGTGTTGGGCCACATTCAAAGCCATCCAGGGCTGCATGAGGCCTGAGGGCCACGGGTTGGACAGGTTTGATTTAAATACTTGATTCCCAAAAAGCAATCCCAGGTATGCACAAAAATAAAAGTTAGGTGCCAAGGTACTAGAATGTTTTCTATAGTGTTGTTTATAATAATGGAACAATTTTACATAAGCTGAGGAATTGATTGAATGCATTATGGTACACCTACAAGATAAATGGTACCGGCTATGAAAATTTTACTTCAAAGTAAGGTTGTAGTAAAGAGTTGAAGTAATATCCATATCAAGTCTTAGGTAAATTAGGGGGGTTCTAAAATTTCAAATACACACACCCACTGCACAGAAAGAATATACTGCAGACAGTTAAGAATCATCTCTGAGAAGTATAATTTTGGGATATATTTACTTTTTTGTGCTTTTCTTTATTCTCAAAACTTTCTACAATGGATATATATTACTTTTGTAATTGATAAAAATAATGCAATAAATGTGATTTCAAATAGACTTTGCTCAGCCAAGAAGCTGCCCTCCACAGATGATGCTCATTTTAGGCTATAGCAACAAACACTAAAGTTAGCAGTTGAGAGGAAAAAGATTTCACAGGGCCCTATGTTTAGAGTAGTGGCAAAAATTAGGTGCAAGATGCACCCATATCTTGGTAAATTTTACAATAATTTCTCATGCTCCCCTCTTCTCAAGTCCCCATCTCCTAAACTAGACACACTAACATAAAAATCTGTCCCCAACAAATGAGCTGTCAATATGGGTTGTGCAGGTTTTAAAGCTAATGAATGTCATCATTGCTCTCATTATGAGTAGTCTGTAGGCAATACAGTGTTCTTTCTCCCTCCAAAAGTAACAATAAAATCATGTTTTTTTAAAAAAAAAAAAGTGTTCAGGGTAAAAAAATAATAAAGCAAGAAAAGATCAAGGGGGCCAAGTTTTGTGGATTAATTCCAAGTTTTAAGGGTAAGAAAGAAAACAGATGCACAGGACATTCTTTCATTCATTCATTCATTCATTTATTCGTTCATTCATTCATTCATTCATTCAATGTCTGTGCACATCAGTCTATCTGTCCATCTGTCTGTCAGCTGGTCATCACTCAGTCCACAGCTATCTCCTGAATATTCCACACAACAGTCAGACTTAGGCTGTAGTGATCAAGGACTTGGTCCCTGCCCTCACTGCCCTCATGGTCTAGCCTCAGTTTACTCATTTGTAAAATGGAAATAAGTGAGAATAGCTGACGTGAAGTGTCCATATGTGCCAAGCACCATGCTGCAGTGCTGCAGGCTGAGCCTCTGTGCACTGGATCAGCTGCACCATGTGGTGCTGGGGCCTGAAGGCACCACAGAGTGCCTGCTGTAGGCAGCTGTGCAGACAGGCTCCGGGCCTTCTCTAGGTCTGGTTCCCGCTTTTTCCCTTTATTCCTTTCCTCCCCTGCATCCTCACTGAGACCCAGCCCATGCCTGTCATGGTGTCCCTCAGTGCACCACAGACTCCCACACCCTCATCCTGAGTTCAGGTTCCCCTGCCTAGCAGGTCCTCCAGCCCCACCTGGAAGGCTCTTGCTCATTCCTTAAGTTGCTCAAGTGGCACTGCTTGCGGACCCTCCACAGTTCGCACTGAGTACTCTGAGCCCCTGCAGCTGCACAGGGCCTGCCTCGTCGTGCTGGGCTCTGCAGCCACCTGTCTACCTGGTACAATGGCAAGCAAAAGAGACCATGTGGTATCTCTTTTCTCCAAATCCCCAGCCTGGGCACATCGAGGAAACATCAACTCCTACTTCCTGAGTCTATGTGTTGAGCATTTGATGCTCTTTGTCGCATAGAATTTAACTCCCACAACCTCTACAAGGGAAGGTTTGTTATCTCCATATTATGTAAGGAAAAACTGAGGCATAGGGTGGGAATAACTGGCCCAAAATCATGCCCAGGATTACTGGCTTCAAAGGCAGTAAATGTGTGTTGAAATATATTTTTTTGAAGCAAGATGTGCCTAGTCCTACAACCCAAAAAAAGAGATGGTCTTTGGTTTCCTCTCAGTAGCCCCCAGACTCAAGTCCACACTTCACTCCCAGGGAGTTCCAACCTGAAGATGCAGCATGTATGCATATGAGCTTAAAACAATTAGAAGATGTTCATTCTTTTCTTTCAACAAATATTTGTGTCTCTACAAATATCTCCATGCTAGGTGTCAAGTGGATTGGGAGTGGAGAGGAGAAGGGAAGGAACAAAAATGGAAATCAGGGCCGTGATACTGTGATCTAATAAGAAATGTACATCGTGTTTCATCCCTGGTTCCTGGCACAGAGCTCCTAAAACATTTTTTATTTCCTGAGTGATAGGTGCTAGAAGCATTCTTTGTTCTAAATTTACTCTTTTACCCCAGTTCCTGACACAGAGTTCCTAAACCTCTTGGTATTTCCTGGGTGCTGGAGCATCTTTTGTTCTAATGAGGCAACTCCTAGTGGGCTCCTGGTCAGCTTCTGGATGGGGGCTGGTCATCAGAAATGCCAAGCCATGGTTAGAAGCTCACAGCTTTTATCGCCCTCCCTGAAACCCCTGCCATCCTCCAGGAAGGGCAGAGGAGCTAGAGACTGAGTTAATAATTGATCATGCCTATGCGATGAAGCCTCTATAAAAATCCCTAAAATAGTTCGAGACCAGCCTGACCAACATGGTAAAACCCCATCTCTACTAAAAGTACAAAAATTAGCTGGGCATGGTGGCACATGCCTTAATCCCAGCTACTCAGGAGGCTGAGGGAGGAGAATTGCTTGAACCCAGGAGGCGGAGGTTGTGGTGAGCCAAGATTGCACCATTGCACTCCAGCCTGGGCAACACAGCAAGACTCCATCTCAAAAAAAAAAAAAAATCCCTAAAATAAGTGGTTCAGAGAGCTTCCAGGCTGGTGAACACATCCTTGTGCCAAGCAGGGCGGTACACACCAACTCCAGAGGGACAGAAGCTCCCGTGCTCAGAACCCTTCTGGACCTCAGCCGATGTATCTCTTTATCTGGCTGTTTATCTGTATCCTTAATTATTTCCAGTAAACATTTAAGTGTTTCTCTGAGTACTGTGAGCTGTTCTAGCAAATTATTGAACCTAAGGAGAGGGTCATGGGAACTCCTGATTTATAGACAGGTTAGGCAAAAGTGTGGGTAGACCAGGAACCATGACTCGCACCTGTAATCCCAGCACTTTGGGAGGGTGTGATGGGAGGATGACTTGAGGCCAGGAGTTTGAAACCAGCCTGGGCAACACAGTGAGATCCCCATCTCTACAAAAAATAAATTAGCCAGTGTAGTGGTATGCGCCTGTAGTCCTAGCTACTTGGGAGGCTGAGGAAGGAGGATTGCTTGAGCCCAGGAGTTCAAGGCTACAGTGAGCTGTGATTGTGCCACTACACTTCAGCTTGGGTGACAGTGAGACCCTGTCTCAATAATAATAATAATAACAGTGCGGGTAACCCAGAGAACCACTATTTGTGACTAGCATCCAAAGTTGGGGGAAGACTTATGGAACTGAGGCCTTAATCTGTGGAGTCTGCATGCACTCCAGGTAGTCGTCAGAATAAATTAAATTGTAGAGCAGGGTTCCCCAATCCCCAGGCCATGGACCAGTACCAGACCATGGCCTATTAGGAACCGGGCCACACAGCAAGAGGTAAGTGGTGGGAGCAAGTATTACTGCCTGAGCTCCACCTCCTGTCAGTTCAGCAGCACCATTAGATGCTCATAGGAGCGTGAACTCTATTGTGAACTGCACATGTGAGAGATCTGCACGCTCCTCATGAGAATCGAAAGCCTGAGGATCTGAGGCAGAACAGTTTCATCCCGAAAACATCTCCCCTACCCCGCACCCCCCACCCCCAAAACCATCCATGGAAAAATTGTCTTCCACGAAACCAGTCCGTGGTGCCAAACAGGTTGGAGGCCACTGTTGCAGAGCACCCTGTTAGTGTCCACAGAGAATTAGAGGACTGGTTGTTATGGAAAAGCCACACATCTGGTGTCAGAATTATTGTGAGCAGAGGACACAGCATTTGCCTTTTAGGGCCCTCTGCCCCAGGTTGCTCAGGAGCTACTGGGCGCAGAGTTCTGTGAGGCAGCGTGCCTGGGGGGCTGGCATTCCAGCATGGACTGCGTCTTCTCTAACAGGGTGGGGTTATTTCCGCACTGCTGGGTGGTCCTCGGCAGCACAGGTGAACATGACAGGCTGGATCACTGGAGAGCAGGCGAGGGCGGTTGTTCCGGGTGGCACTGCCAGGGCTCAGCATTGACCCTGGGGAAATACGGCCTCCCAGAACAAGCACTGAGGCCAGGACGAAGGGATGAGGGTTAGGATGACAAGAGGGGTGCAGGAGGGTCTCTGTGCAGGGAGGCTATGAAGGCCTGGGGGTGAGAGACCCCTGGGCCTGCCCACCTGTGAACTGCGAGAAAGGGAATGAGTCACGGGAGCCCAGAGGACCAGGAGCCTGCAAGAGGTTCTGCGCAAGCCCTCAGGCTGAGTCACCTGTCAAGGCCACAGTGTCTGAGCTCAGGGCCCCCAGCAGTGCCCCAACACCCCACTGTGTGGGCTGTCCCTGCCTGAGGGGCCACTTCAGGTCATACCCCCCACCTGCTGACCTAACCTCCTTACTCTACCCCCGAATCCCTGGGCTGTGTTCCCAGCTGCTCCCAGCCTGCTCACTGAAGGGACAGCCACCTCCTGGAGATGCAGGTAGAAACCAGCCCCCTGGCAGGGCCCTCCTTAGCTAAGGAGAGTCACATCGCGCCATTGCCCCAGCTGCCTTGGAGGACCTCAGCTCCTGGCCAGCTGCACCCTAGGCCAGCTATTATTTCATTCTCCATTCCCTTTCTTTTCCATGTGGACCCCACACAACAACCCCATAGGAATGAAGCAGACATGCCCCACCCCCCACCATCATCAGGGACACATCTTCACTTAGCCACCTAAAAGAAATGATCATGCTAGCTTTCAGGTGGACAAACACCATGGATCACATGGGAGAGGCCCTCAGGCTGTGCCCGCAGCTCTGCCTCTTATGAAGGCTCAGCCCCTCTTCACCATTGCCCCTCTGTGCCATCCGTTAGCTCCACACGGATGGCAGGGAATCGGCTTTCCAGAAACTCATCCTTTCCCTTTTATTTTCTACAGCTGCCCTTGACTTGCCCTTGATCCATTCTCTTCTGAAGCTAAAACTCTTCATCTTCCCCTTCATGTTCAGAGGTGCTGTTTATAAGCAAATATTTGATGAAGTTCAGCATTAAATTCAGACCAAAGACCAACAGGGGCTCCCTCCTTCCATTCTCCTCTGGGGGTGTGGTCTGGAGTTCCAGTAGCTGCCACATCTGGCTTGCATTCGAATGAAGTGCACAGCTGATCCTGCAGTCCTGCCGTGCCACCATGTCACAGGTCCACAGCCTCATGCTGCGTGTCCTGCCCTCAGACACCCAACTTGGGTTCACTTTGTCATGGGCTCTGGACCCCCGCATGGGTGTGGAGACCTGCAGAGTCCTGCAGGGCTTCTGTTCTCACAGCTGCACACAGATCCAGCTGCTCTCAGAGTCCCCCTCAACTCCCTCAAATATTCATATTGGGATTTCTAACACCTTGTGCTTCTCACCACACAATCCAGTCTGAGACTGGGGCTGGAGACACACCAGGAAGTCTCTGAATGCTCTGCCTCCTGTGTCCTCACCAGGGGTGAGGGAAACCCTTGGGGTCATTTCCTGTGTTCTCCCAAGGGATTAAAACATTGGAGCAGAGCTTTGATCATCTGAACCTTCAGTGGCCCTTTCCCATACTGTCCACTACTACCTTTGCCCCACGAAGTTTCATGATATTTATTGTGTGCCTTCATGGGCCAGGCATTTTACAAACATGTATTCTATCAGTCCTGGCAGCATCATATGATGGAGACACACAAGACTATGAGGCTGGTAAGGAAGGAACCCAGAGTCATGGGCAGTTGGGATTTCTATTAGACTCTGAAGCATGTTATCTGCCCGCCCCACAGTGCTCCCCCAGTGTGGGTTGTATCGTGGGGACCCACGGGGGCTGCAGGCCTTGGGGCTCACCATGCCTCCAGTGCACTCGCGGCAGTCCTGCAGGCAGCGGATGTTCTCCCAGGTGCTGTAGGCCTTCAGCCCCGCCACCAGAGCCTGCAGCGAGCGACTGTTGACCAGCTCCTTTCCCTGGAAGACATCCTCATCCAGGAGGGCCCCAGCATACCTGCAGGACAAAGCAGACATGTGTGATGGAAGTGGCGGTGCAGTCAGCACATGTGTGAAGGAGCATTATCTGTGAAGTGCTATAACGCTATTTGAGGAAAGAATATGATGTCAGTGATGCAGATTTTAAACTGTAGATAGTCACTAAAAAATAACAGTGGCATAGTTAAAACGCTACCAGTGGAAACCTAAAAATTATTTAATTAGTCAATGAAACACAAGAGCAGAGGGAAAAGGGAACAAAGAACATATGGGATATATAGAGAAAAAGTTGCAGGATAATATTCTAAAACTCTATGTTTATTGATAGTTACATTAGGTGCAAATGGTTTAAACAGTACTATTTAATTTGGAGATTGTCAGACATGACTTTTAAAAAATCAAGATTCAACTAGATGCTTTATACAAGAAACCCACTCAAAATATAAAGAGAAATAGGTCAAAAGAAAAATAACAAAAAAATTTATACCTGCAAACACGAACCAGAGGAACAGCAGAGGCCTGTCGGCATCTGACGTAGACCTCGAGATTAAACCTGCTCCTCCAAAGTCTACCAAAGTCTTCATGGGTCTGTCAAAACTGTCACCCTGCACCATGACCATACGTGCAACCATGAGTCTCCACCACATCGTTCTCCCATTGGAAAACCTCTCCTTTGCTTTCTGTCCAAGTTAACTTTTCTTCCAATCCATTTACAGGCCTCACTGCTTACGCTGACATCTGTCTAGGCACCCCTTGACCCAGCACAAAGTGGGACCTATGCTCAACTCTCCTCTTATTTTGGTCTACACACATAGGATCAGGTTCCAAATTATTTTCTTTTAACCACACACACAAAAGGTTTCACATGCCTCTTGTATTTGTAACTTTTTAATTCCACTTCCCTTGAAATTCTGCACCTTACAACAATGCAGTATACCTCAATTCCACTCCCCCATCCACTTTGCTACTGTTGAGATTTTATATATAAAGATATGTATACATATTATGTATAAAATATAGATACAGATCTTCTGCATGTGTGATAAACCTCATGCCTATTTTTGCTTTAAACAACTTATCTTCTTCCCTAATCAACAATATTGAGAAATAATATGTTTACAATGATGCATTCATTCAAAGTGCACCACTTGAAGAGTTTTGACAACCGTACACACCCATGAGAATAGCATCACAATCAAGCTACAGAACAAAATGCCTCATGTCTTTTTGCACTCCATTCCTTTCTTTACTCCCACCCCAAGGCAACCACTGAACTGTTCTTTGACACTATAGGTGAGATGTATTTTAAGTAAATGGAATTGCAGAGTGTGTGTTGTCTTGCTTCTTTCAATCAGCATGCTGTTTTGAAATTCATCCACATTACAATATATATTTGTAGTTGTTCCTTTTTATTGCTAGTAGTACTCTATTCTACGTAATGTACTCACCGCATTCATTTATGCATTCACTTGTTGATGAACATTTTGGTTGTTTCCAGTTTGGGACTATTGCAAATAAAACTGTTATGAAAATTCATGTACAATTCTTAGAGAAAATACATGTCTTCATTTCTCTTGAGTAAATACATTGAAGTGAAATGGCTCAGTCATACGGTAGATGCATTTCAGGCTTTGTAAGAAGCTGCCAAATAATTTTCCAAAGTGGTTATGCAATTTTACATTCCTACCAGCGGTGTGTAATAATTATAGTTGTTCTACATTCCTGCCAACAATTGGTCTTTACAGTCTTTTTAATGTTAGTCATTCTAGTGTATATGTAATGGTATCTCCTTATGGTTTGAATTTGCATCTGTAAAATGGAGATATAATTTCCTATTTCATAGAGTTGTTGGGAAAACTGAGGCTCAACTGAAGTAAACATACCTCAGTCAAGGTCCCTCATGTGTGAGGGCAGAGCTAGCATTTAAACCCAGGGCTCTCTATTCCTAAATAGCATGTTCTTTTCATTATAGATAATGTTCCTGTCAGTGCCCTAAGGAAGTCTGTGGCATTTTCATCTATGCTATATTATCATCACCCATGCTCCGGGCTGTGACTATAATACAATGACTCTCAGAGAATCTCAGAAATGGGTATTTAAAAAAATGTATACATGATTCCCCATTGATCTCTCCAATCACACACACCCCCATCTCTCCCCATTCCCCAGGGGTGGAAATAGGTGGGAAATAAGAAATAAATAGTCTTTAAGAAAAGAACTGTGAGAGGCCCCAGCCAAACTTCCAGCTGCCAGGTGGAGAGGTGCACCAGTGGCTCTTACTCTTTGCTGTACCCTTACATTTGTTTAACCAAGGAGTCTGAGAAGTCTTCCATGTTCAGTGTGTTTTAGAGTACAGGAGGAGTATGTCTTAAGAAAATCTGATATAAGAAACTCATCGTGGCCCAAAAGATAAATTAGGAAATAGGGATTCTTGAGGCAAAATTATTTCTCATTTCCAAACATGTTTATTTAATAGGTGATGTCTCAAGAAATGCAAGGTATTTGTTTATGGGTTACATCCACTCAAAAAATAGATTAAACAAACTGTTAGAACTGTATTAGTGTTTTCATACTGCTGATAAAGACATACCTGACACTGGGTAATTTATAAAGCAAAAAGGTTTAATGGACACACAGTTTCACAAGGGAAGGGCTCACAATCATGATGGAAGGCAAAAGGCACATTTTGCATGATGGCAGGCAAGAGACAGAATGAAAGCCAAGTGAAAGGGGAAACCTCTTGTAAAACAACTAGATCTCATGAGACTTATTCACTACCATGAGAAGAGTATAGCGGAAACTGCCCCCATGATTCAATTAGCCCCCACTGAGTCCTTCCCACAACACATGGAATTATGGGAGCTACAATGCAAGATGAGATTTGGGTGGGCACACAGCCAAATCATATCATTCCACACCTGGCCCTTCCCAAATCTCATGTCCTCACATTTCAAAACCAGTCATCCCTTCCCAACAGTCCCCCAAAGTCTTAAGTCATTTCAGCATTAACTCAAAAGTTTACAGTCCAAAGTCTTATCTGAGACAAAGCAAGTCAAAGCAAGTCCCTTCCACCTATGAGCCTGTAAAATCAAAAGCAAGTTAGTTACTTCCTAGATACAATGGTGGTACAGGCATTGGGTAAATACAGCTGTTCCAAATGGGAGAAATTGGCCAAAACAAAGGGGCTACAGGCCCCCTGTAAGTTCACAGTCCAGTGGGGTGGTCAAATCTGAAAGCTCCAAAATGATCTCCTTTGACTCTTTGTCTCACGTCCAGATCACACTGATGCAAGAGGTGGGTTCCCATGGTCTTGGGCAGCTCTGCTCCCCTGGCTTTGCAGGGTACAGCCCCCTACCCCAGCTACTTTCACAAGCTGGCAGTGAGTGCAGCTTTTCCAGGTGCATGGTGCAAGCTGTCAGTGGATCTGACATTATAGGGTCTGGAGGACACAGCTCTACTAGGCAGTACCCCGATGGGGACTCTGTGTAGGGGCTTCAACCCCACATTTCCCTTCTACACTACCCTAGCAAAGGTTCTCCATGAGGGCCCCGCCCCTGCAGCAAACTTATGCCTGGACATCCAGGCATTTCCATACATCCTCTGAAATCTGGGCAGAGGTTTCCAAACCTCAATTCTTGACTTCTGTGAACCTGCAGGCTCAACACCATGTGGAAGCTGCCAAGACTTGGGGCTTGCATCCTGTAAAGCCATGCCTCCAGCTATACCATGGCCCCTTTTAGCCATCGCTACAGCAGCTGGGATGCAGGGCACAAAGTCCCTAGGCTGCACACAGCAGGAAGACCCTGGGCCTGGCCCATGAGACCATTTTTTCCTCCTAGGCCTCCTGGCTTGTGATGGGAGGGGCTGCTGCAAAGGTCTCTGACATGCTCTGTAGACATTTTGCCATTGTCTTGGGGATTAGCATTTGGTTCCTCACTATTTATACAAATTTCTGCAGCAGGCTTGAATTTCTCCTCAGAAAATGGGTTTTTCTTTTCTATCACATCTTCAGGCTGCAAATTTTCTGAGCATTTATACTGTTTCCCTTTTAAAATAGAATGTTTTTAACAGCACCCAAGTCATCTCTTGAATGCCTTGCTGCTTAGAAATTGCTTGTGCCAGATACCCTAAATCATCTCCCTCAAGTTCAAAGTTCCACACATCTCTAGGGCCGGGGCAAAATGCCACCTGTCTCTTTGCTAAAACATAGAAAGAGTCACCTTCACTCCAGTTCCCAACAAATTCTTCATCTCCATCTGAGTCCACCTCAGCCTGGATTTCATTGTCCATATCATTATCACCATTTTGGTCAAAGCCATTTAAGAAGTCTCTAGGAAGTTCCAAACTTTTCCTCATTTTCCTTTCTTCTTCTGAGCCCTCCAAACTGTTCCAACCTCTACCTATTACCCAGTTTCAAAGTCACTGGATATGTTTACAACAGCACAACACCCTACTGGGACCAATTTACTCTATTAGTCCGTTTCATGCCGCTGATAAAGACATACCCAAGGCTAGGTAATTTATAAAGAAAAACAGGTTTAATGGACTCACAATTCCGTGTGGCTGGGAAGGCCTCAAAATCATGGCAGAAGGTGAAAAGCATGTCTTACATGGTGGCAGGGAAGAAGACAATGGGAGACAAGTGAAAGGGGTTTCCCCTTATAAAACCGTCAGATCTCATGAGACTTATTCACTATGATGAGAACAGTATGGAGGAAACCAGCCCCATGATTCAATTATCTCCCACTGGGTCCCTCCCACAACACGTGGGAATTATGGGAGCTACAGTTCAAGATGAGATTTGAGTGGGGACACAGCCAAACAATATCAGGAACCCACCATCATGGTAAGATTCATGAGAAATACCACAATATATCTAAAACCATAAAGTCAATGAGATGGCAAGATTCTATTTATAAAAGTTTATTTTGTATAAAAAGACCAAACAAGACTTTTTGGCAATAAGCTATTAGAATCATATTTTTAAAAATCTAGTGCACAAATGGCAGGGATGAGTAATGTCTAAGGTGCTTAACTATCCTTAACTTCATTTTTTAACAAAGAGAAGACTTGGTGAATTTCTGTAAACTGTGGAGGGTTATTACACTCATTCATTTATTCAACAAATATTCATAAAGTCTAACTTTGTGCAAGGCATCATTTCAGGTGCTGTTGTAACATCAATCAAAAAACAAAGAGAAAAATCTCTGTCCCGTTGATTTGTCTTGAGACATTAAATGAGTTACTACACATGAAATCTTAGGACAGTGCCTGGTAAATGGCAAGAACTTGAATGTGTGTTAGCTATTTTCTTAATTTTACCCTTACAGGTATTGGGTAAATGGAGATTGCCCAAGAGAACAAGTGAATCCAGTTGAAAGATAGCAGCAGGGACAGTGCTGTGGCCCCTCCTTGCCTGAGATGCATCCTGGACTGCTTGAGTTGCTCGCCTGGAATAAAGAGGAGAGGCAGACCCTAAAATACTCACTTTGGCTGGTGGACTGCAAATATTGATTTTTTAAAATTGTTAATCATTTTCTAAGTTAGGAAATTCATCCCTGTAGCAAATCCCACTAGATGATTCCAAAGGGAGATATCAGCTCCCAACTTCCTTGGCCAGCTACCTCATGGACCCTTCAGAAATGTACGTTTCAAAGATGATCACATGATTTAAAGGCAAAGCTCCAAGCAATCCCACAGCCAGGTGTGATGTAGTTACACAAGGCAATTTCATTTTGTAGGTGAATTAATCTGTGCAGAGAGCCAGACGCTACTAGGTGTGATGATGCCAAATTGAGGATTCGCAACTTCTGTGCTCACAGAATTTACAATCACAAACCAAAAGTAACAGTGCAATGACAAGATGGGCCCAGGCTGCTACTCCAGGAAGCTTATATGGGGGCTCCTTATTCCAGAAGGGGCTCAGGGAGAGTGTCTTAGAGAAGTTGGCAGCCTCAACTGGGTCTCAAAAGATAAGCACTAAATTATCAGGTGAGGGAAGCAAGAGTGTGAGGGGAAAGACGTCTATAAGAAAGGCCACAGCAGGAGCACAGGACAGGTGTGGAGGCCTCAGTAGAGGACAGAGAGGTGTGGGTGGGGTGGAAGTGGGAAGGCCCAGCAGGTGGAAGGCACCCCAGGGCCACATGCGGGAGCTTGAGCTTGACCCATGATTTGGTTTGGCTCAGTGTCCCCACCCAAATCTCATCTTGAATTGAATTGTAATTCCCATGTGTTGGGGGAGGGGCCTGGCGAGAGGTGATTGAATCATGGGGGTGGACTTCCCCCTTGCTGTTTTTGTGATAGTGAGTGAGTTCTCATGATATCTGGTTGGTTGAAAGTGTGTGGCACTTCCCGCTTTGCTCCTTCTCTCTCCTGCTGACATGGGAAAAAGGTGCTTGCTTCCCCTTTGCCTTCCACCATGATTGTAAGTTTCCTGATGCCTCCTAGTCATGCTTCCTGTTAGGCTTGTGGAACTATGAGTCAATTAAACCTCTTTTCTTCATAAATTACCCAATCTCAGGTAGTTCTTTGTGGCAGTGAAAGAACAAACTAATATAACCCAGTACAGAAGATGCTGGAAGGCCCCAGGAGGGAGGCAGCTGGCAAGTAGGAATTTAGATTTCATTTCAGGTAGGGCGCTGGTGATTCCTGGAGAGTGGATTTGAAGAGGGCCAGGCTGAATGGGGAGAGAGTGTGCAACCAGGGATGGTCGGGGAGAGATGACAGGGAAGGAAGGCTTTGAGTAATTTCAATGTAGGAGGAAAAATCATCACAATGTGGTAATTGGTGGGACAGGGGGATAGAAAGTTTGAGGGTACTGGAGGGGATGGCAATAGCAACTAACATTTATTGGGCATTTATTATCCTCCAGACCCTAATCTAAGCATGTTCAAATATTCACTCACTCAATTCTTCTAATAACCCTCTAGGTCAGATATTATTATTCCTATGTTATAGATGGGGAAACTGACGCACAGCATGTCAGCAGCCTTCTCGATGTTATACAATTAGCAAGTGGCAAGATCAGGATTAGGACCCTCAAAGTAGGGTCACAGAGGGCCTGCTCCTTGCTGCCACACTGGAGCATGTATGATATGCCGGGCCCTGTCTCAAGCCCATTTCATGTGTTAATTCATTTAATCCCTTGACAACCCAAAGTAGGTGCAGAAATACCTCATTTAATTGCATTTTGCAGATATCGCACTTTTTAAAAATTGAGGCCTTGCGGCAACCTTGCATTGAGCAATTCTATCAGAGCCCTTTCTCCAGCAGCACATATTCACTTTGTGTCTTTGTGACGTTTTGGTAATTCTCACAATATTTCAAACTTTTTCATTATTATTGTATCTGTTATGGTGATCTGTCATTAGTGATCTTTGATGTTACTATTGTAATCGTTTTGGGGCATCACAAACTGCACCCACATAAGACAGTGAACTTAATTGGTAAATGTGTGTGTTCTGACTGCTCCACTGACCTGCCATTTCCCCGTCTCTCTCCCGCTCCTCAGGCCTCTCTATTCCCTGAGACACAACTATGCTGAAATTAGGCCAGTAACCCTACAGTGGCCTCTGAGTGTTCAAGTGAAAGGAAGAGTCATATGTCTTTCTAGATCGAAAGCTAGAAATGCTTTAAAAAAAAAAAAAAAAAAAAAGCTAGAAGTAATTAAGCCTAGTGAGGAAGGCATGTTGAAAACTGAGAAAGGCTGAAGTTAGGCCTCTTGTGTCAAAGAGTTAGCCAAGTTGTGAATGCAAAGGAAAAGTTCTTGAAGGAAATTAAAAGTGCTACTCCAGTGAACACACAAATGATAAGAAAGCAAAACAGACTTTTGCTGATATGGAGAAAGTTTTAGTGGTCTGGATGGAAGATCAAACCAATCACAACATTCCATTAAGCCAAAGCCTAATCCAGAACAAGGTCATAACTCTCTTCAATTCTACAAAGGCTGAGAGAAGTGAGGAAGCTACAAAAGAAAAGTTTGAGGCTAAATTGGTTCTTGATTTTTAAAGAAAGACACCATCTCTATAGCATAGAAATGCAAGGTGATGCAGCAAGTGCTGATGTAGAAGCTACAGCTTAAGCAGCAAGTTATCCAGAAGATCTAGCTAAAATCAGTGATTACAGTGGCTACACTCAACAACATATTTTCAGCATAGGTGAAACAGCCTTGGTTTCATCTAGGACTTTCATCAGTACCTACTTCAAAACTTCAAAGAACAGAGAGAATCTCTTGTTAGGGGCTAATGCAGCTAGTGGCTTTAAGTTGAAGCCAATGGTCATTTACTATTTCAAAAATCCTAAGGCCATTAAGAATTATGCTGAATCTACTCTGCCTGTGCTCTAGAAATGAAACAACAGCACCTGGTTGATAGCACATCTGTTTACAGTATAGTTTACTGAATATTTTAAGCCTGTTGTTGAAACCTAATGCTCAGAAATAAGAATTCCTTTCAAAATGTTACTGCTCATTGACAATGCACCTGGTCACTTAGGAGCTCTGAGGGAGATGTACAAGGAGATACATGTCGTTTTCATGCCTGCTAACACAACCACCATTCTCCAGTCCCTGGATCAAGCAGTAATTTTGACTTTCAAGTCTTATTATTTATTAAATACATTTCATAAGGCTATGGCTGTCATAGACAGTGATTCCTCTTAGGGACCTAGGTGAATTGAAAATCTTCCTCACCAATCTAAAGGCCATTAAGAACATTTGTGATTCATGGGAGGAGGTCAAAATACCAACATTAGCAGTTCAGAAGAAGTTGATGTTCCAACCCTCATGGATGACTTTGAGGGGTTCAAGACTTCATTGGAGAAAGTCACTGTAGATATGGTGGAAACAGCAAGAGAACGATAATTAGAAGTGGAGCCTGAAGATGTGACTGAATTGCTGCAATCTCATAATAAAACTTTCACAGATGAGGAGTTGCTTCTCATGAAGGAGCAAAGAAAGTGGTTTCTTGAGATAGAATCTACTCCTGGTGAAAATGCTGTGAACATTGTTGAAATAACAAGTGAGGATTTAAAATATCATGTAAACTTAGTTGATAGGGCAGCAGCAAGGTTTGAAAGGACTGACTCCAATTTTGGAAAAAAATTCTGCTGTGGGTAAAACGCTGCCAAATGGCATCAGATGCTACAGAAAAATGTTTCATGAAAGGAAGAGTCAATTGTTGCGGCAAACTTCGTTGTTATCTTAAGACATTGCCACAGCCACCCTAACCTTCAGCAATTACCAACCTGCTCAGTCAGCAGCCATCAACATCAAGTCAAGACCCTCCACTAGCAAAAAGAGTAACTCACTGAAGGCTTAGATGCTCATTAGTCTTTTTTTAGCATAAAGTATTTTTAACAGACGTATGTATATTTTTTAGACATAATGCTGTTGCACACTTAATAGGCTGTAGTACAGTGTAAATATAACTTTTATACACACTGGGAAACAAAAAAATTATGACTCATGTTATTGCGATATTCACTTTATTGCAGTGGTCTAGAACCAAATCTGCAATGTCTCTGAGGTATATCTGTACTGACATTCATGCTCTGTTTCTCTTTTTTTTTTTTTGAGATGGAGTCTCGCTCTTATCACCCAGGCTAGATGACAATGGTGTGTTCTCAGCTCACTGCAACCTCTGACTCCTGAGTTCAAGCAATTCTCCTGCCTCAGCCTCCCGAGTAGCTGGGATTACAGGCCCCCACCACCACGCCCAGCTAATTTTTTTGTATGTTTAGTAGGGATGGGGTTTCACCATGTTGGCCAGGCTGGTCTCGAACTCCTGGCCTCAAGTGATCTGCTCATCTCGGCCTCCCAAAGTGCTGAGATTACAGGCATGAGCCACCACACCAGGCCTCATGCTCTGTTTCTAATAAGGGAATGCACATCCAGAAAATTTAAGTAATTGCTCATTAGGATGGTAAGTGGAGAGACTGGGATTTGAACTCAGGATAGTCTGGAAACTGTCCATTTCCTGCTCACCTAACTCCAGACCTGTACACCTAAAGATGTATACTCTCCTTGCACTTGAGTAGGATCAAATGTATTGAATAAACATCTAACCAGTCAAACCTCCACTTACCCAGACCCTGAACCTTGAAACCAATTGAGTGGCAGCCTACATTCATGGAAAGTTAGGAGATGGGCCCTACGACCAAGATGTGACACCCTTAGTAGAGAAAAAAAAAGAAAAAGAAAAGATGTGTGTTGGGGGGAAGTAGTCAGCATAAAATTTTGTCATGCTCCAACCAATTTTATGAAGCTATTTCCTTACAAGTTGGAGAAGAGGTAGCAGGGACAGTAAACTAGGAGCAAACTAGAAAACCAGAACGTTGTCGCAGAATGTGCCAACTTTTTCCTGGGCTTGTGTTAAAGTGAAGGCAGTCTCTTTCCCCTAATTGGGACACTGCCTTCCTGGAGATTCCTATGACCAGATTTTCCATGGGTCAACCCCCTACTGTGATGTAGGGAGACCGGGAATGAAAGAAGCAGGAGGAAAGGAAAGAAGCTGCAGAGCTATAATGGGGACAATGAGGTGGGCCAGAGACCATGGAGGGTGCAAGGAGGCCCAAGTCAAGAAAATTAGAAGGTCCTTGGGGGCAATTAGACTGACAGCTGGTGAAGGCAAGTGTCGATCTGTCCTGTTCAATGCGGCATTCATGAATGGCACATGGTAAGGGCTCTGGGGTTCTTTCTTTTATCAATTACTGAATTTCTATTGATCACCTCTTGTTTCTTTCCTTGAGCTAGACTGTGACATTTGTCTACGTCTCTGATACAGGTACCTGGAGAGTGTCTAACTAAGATCAAGAGAAACTTTAATTTTCATTGACAGTGTAACACAGCACTTATAAAATCAAGCTTAAATCAAGCCAAAATATAAAAAGAGCTGAAGAAAAAGGAAACATGTTGATACATATAACACTTTTATCATAGATATATGACAAACAGATATATATTTATAAATGTAGAATATATAGCAGCTCTTTCTTATGTAGTCTAATAACTTCTGTGTCACAAATTTGCAAATAGTTGACTGAGAAGCAAATGTATACACAGTCTTGCCTCTGTAACAGTTACAAGTCACACTGGGGAAAACTCAAAGAAAAAAAAGAAAAAAACTGTTTTCCTTTGGCATGCATATGAAAAATTTTCCGGTTTCATCATCAAGTTATTTTGATCCAATTTAAACTTTCATGATCATATAACACTGTTGCCTGTTTTCTATTTGTGAAATTTCCAGGTCATGCTAGGAAGCTACCTGCATGTGTATGCACCAAAACAACAACCAAAAAAAACTTTCAAAATACTTGAGGAAAAAATGGATAAAACTGAAAGAAGAAATAAACAAATTCATAATTACAGTTGGAAATGCCAACCCCCTTCTTGCAGTCATTGATAAAACACGTAAGCAGAAAACCAATAATGATATATATGATCTGCAGATCACAATTAGCCAACTTGACCTAATTGACATTTATAATACTCTCCTCCCAACCACAACAAAATACACATCCTTTTTAAGTGTACATAGAACACTATTTTTACTGAGCCATAAATTTCAAAGAATAAAATTCATACAAAGGATGTTATTGGACCATGACAGCAGTTATAAATAATTCGGGGGTGGAAAGGGAAGTCTTAAGGAGAAATTTAAACTATTTTTAACTAATTGAAATTGCAACATGTCAAAATGAGAAAGATGCAGCTAAAGCAATGCTTAAAGGAAATTTTAGTGTGAATTGATTATATTAGGCAAGAAGCAATGTCTCAAAGCAGTAATCTAACCTTTCACCTTAAGAGAGGGGGGTGGAAGGCCAGGCGCGGTGGCTCATGCCTGTAATCCTAGTACTTTGGGAGGCCAAGGCGGGCAGATCACGAGGTCAGGAGATTGAGACCATCCTGGCTAACACGGTGAAACCCCAACTCTACTAAAAGTACAAAAAGTTAGCCGGACGTGGTGGCAGGCACCTGTAGTCCCAGCTACTTGGGAGGCTGAGGCAGGAGAATGTTGTGAACCCGGGAAGTGGAGCTTGCAAGTGAGCTGAGATGGCGCCACTGCACTCCAGCCTGGGAAACAATGCAAGACTCTGCCTCAAAAAAAAAAGGGGGGGGGGGGTGGATATATAGAGACACAGAGAGAGAGAGAGAGCAAGAGAGAGCAACTTAAAGCAAGCAAAAGGAAAGAAATAAAGATTGGAGCAGATAGCAATGAAATTTAAATTAAAAATAGAGAAAATCAATCACATAAAATATGGAAAAAGCAACAAAATTGATAGGCCTCTATCCAAACTGATGTGAGAGAGACAAAACAGTGGGGATAAGGAAAGAGGACACAAAACATCAGGATTTCAGGGGAGAAATCGCACTGATCCCACAGACATTAAAAAGAAAAGGGAATGTTACAACCAACACTATCGCCATAAATTTGACAAATTAGATAAAATAAATTTGAAAAGCACTCAAAAAATTAGGTAATCTGAAAAGTCCTATATTTATTAAAATCTACCCAACAAAAGCTCCTAGAACTAAAGTCAATAGTATTCCTACATATTAGAAATAAACAACTGTACCTTCAAAAAGGTAAAATGCTTAGGTATCAACATAGTAAAATATGAGTAGGGTTTGTATGTTGGAAACTTCAAAACAGAACTCAAAGAAGACCTAAATAAATGAAAAGATATACAGTGTTCATGTATTGAAAGACTCAATATTAATAGGCAGACTATCCCCAAATTGATTTCTAAGTCAATACTATCCCAAGAAAAACATCATCTATCTTTTTTGTAGAGATTAACAAGATGATTCTAAAATATATAAGCAAAGGCCAAAAAAAAAGAATAGCCAAAACAATTCTCAAAAAAGAACATTAGAGAGCTGACACTACCCAATTTCAAGACAAATCAAAATTTAAAGCTGTTGAACCAAACAAAAATTTAAAACTATTGCTCTTATTAAGGCACTCTTAAGAGAATTTTAAAAAGTGACAAACTTGGAGAAAACATTTGCAAATAAAAATATGATGCAAAAAGTCTATTTAGAACCTATAAAGAACTCTTGCACTCAACAATAAGAAAACAAACAACTCAACTGAAAAACTGATAAAAGACCAGAACGGACACTTTGCTAAAGAAGATACACAGATGGCAAATAAGTACATGAAAAGACACTAAACATTATTAGTTATTAGTGTTATAAAAATGTAAAGCTACAAACTATTAGAGACAACTATCAGAAAGACAGAAAACAAATAAAAATCAAAACAAAATCTGACAATAACAATGGCTGGCAAGGATGCAGGACAACTGCACCCTTATACATCACTGATGAAAACACAAAATGATACAACCACTTTGGAAAACACGTTAGCAATTTCTTATAAAGTTAAACATACACTTACCACTTGACCTACCAGTCCTACTTACAAGTATTTGCCCTAGTCAATCAAAACCTTATATTCACACAAAAACTTGTTGAGAATAGTTTTTAGTAGTTATTTATAATTGTAAAAACTAGAAACAACCTACATGTTCCTCCCTAGTTAAATGGATAAACAGCCTGTGGTACATCTATACAATGGAATACTACGAATACTACTCAGCAATAAAAAGTAGGAAAATATTGACTCACACAATGACATGGATGAATCTGAAATTCATTTTGTTAAGTGAAAGAAGGTATATCCAAAAGACTACATATTTTACAATTCTGTGTGTATGACATTCTAGAAAAGGAAAAACTATAGGTGTAAAATACAGGTTGCTGGGGTAAGACTGTGGGAAGAAGTTAACTAAAAAGAGACAGCACAAGGGAATTTGGTGGGAGGTGGAACAATTTTGTTTGATACTGAAGTGGTAGACAATTTTGTCTGATACTGAATGGAACAACTCTGTGTCTTTGTCAAAACCTATAGAACCATACAACACAAAGTGTGATTTTTATTTTTTTACTATTATAGTTTAAGTTCTGGGGTACATCTGCAGAATATGCAGGTTTGTTACACAAATATACATGTGCCATTGTGTTTTGCTGCACCCATCAACCCATCATCTACATTAGGTATTTCTCCTAATGCTATCCCTCCCCTTGCCCCCCCACCCCCTAACAGGCCCCGGTGTGTGATGTTCCCCTCCCTGTGTCCATGTGTTCTCATTGTTCAGCTCCCACTTATGAGCGAGAACATGTGGTGTTTGGTTTTCTGTTCCTGTGTTAGTTTGCTGAGAATGATGGTTTCCAGCTTCATCCATGTCCCTGCAAAGGACAAGAGCTCATCCTTTTTCATGGCTGCATAGTAGTCTGTGGTGTATATGTGCCACATTTCCTTTATCTAGTCTATCATTGATGGGCATTTGGATTGGTTCCAAGTCTTTGATATTGTGAACATGCTGTAACAAACATACCTACCTGTGCATGTGTCTTTATAGTAGAATGACTTATAATCCTTTGGGTATATACCCAGTAATGGGATTGCTGGGTCAAATGGTATTTCTGGTTCTAGATCCTTGAGGAATTGCCACACTGTCTTCTACAATGGTTGAACTAATTTACACTCCCACCAACAGTGTAAAAGCATTCCTATTTCTCCACATCCTCTCCACCATCTGTTGTTTTCTGACATTTTAATGATCACCATTCTAACTGGCGTGAGATGGTATCTCATTGTGGTTTTGATTTGCATTTCTCTAATGACCAGTGATAATGAAGTTTTTTTTCATATGTTTGTTGGCTGCATAAATGTCTTCTTTTGAGAAGTGTCTGTTCATATTCTTCACCCACTTTTTGATATGGCTGTTTGTTTTTTTCTTCTAAATTTGTTTAAGTTCTTTGTATTCTGCATATTAGCCCTTTGTCAGATGGATAGAATGCAAAAATTGTCTCTCATTATATAGGTTGCCTGTTCACTCTGATGATAGTTTCTTTTGCTGTGCAGAAGCTCTTTAGTTTAATTAGATCCCATTTGTCAATTTTGGCTTTTGTTGCCATTGCTTTTGGTGTTTTAGTCATGAAGCCTTTGCCTGTGCCTATGTCCTGAATGGTATTGCCTAGGTTGTCTTCTAGGATTTTGATGGTTTTAGGTCTTAAGTCTTTAATCCATCCTGAGTTAATTTTTGCATAAGGTGTAAGGAAGGGGTCCAGTTTCAGTTTTCTGTATATGGCTAGCCACTTTTCCCAACACCATTTATTAAACAGGGAATCCTTTTCCTATTGCTTGTTTTTGTCAGGTTTGTCAAAGATCAGATGACTGTAGATGTGTGGTGTTATTTCTGAGGCCTCTGTTCTGTTCCACTGGTCTATATATTTGTTTTGGTACCAGTACCATGCTATTTTGGTTACTGTAGCCTTGTAGTATAGTTTGAAGTCAGGTAGCGTGATGCCTCCAGCTTTGTTCTTTTCGCTTAGGATTGTCTTGGCTATGCGGACTCTTTTTTGGTTCCACATGAAATTTAAAGTAGTTTTTTTCTAATTCTGTGAAGAAAGTCAATGGTAGCTTGATAGGGATAGCATTGAATCTATAAACTACTTTGGGCAGTATGACCATTTTCACGACAAATTGATTCTTCCTATACATAAGCATGGAATGTTTTTTCCATTTGATTGTGTCCTCTCTTATTTCCTTGAGCAGCAGTTTGTAGTTCTCCTTGAAGAGGTCCTTCACATCCCTTGTAAGTTGGATTCCTAGGTATTTTATTCTCTTTGTAGCAATTTTGAATAGGAGTTCACTCATGATTTGGTTCTCTGTTTGTCTATTATTGGTGTATAGGAATGCTTGTGATTTTTGCACATTGATTTTGTATCCTGAGACTTTGCTGAAGTTGCTTATACGCTTAAGGAGATTTTGGGCTGAGACTATGGGGTTTTCTACATATACAATCATGTCATCTGCAAACAGGGACAATTTGACTTCCTCTCTTCCTATTTGAATACCCTTTATTTCTTTCTCTTGCCTGATGGCCCTGGCCAGAACTCCCAATACTATGTTGAATAGGAGTGGTGAGAGAGGGCATCCTTGTCTTGTGCTGGTTTTCAAAGGGAATGCTTCCAGTTTTTGCCCATTCAGTATGATAGTGGCTGTGGGTTTGTCATAGATAGCCCTTATTCTTTTGAGATATGTTCCACTGATACCTAGTTTATTGAGAGTATTTAGCATGTAGGGGTGTTGAATTTTGTCAAAGGTCTTTTCTGCATCTATTGAGATAATCATGTGGTTTTTGTCATTGGTTCGGTTTATGTGATGGATTATGTTTATTGATTGATGTTGAACCAGCCTTGCATCCCAGGGATGAAGCCAAATTGATCGTGATGGATAAGGTTTTTGATGTGCTGCTGGATTCGGTTTGCCAGTATTTTATCGAGGATTTTTCCATCGATGTTCATCAGGGATATTGGCCTCGAATTTTCTTTATTTGTTGTGTCTCTGCTAAGTTTTGGTATCAGGATGATGCTGGCCTCATAAAATGAGTTAGGGAGGATTCCCTCTTCTTCTATTTTTTGGAATAGTTTCAGAAGGAATGGTACCAGCGCCTCTTTGTACCTCTGGTAGAATTTGGCTGTGAATCTGTCTGGTCCTGGGTTTTTTTGGTTGCTAGGCTATTAATTACTGCCTCAATTTCAGAACTTGTTATTGGTCTATCCAGGGATTCGACTTCTTCCTGGTTTAGACTTGGGAGGGTGTATGTGTCCAGGAATTTATCCATTTCTTCTAGATTTTCTAGTTTAATTGTGTAGAGGTGTTTATAGTATTCTCAGATGGTAGTTTGTATTTCTGTGGGATCAGTGGTGATATCCCCTTTATCATTTTTTACTGTGTCTATTTGATTCTTTTCTTTTCTTCTTTATTAGTCTGGCTAGCTGTCTATCTATTTTGTTAATTTTTTCAAAAAACCAGCTCCTGGATTCACTGATTTTTTAAAGGCTTTTCGTGTCTGTATCTCCTTCAGTTCTGTTCCGATCTTAGTTATTTCTTGCCTTCTGCTAGCTTTTGAGTTTGTCTGCTCTTGCTTCTCTACTTCTTTTAATTGTGATGTTAGTGTGTCGATTTTAGATCTTTCCTGCTTTCTCTTGTGGGCATTTAGTGCTATAAATTTCCCCCTAAACATTGCTATAGCTGTGTCCCAGAGATTCTGGGACATTGTGTCTTTGCTCTCATTGGTTTCAAAGAACTTATTTATTTCTGCCTTAATTTCATTATTTACCCAGCAGGTTATTTGAAAAGATTAACTAAGCTGATAAACACCCAGCAAAATTGGCTGAGAAAAAGAAAAAAAAAAGGAAGCCACAAAAATTGTTTTCTTTTACAAATAAAAGAAGTGACATTGTCACAGATCTTACAGTCATTAATATTATAATAAGGAAATATTATTAACACATATAGTTTATAAATTAGTGAAGAAGTGAACAAATTTCTCAAAAAATACAGGGTAACAAAACAGGAGAAAAAATTGGCAAGACTGAAGACTCACATTTGTTAAAGAAATTAATAAAGTCATTAAAAACTTTCCAATAAAAAAACAAAAAACCCATATCCATACCATCTTAGTAAATACTATCAAGCATTTAAGGAAGAAATAAGAGCAATCTTACACAAACTCCTTAAGAAAAATAGAGAAGAGATCACTTTCCTATTTTTTTTATGAGGACAATATAACACTGATATCAAAATCTTCCAAGGAAATTTCAAGCACCAAAATTAAAAATCAATATTCCATATGAACATAGACACAAAAAATCCTTATCAAAACATTAGCCAATTAACTCTAGTAATATAAAAAATATATAATATGGCCAGGTACAGTGGCTCACGCCTGTAATCCCAGCACTTTGAGAGGCCGAAGTGGGTGGATCACCTGAGGTCAGGAGTTTGAGACCAGCCTGGCCAGCATGGTGAAAACCCATCTCTACTACAAATACAAAAAAAAATTAGCTGGGTGTGGTTGCAGTTGCCTGTAATCCCAGTTGCTCAGGAGGCTGAAGCAGGAGAATTGCTTGAACCTGGGAGGCAGAGGTTGCAGTGAGCCGAGATTGTGCCACTGCACTCCAGCCTGGGCAACACAGCAAGACTCCATCTCAAAAAAAAAAAAATATATATATATATATATATATGTATATACACACACACACACATACATACACACACACACACACACACACACACACACATATATATATATATAAAATGCATATAACAAAAAATTTCAAAGAATGCAAATTTGGCTCAAAATTTGAAAAGTAATGTAACTCATTTCTTAATAGAATGAAGGAGAAAAATCACATGACTATCTAAATAGAGAAAGAAAAATTGTGTCAAAATTGAACATACATGAAAAAAACACTCAGCCAACTAGGAATTGAAGGGAATTTCCTCAGTCTAATAAAGGGCATCAACAACAACAACAAAAATAGTTAAAAAGAATGAATAAGACCTACTATTTAATAGCAAAACAGGGTGACTATAGTCAGTAATAACTTAATTGTACATTTTAAAATAACTAAAAGAGTGTCATTGGATTGTTTGTAACACAAAGGATAAATGCTTGAGGGGATGGATACTCTATTCTCTATGATGTGCTTATTTCAAATTGCATGTCTGCATTAAAACATCTCACGTACCCCTTAAATATAATACCGGCAATGTAACACCTACTATGTAACACCTACTATATACCCACAAAAATTAAAACAAACAAGAAAGACAATAACAATCTGCAGTGAACATTCATGTTAATGGTGAAATACTGAACGCATTTTCACCTGAAGTCAAGAACAATATAGGATGTCCATCTCACCACTGCTACTCAATATTGTACTGAAGGTTTTGTCCAGTGTAATAAGGCAAAATCAAAACAAAACAAAAATTAAAAGAAATAAATATTGGAAAAAATAAGTAAAACTCTCTTTACTCACATTTGATTTATTGTGCAGGTAGAAAATTCTAAATGGTCTACAAATAAATGACTAATAAGTAAATTTAGTGATAATACAGGTCAGTACACAATGATGAGTTATATTTCTATAAAATATTAGTAATTGGGAATTAAATTAAAAATCAATGCCTTTTGACTACATTTAGTGAAAAATGTGCAAGATTTCTACACTGTAAATTATAAAACATTACTTAGATAAATTGAACACCTGTATAAACAAAGAGATACATCATCTTCATTAATCTGAAAGATGCAATACTGCCCAAATTGCTTTATAGATTCAATGCAATCACAAATAAATCTAAACAGACTTGCAAAGACTCTAGAATAGCAAGACAATTTCGAGGGGAAAAAAAATACTTAGAAGACTCACATAACCTGATTTCTTTTTTTTCCTCCTCTCTCTTTCTCAACAGCTTTATTAGACATATTTCTCATACCACAGCATTCATATTTTTCAAGTGTACAATTCAGTGATTTCTAGTATATTTAAGGAGTTGTGCAACCATTGCCATCTAATTTTAGAATATTTTCATCACCCAAAAGAGAAAGCCTATACCTATTAGCAATCACTCCTCATTTTCTCCTGATATAGTTTGGATGTCCCCTCCACATCTCATATTGTAATTCCCAATGTTGGAGGTGAGACATGGTGGGAGGTATTTGGGTCACGGGGGTGGATTCCTCCAGGCTTGGTGGTGTCCTCACTGTACTGAGTTCTCACAAAATCTAATTGTTTCAAGTGTGTGGTACCTATCCTACTCTCTCTTGCTCCTGCTTTCGCCATGTGATGTGCCTCCTCCTACTTCACCTTCTGCCATGAATAAAAGCTCCCGGAGACCTACCCAGAAGCAGAGTAGATGCCTGTGCCATGCTTGTATAGCCTGCAGAATTATGAGCCAACTAAACCTCTTTTCTTCATTAATTACCCAGCCTCAGGTATTTCTTCAGAGCAATGCAAGACTGGCCTAAATACACCTCCTTTACCCCTCAGTCCCTGGCAACCACTGATTTAGTTTCCATCTCTATCACTCTGACTATTCTGGAAATTTCATATCAATGGAATTATACCACATGATTTTTGCGAGTAGCTCCTTTCACTTAGCATAATGTTTTCAAGGTTTATCCATGTTATAACATGTATCAGTACTTCATTCTTTTTCATTGCCAAATAATATTCCACTTTGTGAATGTGCCATATTTTGTTTACCCATTTGTCAATCTATGGACATCTGGATTTTTTCCACATTTTCATTATTACAAAAAATGTCACTAAGAACACTCATGTGCACATTTTTGTGTGCATATATGTTTTCATTTCTGTGGGGTATATACCTAGGAGTAGAAGCGCTGAGATATATGGCAATTTCATGTTTAATATTTTGGAGAACTGCCAAGCTGTTTTCCAAAGCGACTATACCATTTTACATTACCACCAGCAATGTATGAGGTTTCTATTTCACCACATACTTGTCAACACTTGTTATCATCTTTTTCATTATAGCCATCCTAGTGGGTGTGAAGTTTTATCTGATTGCTGTTTTGATTTGTACTTCCTTGACAAATAATGACTTTTAGAACTTTTTCATGTGCTTATTGGTTATTTGTACATCTTCTTTGGAGGAAAGTCTTTGGATCTTTGCCCATTTTTCAATTGGATTATTTGTCATTTTATTGTTGAATTGAAAGAATTCATGTATGTTCTAGATACAAGTCCAGATGTATATACCAGATATATAATTTGAAAATACTTTCTCCTATTCTGTGGATTGTCTTTCACTTTCTTGATGGTGACTTTTTAAGCACAAAAAATCTTTTACCTCTTATGAAGTCCAATGTATACACTTTTTTCTTTTGTAATTGTGCTTTTGGTATTCTATCTAAGAAACCACTGCCTAACCTACAGTTGCAAAGATTTGCTCCTGTTTTCCTCTAAGAGATTTATTGTTTTAGGTCTTAAATTTAGGCTTATGCTCCATTTTAAGTTAACTGCTGTATAGGGGTCCAACTTCATTTTTTGCATATCAATATCCAGTTGTCCTAGCACCATTTATTGAAAAGAGTATTCTTTCTTTCATTGAATTGTCTTAGCATCTTTGTAAAAAATAAACTGGCCATAAATTTAGGGATGTGTTTCTGTCTCTTGATTTAATTCTGTTGACCTGTGTATCTATCCAATGCCAGTACCACACTGTCTTGATTACTGCAGCTTCATATTAAGTTTCTGAATTGAGAAATGTGAGCCTTCCAACTTTGTTACTCTTTCTCAAGATTGTTGTGGCTATACTGGTTCCTTTATATTTCCATAAATTTTAGGATCAGCTTGTCAATTTCTAAAAAGATCAGGTTTCTGGGATTTTGATAGAGACTGCTTTATATCTACAGATTAATTTAGGGAGTATAGTCACCTTAACAACATTACATCTTCTGATCCATGAACATATATTCCATATATTCACATCTTCTTTAACTTCTTTGTTAAATTTATCCTTAAGTATTTTATTCTTTTTGATTTTTGGATTATTCATTGCTAGTCTATAGAAATACAATTGATTTTTATTTGTTGATCTATCCTGCAGTCTTGCTGAACATGTCATTTCTAATAAATTTTTAGTGGATTCTGTAAGATTTTCTATATATGAAGGCACATCATCTGCAAATAGGGATAGCTTACTTCTTCGTCTCCAGTTTACATGACTTTTATTATTTTCCTTGCCTAATTGTCTTGACTAGAACCTCAACATGATGTTAAATAGACATGGAAAAATTAGATATCCTTGTTTTGTTCCTAATCTTAGGGAGAGAGCATTCAATCTTTCACCATTACATATGATGTTAACTGTGGGTTTTTCACAGATGACTTTAATCGGGTAAAGAAAGTTTTCTTATATACCTAGTTTGTTGAGCGTTTTTATCATGAAAAGGTACTTGATTCTGTCAAATACTTTTTCTGCATCTATGGGGATGATCATGTTTTTTTTCACATATTCTATTAACACAGTGTAGTATGTTGTTTTTGATATGTTAAACCAACCTTGCATTCCTGGGATAAATCTCACTTGGTCATGGTGTATACTCCTTTTTATATGTTGCTGGATTAAGTTTACTAGTATTTTGTTAAGGGTTTTTACCTCTATATTCATAAGTGATATTGCTCTATAGTTTTCTTCTAATGTCTTTGCCTTATTTTGGTATTGAGTAATACTGGCCACATGGGATAAGTTGGGAAGTGTTCCTTCCTCTTCTATGTTTTGGAAGAGTTTGTGGAGGACTGATATTAATTCTTATTTAAATGTTTGGTGGAATTCACTATTAAAGCTGTTTAGGCCTGGGATTTTCATTGTGGGAAGTTTTAAAATTATTTACCTAATATCCTGTGATTGGTTTATTAGAATTTTCTATGTATTCTTTATTATATTTTGGTAGTTTGTTTCCTTCTAGGACTTCATCCATTTCATATAGGTTTTGTATATTTTGTTGCATACTATTGTTCATAGTATTCTCTTATATTCCTTTTTATTTCTGTAAGGTCAGACCTACCACCTGATTTCAGGACTTACTATTAAGTTACAGTTATAGCAATGTCTTAGAAAAGACACAGAAAGCAATAATCATAAAACAAGAAAAGGATAAATTAGACTTAAGCAGTATTAAAATTTTCTGCTCCCCCAAATAACATTATTAAGAAAATAAAAAGGCAAAATCCACACTGACCAAAAATATTTAAAATAAGTAAGTGCTTGTTTTTGTTATAAATAAACTCTTATAAGTCAATAACAATAAGATAAACAAGTCAATTTAGAAAAATATGCAAGAGATTTAAATAGATCTTTCACAGAGAAGATATACAATGGCCAATGTGCACATGAAAAAGTACTCAATGTCGACAGCCACCAGATAAGTGTAAATTTAAACAGCAATGTGACAACATTTCATGCCTACTAGTGTGAATATGATTAAGAAAGAACTGAAACAAATGTTGGTCAGGATGAAGAACAACTGAAACTCTCACATGTTGCTTGAGGGCCTGTAAAACAGTACCACTTCTTTGAAAAACTGGCAATTTCTTATAAAGTTAAAAATACATTTACCTAATTATCCAGCAAGTCCTCTCTAGGTATTTATTCTAAGAAAAATGAAACACTTGTACAAGAATATTCACTTTGCCTTTTTCATAGTAACTACAGCCTGGAAACAATTCAAATGTCCATCAGTAGAAGAGATAAACTAATTGCAGTTTAGTCATTTCATGTTACTATTCAGCAATAAAAATAAACTATCCACAACATTGAGGAACATCAAGACCTTCTGTTGAATGAAATAAATTGGACACTAAAGAATACATATGGTATGATTCCATTTACATCAAGTTCAAGAACAGGCAAAACTAAGCTATTGGGAATAGAAATCAGAAAACTGGCTCTGCTGTGGTGGAGAGGTGAGGGTCAACTGCAAAGGGGCCAGAGGGAACTTTTGGGGATGATGGAAATGTTTTGTATTTGGTTTTAGTGTTTATTACACGAGAAGAGTATATGTGCGTCAAAACTCACTCCACTAAAAACTAAAATCTATGCATTTCACTGTATGCAAATTAAACCTCAAAAAAACCATTCAGAAACATTTTAGGTAAGAGACGGTGGAAGCAAGTGCTTTTAATTTTCTTCCAGGTGGCATGGATGGATCTTACTGTTGTTACCTGCAGCTCAGCCTGCAGGGTTCAGTGTCCTTGCACCTTGGAACACTGGCATTCCACTTGCCAGTCTTGTGTACAATAAGAACACAGGTGCACCCATCCAATCCCTCCCCGCCATGCCAGCGACGCCTGGGCAATCCATAGTCAGCAGCACACTAGATATGCCAAGGGCTCTCTGATTACCATCCTTTTATAAACCCTGGCACTAGCTTCCCCATCAGCATGTTAAATTTCAAACATAAGCCAATTCTAAATTATTCAGAAATGAATGACTGGAGTTAACACTGAGAAGCAAAATTGCTTATGGAGGGAGGAAAGAACACAGAATAGGGCCCAGAGTTTGGAGCTCCACTCCCAGTCCACTACTTCTAGGCTCTGTGATCTGAGATAAATCTTAAGTTTCTTATCTTTATAATGCGGGGATGATGATAACACGACACACAAGTGCTGGACAATGGCCTAGCACTTGGGGAGGAATAGCTGAGAGGCAGAAATGAAAGCCTGTGGTAGAATGTGAATTTCCAGGTGTACTTATGGTACACGTTTTATTCAAAGCTCCTCACTCCCTGCCTCCCCTGTACCCCCACCAAATACACACACACCTGGACGTATTTTTGAAAACTTTACTGTAAATTAGAACCTTTATCAGAAATAAAGAACTTTTAACTGTTCAAGTCTGCTACTTTTGAAAACTCTGGAGAAACATTGGCTCCTGCCTTCTCAAAGTCTCTGTGGCTTCCATTCATCTGAATATAGAGACAATCAAGATTTGGACCTTGGCATCCTTTAAAATCAGATGTCCAGGTTAAAAACATTTGCAGTGGTTTAAGCATCCAAGGATGCTTTTAACCTGGGCATCCGATTTTAACAACAGACTCTTTCCTGATCACAGTTAGAAAATGACATCCTGTGCCTGCTGCTCTGAATTCTTACTCATGCCAGGGTATCACACTTACCCTAAGAGAGCAAACCCTGAGAGCCATCTCACCTGCTGACGAAGGTCAGGGCCAAGGCTGTGGCCAGGTGGGGCATCAGCCGCAGGGTCTGTGTTTGGTGCTCAATGATCTTCACCTCTTCCTTGGTTTTGGGCCCAAACTGCCTCCGGCTAGAGGGAATCAACAGACACGATTTTTACCAAAATCCAGGAGCGGGAGGTAACTTCATTTCCAGAGCTAAAAATGCTGGCTAGCCATTTGCCTTCCAAAGACTCCAGAATGCAGAAATCTGAATTTCCTAAAATGTGGTTAGGGCAAGACAGCCTAAGTTTCTGAGGAAAGCCCAACAGGAAGCTTTTCAGCTCTTCTAGAAGTTAACCTTCCCAGCGTGGAACATTTTTAAAGCAGCACATCTATCTAACACCAGAGTAATTTTTACTCCTTAACATTTACATGACATTTTATAGTTCCAAGTGCCCCATGATCATTAATTATTCAGCTTTGCTAAATTTGTTACATAATTAATAGGACAGGAGCAATACCCTAGAACATATTTCAAAAGGACATTCTCAACAAGGAGGGTGACATTAACCCTGGTGCTCCTGTCAGATTCACAGGTAGGTCATTACTTTTAGCCCACCTAAACCCCCCTGCAATTCTATGTGGAAAAGGTGTTCTCCATATCCCACCTTAAATCCCTGTGCCCTGCAGACAGCATCTGCGTTGCACTCTGAGGCTGCTATGTCAGGTGAACAAAGGCTTTCCTTGGAACAATTTTTAAAGTGGTGTGGGATTGTCCCCACAGGCAATGCCCAGGGACAAATCCCCCAGGATCTCATAGTTGTAGATTGCAAAGAGCCCAGGCTTTTCATAGAGGTCACCCTCTGCCCCTTGCAGCCTGATGCTCTACATCCTACATTCAGCAGCATGCTGTCTTTGAACAGCTCTGAGTTTAACGCTGGTTTATGAAAGAACAACATTTCACTCACACACACACATACATTGTGCTATGTTATCAAGCATGGTGGGCAAACCTTTGCTTCACACACCAATGGGGTGAGAACATCCATCAACCACTCAAAGAGAAGAAGCAATTGTTTTAAAAATCTTATATTTGATAAAGACTTTCTTAAACATAATCTTATACTTAAATATTGTGTTTATTTGTAATTGAAAGAAGGGCATCATAATCTTTTTAGTGTTTAAGGCATCTCATAAGTCTGGTGCTGTCATGTGGGTGGTGAGGACAAATGATAAGCACACACAAGGAAGGCCGCGTGCAAGCACCGTGAGTACAGCCTCATTTTGTAAGAGCACAGACTTCCCCCAGGCACAGTCTAACCACCCCACAGATGACTGTTTCAAGAATACCACCCCAACCCGCCCTTCATCCATGCCTGCCCCTCCATCCTAGTTCACGCCCAACCACAGCAGGCTCGTGGCTCCAAATGAAAAGGCTGTCAGTCTACAGGGAAACCTCTCAGCTTTTGCTGGATCACGGTGAAAATAACAAAAAAAAATCCCAAAGCCAGTAGTGGTGTCATCATGATGTTAGGTCACTGCTAAGGACTGAACTGTGTCGCCCCAGAATTCACATATTGAAGCCCTAACAACCAATGTGACTATTTGGAGATAGGGCTTTCAGGAGGCAATTAAATTAGGTGGTAAGGATCCTATCTGATAGAATTGGTGGCCTTATAAAAAGAAAAGAGAAAGGTCCCTCTCTCCCCACACCCATGCTCTGAGAAAGACCATGTGAGGACACAGCAAGGTGGCGGCTGTCAGCCATCTGCCGGCCAGGAAAAGCGCCCTCACCAGACCTGTCAGTGCCTTGACTTTTGACTTGCAGTCTCCAGAACTGTGAGAAATAAATTTCTATTACTTAAGCCGCCCAGTCTATGGCATTTTGTTACAGCAGCCCAGGCTGATTAACATAATCATTTTACAAATTCCATGTGTTCCTCTCACTTAACTTCCATTTTTACATGCTGTGATTCTACTGTAGCTTTATCTATGGTTGTTGTGGCTAGACTCTTACCTACCAAAACCAGACAATGGCCACATGCAATCCACCCCACTGGGGGACATCTGTGTGTCTGCCCTGTGCCCAGCATCATGCTAGGCACTGGACATTTACCAGGTCAAGAAGGCTGAGTCCCAGCCACTGAGCCCAGAGCCTGGGACATGGAGAAAACCCAGAAAAGGCGGCACGTGCAGAGAGAGCCTTGGGCATGGCCCCATGCTCCAGAGCTTCACTTGAGGACATTTTACCCACACAGTGACAGCAAAAGCAGTGATTGACCACAACACCATTTAGTTTTCTTTTTTGTTGTTGTTGTTGTTTGTTAGGTTGGTTTTTTTTTTTTTTTTTTGGCTGAAAAATAAGTACGATAATAATACAATTTTTTTTTTTTTTTTTTTGAGACAGAGTCTTGCTCTGTCGTCCAGGCTGGAGTGCAATGGCGCAATCTCGGCTCAGTGCAACCTCTGCCTCCCAGGTTCTAGCAATTCTCTGCCTCAGCCTCCCGAGTAGCTGGGACTACAGGCACCCACCACCACACCCAGCTAATTTTTTGCATTTTTGGTAGAGACGGGGTTTCACCATGTTGGCCAGGCTGGTCTTGAATTCCTGAACTCAGGTGATCCACCCGCCTCGGCCTCCCAACGTGCTGGGATTACAAGTGTGAGCCACCACGCCTGGCCAATAGTACAATTTTAAACAGCATCTCATCAAAATTTGTTTCTATGGCGAACTCTTTGTCTTGGCCACCATAAGCTCAATATTCATTTAATGAATGAAAGAATGAATTCATTTCACAAATGAGGAAATGCAAAAAAAGCAAAGCAGAGTGGCCACTGGAGACCTCAGAGAAGGTCTTTGGATGCCAGATCTGACCCCGACCTGTTGTGCCTCAGTTTCCCAATGGAGGCACACCTTGTAGCGGTGCCATTTCCTCTTTGACCCTCACAGTTCCTCTTTGACCCCACAATTGGGGTGATGGGTGAAGAGCAGAAAGAGGCCACCAAGGCTCCATGTGGCAGGCCTCGCAGTGCCTCTCCCTGTGCTGACAGAGAGGAGTTATGTTCTCCTAATCCACTGCTGAGTTCCCAGGTAATTTCACAAAAATCAAGAGTGTTCACGAGAATCTAAATGTCCAGACTTTCTTTAAAAATAGGAAGATCTGGCACCTCCGGACTCTATTCCCATAATGCAATCTGCTGGAACTCAGAAGCCCAACCCTCCAGGCAGGAAACGGCTATCCCCTGAGGACGCCAGAGCCCTTTCCACTCCCTGACATTACCTGCTGGCCCAGGGAGCACTGAGTTTTTAGCCACATTGCATTTTTTATTCCATCCAGAATAAATTGGCATCAGCATCCTAATTTGTTAATTATGTTCTGTAACTGTGATATACAGCCAAGCACAGACATTCTATGTGAGTCTATGAATTTACTGGAAGAACTTCTAGGGAGCAAAACGGCTCTGGCCAGCTTGTAGGGAATAAAATCCAAAAACGCCTCAGCTTGGCATTCAAGAGTCCGCTATAGCTTGACTTGAGTGTTCCAGCCTTTTCTCCCACTAAGCCCCTTCAGATGCTTCCCATCCTGGACCTCTGTCCAAGCAGGGCTCTCTGCCTGCAGCTGACCCCACCCCTAACTGCCAGTGTCTAATTGGACTCATTTTTGGTGGCTCAGCCACATGCCCTCTCCCCAAATTGAGACTTCTCTGATTCTCCCCTTCTCCTTGGCACACCCCTTCAAAACTAAACAGAACCAAACCAACCAAAGCAGGAAGTTGCTTTTCCCTGGAATGCCCTGAGCATTTCATGTTGCCCCTCCTGCGAGGCCCAGCACCTTCCCTTTCCAGCTGGTGTCATGTGCACCTGTGTTAACCATGTGCCTCTGATGCTTGGACATCTGAGACTTTACTGACCCTGGAGGGACAGGGGCTCCCAGGGCCAGCTAATTGCTGAAGACAGCAAACGACTCCCTTTGAGTGCATTTTTCATATGCAAATGAATCAGTTCAGGACCCCATTCCCGCTGCTTCCTTTATCTGTCTCTTCCACTCAGGGCCTAACCTAGTCTCCCCAGGGCCAGGTACCAGACAACTCAGGACAGACAGATCCTATGCCTCAGAGCCTTCTGAAGTTATCCATACTAGCCAGTCTTAAACCTGCTTACCAACCCTGCCCATCTCTTCCTGTGGAAACCACAATAAAGGCTCTTGCCCACATTTTCCCTTCATGCCCTCTCCCTTCTAACCAATGCTATTGTTTCCCCGTGTGGCCCTGCGTGGCATGGCGTGCCCCTTCTCTTGGGAACTGTGAGTAACAAACTATGCTTTCAATGGCTGTCCTCTTCTGATCTGCCAAGCTCACCATACTGAGTAATAATACAACCTACATTTTAAAACAGCACCTGTCACTGGACTCAGCCCACTGAGGGAAGGCCCGCTCAGTCTTCTGGTGCCCCAGCCTGGCCTGACATATGCACCCAGGAAAGACAGAGGCAGGAGGGCAGATGAATGTCCTGCCAACTCCCAGCAGCTCCACAGCAACCCCTCCACCCACCCTTCCCTGCTTCTCCTTGGAACGTTTGCTTGTCATTAGATGCTCTGAACAAAATTCAATTCTCAGACACTGGTGTGCTGGCTGGGAGCCAGGGCAGTTAGGACAGGGATAGAAGATGAAATGAAAGGAAGGAGCCTCCCCTATGCCCAATAGCCCATTCCACCACAGGCTTTCCTGCCAGGGGCCAGAGGGAAACAAGTGGGTGGGCAGAAGAGTAGGCACCACCCAACTCTTTCTTTCCCTCCCTCTGGCCCAAGACCCTGACAATCCCCAAGCACTGAGCAGGGAGTTTACTCTCACTTCTCACCACCCATCAGATGTGCTCTCTGGCTTCTCCAAGGAGGAATGACACTGAGGGCTACTGAAGCTTCTCCCACCCAAAGATGCAGCAAGAGGTCAGCCCTGTGACTGCCACCATCAGCCCCATGCAGGCAGCCTGGCAACAGCAGAGGTAGCAGAGACCGAGGGCCTCAAGACTTAGGGTCCCCAGAGGGCCTGGCCCGTGAGAGACCCTGCCCTGCCATGCTGTGGTCACCCTCTTATTTATGCTCTCAGGCCCCATTGGCCTCACCAAGGGCCATGACAGTCCAGGCCTGGACTCTGGTTGCCAGCATCCTGGCACAGGGCCCTGAACACAGCTCACAGGGCTGTAATCCCTGCAGCTGGCCAGCAATTACCGCCTGCCAGACATTTTTATTGTTCCAGTTTATGATCTATGTGGACACAATATTCTTCCCATCCTTTTCCTCCACTGGGTTACTATTTTCCTTTAAAAACACATACAAAGGCTATATTTCTCTCTGTAAATATAATTTTTATTTCAATACCAAAAAAAAGTCACTTAGCTCAAATTTTTCATGGTCTTTAAAATCAAAAAGTGGTGCTTGTGCGCACAGCGATATCCATGTGAGAATAAAGCCGGGCTCGCAGAGTGCTGTGAATGATGCCATTTAAAATTATAGATTTGAAAAGCTATTTCTAGATTCCAGCAACTCCTAAGGAATAGAGGAAACATTTATTTTGGGTTGTTTTATTTCATTCCCACTCAATTTTGAACGCGGCTGCTTAAGGCAATATTCGTCGGATGTGACATGGCTATTAATCACCAAGGCAGCTACTGCAGGCGCAGCCTCTGGGGGGGCCGCGCCATTCGCCTTCTCCCCTCTCCCTCTGGTCTCTTCTCCCAAAGGAGGCCAGTGACCTACTAAAAAGATAATTACTTCCCATGTTTCCTGCTCTGCAGTACCATTGCAACCAGTCAACTTCAAAGGAGAGGAGCTTTGGGGCTAAGCCTCACCCTGGACTCTGAGACTTCTTAGGGTGCAAACTTGTTTGCAGGTATCCCTGCAACCAGAAGAAGGAGGAACAAAACCTCCTCCACCGTCAAGGTGCTGACCTCTGTAGATAAAAGCTCAGTTCCTTCCTGGGCTCAGGCCACCTTCCTTTGTGGCCACCTTCCTTCATTAATAACCTGACCACAGGCAGGATTCAAGAGAGCTTGTAAGTGCCTGGCAGCTGGACCACTGCACCCCATTCCCAGTGGCTCCCACAGAAACCCTCCAACCTCTCACAGAGTCCACAGCCCATCTGTCCTGTTTCTCCCCCTTCTCTGGGGCACTCCTAGACATACAAACTCAGAGGGCAAATATTTTACAAAGTAGGATATTTTTAATGCCACCAGTTGAACTTGGAAGATTTGGCCCAGCTGGCCAGCCAGGATGTAAACATCTGGCTTCTTATTATCAGTAAGAATGTGTGAGAGTCAGACACCCTGATCTTCAGCCCTAAGCCTCACCACCTCCAACACCAGGTGATCCCACCCTCCACCTTGGGATCATGGAAGGGACCTCGCTGCACACAATTCCTGCTGCTTTTTTGTTTTGTTTCTTGTTCTTCCTTTTTTGTTTGTTTGCTTTTGAGGCAGAGTCTCACTCTGTTGCCCAGGCTGGAGTATAGTGGTACAATCTCAGCACATGGCAACCTCCATCTCCTGGGTTCAAGAGATTCTCCTGCCTCAGCCTCTCGAGCAGTTGGGACTACAGGCCTGCACCACCACGCCTGACTAATTTTTGTAATTTTAGTAGAGACTGGGTTTCATCACGTTGTCCAGGCTGGTCTCAAACTCCTGGCTTCAAGTGATCTGCCCACCTGGGCCTCCCAAAGTGGTGGGATTACAGGTGTAGCCACTGTGCCCAGCCCTGTTTTTTGTTTTTTTAAGTTGAACATGTAATGGTTTGCCCTTTGGGCCTGAGCAATCCTACACTGAAACATCAGCTTAACATATAACATCCTCTGTGTTTTACCTGTCATTCCCATGGGCAATTTTTTCTTTTTCCATTTTTCTTTTTTTTTTTGACAGAATCGTACTCTGTCATCCAGGCTGGAGTGCAGTGGCACAATGGCACAATCTTGGCTCACTGCAACCTCTGCCTCCCGGGTTCAAGCAATTCTCCTCCCTCAGCCTCTTGAGTAACTGGGATTACAGGTGCATGCCACCACACCTGCCTAATTTTTTGTATTTTTAGTAGAGATGGGGTTTCACCATATTAGCTAGGCTGGTCTTGAACTCCTGGTTTCAAGTGATCCACCCACCTCGGCCTCCAAAAGTGCTAGGATTACAGGTGTGAGCCACCACACACCACCCAATGGGCAACTTTCAATCCATCTGTAGAGGAGATGGAAGAAGCCTGTGTGTGTGTAAGTGAGTGTATATGTGTGTGTGTGTGTGTGTGTGTGTGTGTGTGGCGTAGAGATATATGCTTCTTTGATAGTAGACTTGACTGTGATTAAATACACAAAATGGCCCCAGGAAAGAGTTCTCAAAGTGCCCTTCAGATCCTTGAGAAAACTCAACAAATAACTTTTCCACCTTCTCATCACCTCTTTTCCTCCCAACCCTCAACAGTCTATCAATCCAACCACCCCAGAATAGAATACATGATTCTCAATGGTGGTGAAGAGTTCAATGACAATGGCAATTTTTAAACACGGGAATATTTCAGATATGGAAAGAGATGAGAGTCTGTGGCTCTGGTGTCAATGTCACATAGTCTACATACAGAGCAGTGAGAGCACCCCCAAACCTGCAAACACAGACACTAAAGCTCAGATTTCCTTGGCCAGAGAGTGTAGCTCTTCAGAGAAAAAGCCCTTGCCAATTATTCTTTTCCTTTCTCAAAGTTCATGCCAGATCAAAAACCTGGGGAACATAAACACCCTCCCCAACAAGTGCCATGGATTTAAAGTTGTGGCCAAGTATCCAGCAGGGGCTGACACTCTGCTGCTGGAGACTGCAAAGACTGTCTACCCCATCTATTAACACTGCAAAAGCAATGCTGAATGGAGCAGGCTGCAGATCCGTACAGGATTAGGATCAGGCTGCCTCCTCCCACAAGCTGAGGGATGACCCCCGTGGAGACCACAGAAGCCCCTCAGATAGGAGACAACACCACCCAGGATAAACCTGCAGCCCTGGCTCTGTATTTCCATTGAGTGGGTCATTTCTAGCCAGTGTTATAACCCTGACTGACAAGGACCAGTAGGGTCACCCTGGATCTGATATTGGCCAATTTCAGATTCTTTGTTTGAGGGTTCAATTACACAAACAAAAGTGGGTCTAACCCATCACGCTATGGTTCAAACCTACTTAAAATAAACACCAAGGAACCTGGCTGCCTTTGTACTGAGTCTGTTCTTGTCCTCTCTAGTGACTCATGCTGCCTGTAGGAGACCATCCTGGGACCAAGTCAACATCATATCCCCACCTGCATCACCAGCACAAGATAGAATGGTTAGAAATTCAGGCTTTGGATCAGACACACCTGGTTTGCACACAGACTCTAACACCTGCCAGTGTGTTATCTTGGGCAAGTAACAGAAACCCTCTGAGCCTCAGGTTCCTCAACCATTAACTGGGGCTGATAATGAGCATGAGGACTAAGTGATGCCTGACATGTAGCAGGTGTTCAAGGCATAGAAGGCTTCATCATTAGAGTCATTACCATTAACTCTGGAGTCTCTAAAATTACCTGCGATGCTGCTCATCCTTGATCTAGGAAAGCCATTTTAAATTTTCCCCAAAAAGCACTCTTTTTGTTTCTTTTTCCCAAACAAAGCACTAACTTACTCTGCATCACTAAAACTGTTGTAAAAAGAGCTTCAGGGTTAAAGTCTCTTCTACTCGACCTTAAATTAAAGATAATGAGATTGCTGAGAGGGAAGAAAACAAGCTAAGTCCACTGACTTTTTTAGAAGAAGTGTGTGTGTGTGTGTGTGTGTGTGTGTGTGTGTGTGTGTGTGTATGTGTGTGTGTGTTGAAAAGCTTTCTAACAGCACCTGCACCTTTTATGTTCCCCAAAACACCAGCCAATTTTCTTCTTCCCAAATTCCATGTAGAGACAGGGTGGACAAAACAAAAACCTAGGAAAGTGGTGTGGACAGGGCCTCCTAGCACAATGCGTTGCCATAGAAGCCGCGAGTTCTTTCCAGAGTCAATCAGCCGACCCTAGAGAGGAGCCTGAATGTTTTTCAGACAGTTCTCACCCAAGGGAAATTAATTTACTTTTCAGAATGATAGCCTTAGCAATATCTGTGAGTGACAGAGTGGTTAATGTTAGTCGTCAGAACTGTGATTCCTTGAGATTTTTTTTAAAATTGTATACTAATGAATGCAAAACAAAGTTAAAATGGGAGACATGGAGCCATAAATTATAGCTGAGGCTGCCTGGGGTGAGCTAATTATTTCACTGTTGTATTAATTTCATATTTTAAAAAATTGCATGAAGAAACACCTTCCGTCATCAGCACCACTGCAGAGATCTTGCAGAAGCCCCAGCACCTTGGCCATAAAAGTAAGGAAGAAAGAGGGCCAATCCTCTCTGGATCCAGGCCTTCTCTCCTCTTTCCCTTCCATTTCATGGCAGATGCAGAGTCTCTGTCCATCCTGTCTGCCCCAAAAGCCATCCAGAACCTGCTGTCATCTTGGAGGTAGCAAGTCTGACCACCATGTGTGAGCAAGGAGATAAATGCAGAACCCCAACATTCTCCAGGTTCCCGTCACTGAGGTTGAACATCATGAGTCAATAGGTAATCAAATGCACTTCAGAGTGTGCATCCATTTCTTAATGCTCCAAGTTGACCTTAGACTGCTCTTGGCAATGGAAATTGCCCGAGCAGCTTAAGAGCTGAAGCCTCCACTTCCCCTCTCAATCCACAGTCTCAAAGGTAAAGGGTGCCCATAGGCTCTTAAAACAACAGCAGAATCTTTCAATCCATAAACATGGTATGTCTCTCCATTTATTTAGATCTTTGATTTCTTTCATCAGTGTTGTGTTGTTCTCAGGAGTCTTACACATGCTTTTATTAAATTTTCACCTAAGTTCTCAACTTTTTGAGCAATTATAAATTATATTATATTTTTAATTCTGATACCCTTATGTTCATCACCGGTATATACAAATATAATTGATTTTTGCATGTTTATTTTTGCACCCTATGACTTTGCTGAATTCATCTCTTAGTTCTAGGATTTTTTTGTAGATATCTTGGGGTTTTCTACATAAATAAGCATGTCATCTGAATATAGAAACAGTTTTATTACTCCTTTTCCAATCTATATGCTTTTCATTTCCTTTTCTTGCCTATTGCACTGGCTACAACTTCCAGCACTACACTGAATAGCAGTAGCAAGAGCAGACATCGTTGCCTTACTCCTGATTTTAAAGGGAAATAATTCAGTCCTTTACCATAACGTGTAATGTTGGCTGTACAATTTTCGTAGGTGCTCTTTATTCAGTTGAGGATGTTCCTCTTTAGTCTTCCTTGAATGAGTGTTTTCACATGAATGTATACTGAATTTTTCAAACACTTTTTTCTGTATCCATTAAAATGATTATGAGATTTTTCTTCTTTAGCATGTTAATATGGTAGATCAAATTGACTGGTTTTTAAATATTAAACCAGCATTCCATCTCTGGAATAAATCACACTTGGCTGTGATATATAGTTTTTTTATATTGCTAAATTCCATTTCCTAATATTTTGCTAAAATTTTTTGTATCTATATTCATGAAGAATATTGTCCTGCATTCTCCTTTTATTATATTTTCTTTATTTGGTTCCGGGATCAGTATATGGCTAACTTTCAAAAAAAATGACTTGGAAAGTGTTCTTTCTGCTTCTGTTTTCTAAAAGAGTTGTATAGACTGTTGCTATTAATAATTCTTCTGGAAACATTCAGGATTTTCCAGTGAAAACATCTGGCCTGGAGATTTTCTTAGGAGTTTTAAAATCATGAGTTCAATTTCCTTAGCAGTTAAAAGGTTATTCAAATTATCTTACACATTGGGGGAGTTGTGATATTTTGTGGGTTTTTTAACGAATTTATTCTTTACTCTAAGTTTTCAATTTTATGTTTACAGAGTTGTTCCTAGTATTCTCTTATTATTCTTTTGATGTTCTCAGTGTCTACAATAATATCCCCTGTATCATTCCTGATGTTAGTAATTTGTGTAGTCTCTTTTTTCTTTGACAGTCTCACTGTCAAAACGTTTGTCAATTTTATTAATCTTTTCAAAGGACCATTTCTTTGTTCACTGATATTCTCTATTGTTCTGTTTTCCATTTCATTGATTTCTGCGCTTGTCTTTATTACTTTATTCTTTTTGCTTCCTTTCCACGTATTTTGTTCTTCTTTTTCTAGGTTCTTGCTATAGTTTGAATATGTACCCCCAAAATTCATGTGTTGGAAATGTAATCCCCAATGCAACAGTGTTGGGAGGTGAGGCCTAACGAGAGGTGTTTAGGTCATAAGGGCTCGGCCCTCATAATAGGCTAATGCTGTTGTAAAGGGATTGATGAGAGGAGTGCACTCTATTTTGACCTCTCTTGCTCTTCTGCCTTCTGCCATGTGAGGACTCAGCATTCTTGTTCTTTAGAGGACATAGCAGGAGGGCCCTTAAAAGATGCCAGGGCCTTGATCCTGGACTTCCCAGTCTCCAGAACTATAAGAAATAAATTTCTGTGGTATTGTTATAACAGCACAAAATGGACTAAAAAGACCATTCTTTAAGTGAGAGCTTAGATATTGATTTGAGACTTTTCCTCATTTCTAATATATGCATTTAGCACATTTAGTGTTACAAAATTTTCCTCTCAGCACTGCTTTAGCTGTGCCCTACAATTTTTGATATATATTTTCAGTTCCATCTAGTTCAACATATTTTTTAAAAATTTTCCTGAGAGTTCCTCTTTTTACTATTAGTTATTTAGAATTGTGTTGTTTATTTAGGAAGTGATGGCGAGTTTTCCTGTTATCTTTGTTACAAAGTTCTAGTTTGAATACATCATGGTCAGAGAACTCACTCTGTATGACTTCAATTTTTAAAAATTTGTTGCAGTTTTTTTTTTCTGGATAAGATATGGTGTATCTTGGTAATGTTAGGTAAGCACTTTAAAAGAAGGTGTACTCTACTTTTGGTGGACGAAGTGTTCTATAAATGTCAATTAGATCCTATTGGCTGATAGTATTGTTGAGTTTTTCTATATTCATGCTGACTTTCTGCCTAGTTCCATCAATTGTTGAGAAAGGACTGTTGAAGTCTCCTACTACAACTGTAGATTGGTCTATAGTCCTTTCAGTTCTGTTAGTTTTCACTTCACGTATTTTGCAGGCTGTGCTGTGTTTTACATAGACATTTAAGATTACTGTATCTTCTTGATGGATTGACCCTTTTAATCATTACTGAAAGTCCTTTTATTATCTCTGAAAATTTACTTTTCCCCAAAGTCTACTTTATATGAAATTTAAGTAGCCACTCCTTCTTTTTTTGGCAAATCTTTGCACGATATGTCTTTTTTCATTCTTTGACATTTAACCTGCCTATATTGTTACATTTGAAGTGAGTTTCTTATAGACAGCATAGAGTTCAGTTACGTTTTTAAATACACTTTGTCAAGCTCTATTTTTTAACTGAATTATTTGACCATTTACATTTAATGTAATTATTGATATGTTAGGGCTTAAGTCCGACTTTTTAAAATGTTTTCTCTGTTTTTCATTTCTGTTTTATTTTTCTTGCCTTTCTTTAGGTTACTTGAATATTTTCTAAAATTCCATTTTGATGCACCTATAGTGTTTGTGAGTATATCTCTTTGTATAGGTTTTTTTCCTGGTTGCTCTAACTATTACAATGTTATATACATAACTCATTACAGCCTACTTGGGGCAGAATTTTACCAGTTCAAACCAAGTACAGAAAACTTAACTCTTTTATATCTCGTTTCTTTCCCCTGTGTATAATTGTCTTAAATATTTCTTCTATTAATTTAGAACCACATCAGGCAGTGTATTAACTTTTGCTTACTGCCAAACATAATTTAGAGAACTCAAGAGGAGATGGAAAGTCTATTGTATTTGTGTGTTTTTTGTTTGTTTTGCTTACTATAGAATTTTGTGGTTCCAAGGTTCTTTCTTTTATTGTTTCCTTTCTGTTTAGAAAAATTTCCTTAGCAATTCTTTTAGGATTCTTTTAGTTTCCCTTCATCTGAAAGTGCCTTGATTTCCTTTTCATTCCTGAATGACATTTTTACTGGATATAGAATTCTGGCTCGATAGTTCTTTCAGTGCCTGAAAAATGTCATGCCACTTTTTTTCTGGCCTCCATGGTTTTTGATGTAAAATTTGCTATGATTCCAATTGTTTCTCTCTCTCTCTCTCTCTATTGTTTTCAAGATTTTTTCTTTGTCTTTAGTTTTTGGATGTTTCACTATGATGGCTGTTGGTGTGAATTGCTCTGGGTTATCCTGTTTGAGGTTTGCTTAGCTTCTTTCATCGATAGATATGTCTTTTGTCAAATTTGGGAAGTCAGCCATTATTTCTTTGAGCACTTTTTCAGCCCTCCTATTTCATTCTTTTTTCTGAGACTTGAAAGACACAAATGTTAGATCTTTTGTTAAAGTTCCACAAGTTCCTGAGACTTTTTCTTTATTTCCTTTTTTTCCAGGCTATATTCTGTTTAGATTTGGTAATTTCTATAGTTCTATCTTCTAGTTTACTGATTCTTTCCTCTGTCCTCTTTATTTTTCTGTTGAGACCATCCAATTAGTTTTTCCTTTAGGTTAATATATTTTTCCATTTGAAAATTTTCACTTGGTTCTGCTTTATATCTTCTATTTGTTTGCTTAGACTTTATATTTTCTGCTGAGATTTTTTCATGTTTCAGCATGTTTGTCATTTCTCTTTTTGAAACATTTTTATGATGGCTGCTTTAAAATATTTTTCAGGTTACTCTAACATCTCTGTTATTTTGGTGTTAGCACCTATTGATTTTCTTTACTCATTCAGTTTGAGATATACCTGATTCTTGATATAGTGAGTGATTTTCATTTGAAACTGTATATTTTCATGTTATATTGTGAGACTCTAGATCTTATTTAAGCATCTGGTCTGACTGTATTGTGGCAGGGAAAGGAGTCATTACTGACAGGCAGAGGTAGAAGTCCAGGTTCCCCACTTGTTCTCTATTACCCAAGTGATGGTGCTGGGCTCCTCATTACTGCTAGGGAGGGGCAGGAGTTCTGGCTCCCCATATAGTCTTTACTGGCACAGCAGTGGGTGTAGTGTCATAATTGCTGAAGAGCAGTGACAGTTCTAACTCTAGTTGGCCTCCTGTAACACCACCACTGCAGGAGGTGGCAGGAGTTGTCTAGGTTGAGGTAGGTGTCCAGGATCCCCACATGGTCTCTCCTGAAGCCACAGGTGCTAGGGCCTGTTACTTCCTAGCAGGGCAGGGATACCAGTCCCAGATCCCTGTTTGGCTTTTATTTGACACCACCCTGATAATGGAGTTACGGAACCTCATTACAGCCTGGGGAGGGCAGAAGTCTATACTCCCCACTCAGCTTTTGTTGGCATGGATGGGGTGGGACACCAGTTTTTTTGGTGGTGTTTGACTGAAGTAGAACATTTGGCTAAAAGTTTTCTGTCTTGGTGGGTGTCCCATTTCTGGTCCTCTGGCTAGAGAAAGCAGGCTCATTTGGGCTTTTTTTTTTTTTTGGTCTGTTCCTACTGGTGATTCTGGGTGGTCAGCTTCACCAGTACCTTGTCTAGGAAAAATAAGACAAAAAGAAAACCAGAGAGCTCTCTATTGCATCATTCTTGTCTCCACCTTTCAAAGTCTTCTTAGATCTGTTCTATTTATGATGTCCAGGCTTTTTAGTTGTTGTGGGAGGAATAGAGAAAAGTATACCCACTACATTTTCCTGGAAGTAAGTTCTATTGCAGGTTTCAAATATGACATATTTAGATACGACTTTTAGAAAGTTCACCTGGCAGAAGTGTGAAAATTGACTGATAATGTTAAATTTATTTAGCTTCCATATAAAGAGCGATAAACAACAGAGACAAAGAGAGAGAAAGAGAGGCCATGCACAGATGTTAATACGTAACACATATGTCATATTTTCTCCCTTTAAAAAATATCTCTCAAAGATGTACTACTAATTTAATAATAATCTATGAGGAATAAGAAAATATTACATGGTAAATGTGTGCACAATTACAGACATCTCAATGTCAAAATAAAAAAACAGACAGGTATATATGCTACAATCAAGGGATAATGAATATCTTCAACATATATTAACATATTCAATTAGGGCTATATCATGAAGAGGTATATATCCTGCTTTTCTATTTACCTAATATTCCGTTGTATGCAATTCCTCTTGTCATTAACTATACTTGAAGGCATAATTTTCATGATTATTTCCTTAGGGTAAATTTATAGAAAACTATTACTGTATCAAAACATGCAAACTTTTTTTAAAGCCCTTGACACACATCACCAACTCACTCTCCAGAAAGATTATATCAATTTTTATTCCTTCTCCCAGTGTATAACTTGCCTATCTTAATACATTCCTACCAAAGCTGAGTATTTTTCCTTTCAAATGACTTTGCTAATTCAACAAAGTAAAATATTATCTCATTTTAATTTGCCTTTTTTTGATTATTAATAATTTTTCTATCTTATATGCATATTAATTATTAGCTATGTATATGTCTTCTTCAAATCGTCCATAGCTTGCCCTTTTATATACTGTGGTATTAGCATTTTTCTTACTTATTTATAGAAGCTCTTTATATATTAAAAAAATTAAACCATTGGTAGTCATATTTGTTTGGATGTCTCTACTGTGACATAGTTTTAGCTTTGCTTTTGAAATATGTACACTTTTAATTTTTATATAAACAATTTAACCTAATACTTTTGCTTTGGGATTTTTTCCTATTAGAAGCATTTTTTAACTGTATGAAATGTTGGGTCACTTATTGTACTTTGCCTATGTTACTCTGTGGTTTGTTTTAACTTTTAAAGATGAGCAGAGGTGAGAGATGTAGGTCTACCCCAGTGGGATATGGGAAAAAATCTACCAACATAGTTAACTGCAGCAAGTGCCACTAGGCTGATCCAAGAAAGATCTATGAAGGTGAACAGGCTCCTGTTTATACCTGCTTAAAATAGCCATTCCCTCTTCCCAGACAATTCCCTTGATCTTCCTCCTTCCAACTGACTTGACAGACAAGTCCTTGCTTTAACCTCTCTCCCACTTTATTTTCTAATCTGCCAGGAAGTTAATACAAGTCCTGAGCCTCCCTGGATATAGCTTTTTTCAGGCATCCCTTTTTCATCTTTGATTTTACAATTGAAAAAATAAGTAAAAGCAAACTTTACTGTTTTGCTGGCAACAGAATATGTGTCTTCAGTGCACAGGAATATTTTCCTAAGAGAAAAAAAATCCTGGGGTGGGTCTATTATAATAACCACCCCTCCGAGCAAAAACTAAACACTTCATCCTCCATTGAAAACTTTCTGGTGACCCAGTGGTTGAGCGCCATTTATGTCCAACATCTGGATGTCAGGTGTTGGATGAACACATCTGTCATCAAGGCCCAGAGCACAGCAATGAGAAATCCCCTCAGCTGGAGCCAGCCAACAGACCCCTGACTGGTTTGCTACCCCTCAGCCACAGATTAATCTGCATGGTACCTAATACAGCTGCAGGTTTCCCAGGACTTCATTTCAGGGCGTTCTTCCTTTGCCACCCAGATTTCACCACCATCTGTTGTCTGCCTAATCTATTACCTGGCTCCATCCCAAAGGTCAGCACCATCATCTGGGTTATGATAAGCCCATTTCATTTCTTGGTATTGATGTATCCTTGCACATAATTGAAAATTAAAAAGAAAATAACCTGACTCTTGTTATTTTTACAAAAAGCATTTCCAAAATTAACAATGTATTATGCCTGTGACAAAAGCAATTTATCTGATTTGCAGAGATATGGCCTGGGAATAAACTTCCACAAGGTCATCTGAGTTTTTGTGTAAGATCTTTGGATACTAGAAATTATCCAAATCATGGAATGTCAAAGAATGCAACACAAGATGACAGCCTGAGTGAATGCATTTCAAAAAGGCTTCGGGAGGCAAGTGGAAGCTGGACCACAGAGAACCTGCCAAGAGTCAGGAGGCCAAGGTCCTTGTACCACCCCTGTCATGGACTGGACCTGACATAGCAGCTCACTTCTGAACTTTGCTCAAAAACAAAACCCAATTTCATGCCTAGTTCCACTGCTTTTGCTGACCTGTATAAGATGGTACTGATACCAAAGCACTTTCCATTTAATTGCTGAAATTGATTTCTAAAACATTTAAAGTCTCTGGAAACTGCTCTAAGGCATACAGCAAATGGAGGAAGATCTAAATTTCAGTAAAAACAATGAGAGTCTGTAGTATTTGAGCCACAATCCACTTATATTACACTCCCCACCTTACCCCAATAGCTCAGTGTGACAAAAGGTCTTCTCTGGGTAGGTGAATTAAGCATCAAATAGAAAGGCAGGTATTGTCATACTAGATTTTAAAAACAAGTTTCACCTAATTCTCTAGATAAAAGACATATTTTAGATTCAAAGATACAAATAAGTTGAAAGTAAAATGATGGAAAAAAAGATCTATAAATAGCAACCATAAGAGATGAGGTGAATATATTAATATTGTACAAGATAGACTTTTTAAATACTTATAACTATAATGAGGAAGAGTGTATAATTATCCTTTAGGTATCCAGAAAGCTATTTCTATTTGAAAAGAAGTAACTCTATCTCTACTTGCAGATAACATGATCTTGTATATAGAAAATCCAAAGGAATCCACTGAAATCAGTTAGAATTAAAAAACAAGTTCAGCAAGGTTGTAGGATACAAGATAAATATACAAAAATTAATTGTATTTCTATATACTAATAATGAACAATCCAAAAATTAAAAAGCAATTCCATTTATAATAGCTGCTAAGTAAAAGACTCAGAACAAATTAACAAAAGAAATATAACACTTGTGTACTGAAAACAAAAAAAAAGTTGAAAGAAATTAAAGAAGGTCTAAATAAATGGAAAGACATTTTATGAAAATGGCAATACTTCCCAAACTGAGCTGCAAGTTCAATGTAATCTCCATCAGAATCCAAGTTTCCTCATTTTTCAGATATCAACAAGATGTACCGAAATTCACATGGGAATTAGAAGGGGCCCAGGAGAGCCAGAGCAATCTTGAAAAAAAAGAATAATGTTGAAAGACTCACACTTCTCAATTGGAAAACTTGATACACAGCTACAGTAATTGAGAAAAGGTGATACTGGCATAGGATAGACATATAGATCAATGGAATAGAATTGAGAGTCTAGAAATATATCCTTATATTTATTTCCATTGATTTTTCCTCAAGAGTGCCAAGATAAACAAATGGTGAAAGAATAGTCTTTTCAATGAATAGTACTGAAATAACTGGATATTCACATGAAAAAGAAAGAAGTTTGAGCCCTTCCTCACACCATACACAAAATTAACTCAAAATGGATCACAGACCTAATGCAGGAGTTAAAACTATAACACTCTTAGAAGATAGCATAGCAGCAAATCCTCATGACCTTGGATTAGGCAATGGTTCCTTAGGTATGATACCAAAAGCAAAGATAAGCTGGACTTCATTAAAATTAAAAACTTCTGTGCTTCCAAGGATGTCGTCATCAAGAAAGTTAAAGAAAATCATCAAGAAAGTGAAAAGACAATCTACAGAATGGGAGAAGATATTTGCAAATCATATCTCTCATCATGGAATGATATCTGGAATATATAAAGAACTCATCCAACTCACTAATAAAAAGATCAATAACAAAATTTTAAACATGGATAAAGAATCTGAACAGACCTTTCTCCAGAGAAGGTATACAAATGGCTAATAAGCACATAAAAAGATGTTCAATATAATTAGTCATTAGGCAAATGTAAATCAAAATCCTAATCAGATACTACTGCACATCCATTAGAATGGTTATAAAAGGCAGATAATAGCAAGTATGGCTAGTATGTGGAGAAATTGAAATACATACTGCTTGGTGAGAATATATAATGGTGCAGCTACACTGAAAAAATATTTGGTAGTTCCTCAAAATGTTAAACATAGAGTTACCATTTGACATAGCAATTCCATTACAAGGTAGAGAAATAAAAACATGCATGACTGTTGATAGGAGCATATTCACACTAGCCAAAAAGTGGAAGCAACCCAATGTCCATCAGTTGATGAATGGGTTAATAAAATGTGGTATAGGTATACAAAGGAATACTATTTGGAATATAAAAAGAAATGAAATTCCAATACATGCTGTGACACACTTGAATCTGGAAAACTGTAGGCCAAGTGAATGACATCAGTTCCAAAAGACCACCTATTATATGATTTTATTAAAATGAAATGGCCAGAATAGGTAAATCTATAGAGACAGAAAGTGGATTTGTTCTTGTCTAAGGCTGCAGGGAGGGGTAATTGGGAGTGACTACTAAAGAATACAGGGTTTCTTTCAAGGGTTGATAGAAATGTAAAATTAGATTGTGGTGATGGCTGCACAACACATTGAAGACACTAAAAGCCATCATATGGCATACCTTAAATGAAACAATTTTACACAATGTGGATGATATATCAATAAAGCTGTTGTTTTAAAAAAAATTAGTTGGGGTGGTTAATTTTACTTCACCATGGGCTCTTGAATTTCCACTTGCTGCTACTGATGAGGCACTGCCTGCATCTCATCATAGGTGTTTAGACATCCATGTGGCACTTTGTGCACTCGTGTGGTAAATGCACAGAGTGCTAGTAGGTTCTATACAGTTGAGTGCAAAATAGCAATTAAAATGTCCTCGGATGTTCATTTTGATGATAAAGTAGAAGACTTCTGAAATGCAAGACAAAACTCACTTCAGGAACACTCCATGCAGAAGGTATTCTAAATTTGGCTGTGTTATTAAACTAATTTCTTGAACAAAAGCTACTGGTCTGGCGTCTTTGGTTTTTCCTGCAATTCTCTTTAGACAGACAGGTTTGCTCTCCTAACTATGAATTTTCTTTTGCTTGTACATTATTCATAAGTTTTAAATGGCACCTTCTGTCACAGTTTTACCCCAGACACTAAAAACTTCTTTCAAGTTCCATTATAATTTGAATCTGCAATTTCCTCCTCCTAAGCAAACCACAAAAGTACCTTAAGTTCAAATGAGATCTTTGCTTTTCCTCCCTGTCCTCCAGGCGTAGCCATGACTTTAGATAATCACCAGCCCAAGTAATGGGAAAGTAGAAGGATTTAAGACTCACACAGATTGAAATCCATGCCACCAACCTCTAGCACTACTGTCAAGACAAATGGGGCAAAATAAATCAGAAGGACATTCGTGCAGTATCCTATGAGAATATGGGCCCTATTAGTCAGGGTCCATTGACTTTTTCTTGGGATATAGGAAGGGAGGAGTGAAGAAGATTCTGGTTATCATGGAGTGTTGTGTTTAAGTGTACCTGAGATAAAGAAAGGAAATGAGGATTTATGGAGCAACACTCTATCTGCCACATGTGGGGCCTCTGCTGGGTGCATCCACGGGGTACAGCAGTAAATAATCCTTTGAGGGAGGTATTAGTAAACCCAAATTTCTATTATAGCAGAAACCAAGTCCCAGTAAAGCCAAATCATTTGCATGAAGTCCCAGGACAAGCCTAGGTCATGTTGGAACTTGATCCTAAACACTTCCCGTCCCTTCCAGTTCCATACTGGGGTAATTTCGTGATGGTATACGACCCACTGAGCAGTGCCCAGGGTGATAGGGGTTGGGTTTGGGTCTTCCTTGAGCCATTTACTCTAAAAGAAAGCAAATGCCTGAGATTGTATTGACTATAGAAGCCCCAGCTACAAAAGAAAGAAAACAAATGGAGACTAATCATTAAAACTACACTAAATATTTATCAGCAGAGAAAGTCTTTTGGGAATCACTTAAAATGTTTATTTATTCAAATTACTCAAATAATTGTCTTTTTCTTCAAATAAACGTTGGGAATTTTGTGTGCCTACAGGAGAGGTAAACAGACGCCCTCCAATGTCAGCAAGAGAGCAAATGTTCTCATTATGAAAAATAAAGAAAGAAACAGCAAAACCTGGATATTATCCAAAAAGATAATGCTGGACTTTCTACTCAAACTAGAAAGGCAACACACACTTTAGGGTAACAGTCAATAATGGGGACAGCATGTTGGCTCACACCTATAATCCTAGCACTTTGGGAGGCCAAGGCAGGAGGATCACTAGAGACCAGGAGTCAGAGACCAGCCTGGGCAACAGGGTAAGGCTCCATCTCTACAACTGAAATAAAAATAAAATTAGTTGGGCATGATGGCACATGCCTATAGTTCCAGCTACTCAGGTGGCTGTGGCAGGAGGATTGCCTGAGCTCAGGAGTTCAAGGCTGCAGTGAGCTATGATCATGCCACTACACTCTAGTCTGGGTGACAGAGCAAGACTCTGTCTCTAAAGATAAAAATAAAGTAATAGTAAATTAATTCCCCAAGTTGAAATGCTAGGAATGGCCTCTAGTAATTGGATAACACTGAGCAGCCGGGTGCCTGTCCGTGAGAGGTGGCCACTAGGCTGGGCCCTAGAGCTGGAATTTTTATTCTCTGTTCCCATTGAAAGGTGGGAACATGACCAAGGGATGCAGAGGAACTGAAAGTCAGTGCACTGCCCTTGATATCAGTGGTCTGGTCCTATACAAAAGAATTTTGATGCATTGTGTAATAGAAGCCAATTTTCACTTTCCATATCAGGGAGATCTGGGAATTCAGAACATGGTAACGGAGTCAATGATTTCACTTTCAGATCAGAGTTTTTCCACCCCAGATCGTCCTTGCCAGGCAGAGACAGGCCATCTGCCTGGAGAGACATACACAGCAGACCCGTGGACGCCAGGCCAGCATCTCCTAAGCGGCACTCTGCAGACATCTTGCCACACAACATTCTCAGATAAAAAGTTTGGGATAGTGCAGTGAGAAGCCTATAGGGATCTGCCACGGGAAAACCCAGAACAGTTAAGTGGCTGATTTCACGAGCAAGCGTAAGAAACGTTAGCAAAAACCAGTTTTCAGGAAATTAGCCTGGTCCACAAGAGGGGCTCAATAAAGACCAGCTGGAGCTGAACAGCAGTTCTGGGAGATGATTCTGGACCTAGAAAAAGGGACAGAAAAGTGAGATGGCAACAAATTCAGTTCTTCCGCAAGGCTAACTCCAGTCAAAGGGTGAAACTTGGCATTCAGAAGGATAGGGGAGGGACAGACGCAGTGGCTCAAGCCTGTAATCCCAGCATTTTGAGAAGCCGAGGTGGGTGGATCACCTGAGGTTAGGAATTCAAGACCAGCCTGGCCAACATGGTGAAACCCCATCTCTACTAGAAATACAAAAATACTAGCCAAGCGTGGTGGTGCATGCCAGTAATTCCAGCTACTCAGGAGGCTGAGGCAGGAGAATCGCTTAAACCCAGGATGTGGAGGCTGCAGTGAGCCAACATCATGCCACTCACTCCAGCCTGCGCAACAGAGTGAGAATCCATTAAAAAAAAAAAAAAAAAGAAAAAGAAGGATAGGGTAAAGTCCAGAGTCCAAGCCAGTGGGGAAGAATGCTGTGACCATCAGAGAAAATGCCTGTGCAATGTGGCCGACCCATGGTTAAAAATGCCAAACTAGTTTTTAACATTAAAATAATATATGTGTATGGTTTAAAAATTGACATGAAAAGAAGAGACACCCTACTTCTCCACCCCTGCTAACTCCCTATATTATACATCCTACCAGGTAGCACATGTGCCTTCGTGTGCACACGCACATATCCACAAGCACGTGCATGTATATATATGGGTTTGGGCCATAATCCCAAAAGATAAAAATCCCAAAAATATACTTCTGGACAAAATAATTTTTAAAATTATTTAAAAGACATTGATTTACATTTTTAAAGGGGGATTGATTTGAGAAACATATAAAAACATGACAGAACACTTCATAGGCCACTTTACACAATAAAATAGGCAATAATAACATACATATTTCTGTATAGACACTCAGATATACTAACAACATTTGCAAGGGTGTAACAGCTACGAGCAGCTGAGCCATATTCCAAAAGAAATAGCTTATATAACTGCATACATCTGAAATATTGTGACAGACAACCCAAGTTTTTTGATGAGATTGATCAAAAACCTCCATGGGTCACCAAAACACCCAAAATACAGAGGTATAAAAAGGACATCGCTTCACTTACTAAGGAAGTTTGAACATTTTTATGTACATACACAATGTTACACACAAAGCTAATGTTGTGATAATGGGCTTTCGTGGAGTCGAATTTGCAAAAAATGCATAAAGCAGATTAAAGCTCTCCAAAAGCCTTTACATACTTTATACCTCCAGTCTTAAAATGATGCAAATATGAAATACGAAGCATAACAAATTGTAAAAAAATAATAATAATAATAATGCTGACAATTTAAAATAGTGGTGACTAAACAAAAACAACTAAAAAGAAATTCTGATACATGAAAATGTGTATTACAGGGATTAATTATGGGAAAGCGCAGGGATTAAGAGCTGGCCAACTTACATAATCATTAAGTATATTTTGAAGTCTTTCATCAAGAGGAATAGCTGCTTTTTTTGTTGTTTTAAGGGCCTGGTTCTCCTCAGAGGACAATTTCACATTCATTTCCTACTTGGCCTTGCTCTTTTTGGAATTCTTTTATAATTCAATATACACTGATGTGAGCATCCCTGTTAAATGTTCCCATCTCCTTTGCCATGCTTCTATGTTGTTTTGGGTAAGGAGAAATCCATTCCCCACGCACTCATATACAGACCACAAATTTGGCAGAAGCAACACTTTTGCGTACCTTCCTATCCTACCACACACATAATTATTTTTGAACCAGTCAGTAACTTCCATGGCTTCTTCAGGCAAATGTGGCTCTAATTCATTAAAAGCCCTGGAAATTTCATCAGCTAGAAAGAATGCCAATGCAGATAAAGGAGACATTTTTAAACTGAAGTTTCAATTGTTGCTGTATCTCGTGGCCAATCTACTGATCTGAATTTTCTGCCAAATGCATTGGGCTGAACGGAAAAAACCAACTTTATCGGTAACACCTTGAAATTCACTTTTAGAAGCCTTTATTGAACCTAACTCCAAATCTGTCATTATGGCATGGGGATTCAATTAGATATTGGGCATTTTAGACTTCAGAGATTTAGACTTCAGGAATTTTGATCTTTAAAGATTTCAGCATCTGGGGTTACAGCATTTGGGATTGTCTTTTGGGATAATAATCGGCAACATATATTTGTATCCATCCAACCTCTTTACACAAATAGAATCATGCAGTACCTACTCTTCTGTAGCTCAGTTTTTTTCACTTAATAACATCTCTCTGAGCTCCTTTTATGTCAGTGCTTAAGGGTGGCAGGATATGTAACCCCTAAATATGCAACTTTGGTAAAAGTATTATATTGAGTAAAAGGCACTGGAAAAACAAAAGATGTAAGAAGGGAATCCTAGTCTCCCCCTTTTCTTTCTGAAAACAGGAGATTAAACTCTCATTTGAAAGATACCCTCCCTGTACCAGGAAAAAGGAAACATTCTTTAACGAGGAGTACGAACTCAGAGAATTCTGGACAAACACACCTTGTTAAGATAGTTCTCATCTTCTTTAGCTTCCTTACATAGTTTAATTTTCCACAACTGCTTCTCTTTGTTCGACCTAGTATAAAAACATTTGGGTTTTGCCACTTTTTTGGGTCTTCTTCTCCTTATAAGAGTTCCCATATTACTTAAAACTTACATAAATGTGCATGCTTTGCTCCTGTTAATCTGTCTTATGTCAATATAATTCTCAGGCCCAGCTGAAAAACCTTAAGATGGTAGAGGTAAAATTTTGCCTCCTCTACAGTGCCTATTACCCATCCTTTCACTTTTTGTAACACCACGTTGTACTCCATCACATGAATTAACTACTTTTTCTTTAACCAACCTCCCCTAATATTTAAGTGTGTACTATATGTGTCTATGATAAATAATGCAATTCTTTAATATACATACTTTTTTCTCTCATACAAAGGATGGAGTATGTCTTTAAGTACATTTCTAGAAAAGAAATTTCTAGTTCAAAGGCAGCATGTATGAACAATTTTCATAAATATTGAAAATCAAGGTTATTGAAGTAATAATAAAATACATTTAAATCAGATAGGAAGTATTACTCATTCCTAAACATAAAATAGCACTTAGAGTTGTGTGTGTTAAGAAGGCTGGTATGGCTGGAATGGACTGCTTAGGAAAGTAACCCAAGATGATGCTGGAGAGGCAGGCAGAGGCCAGATAATGAAAGACCTTCTGAGAAAGAATTTTACTGTCCAAAGTTAGGACACTTAACTAAAAAGGATGCTATTAAAAAGTATTCTCGCCAACAGGAGCAAACCAGGACTATCCTATGCACACCAGACAAATGTGTGCCCTGAGTTTAGGACTGATTATTAAGAGTGATGAAAGGGGGCCAGGCGTAGTGGCTCATGCCTGTATTCCCAGTACTTTGGGATGCTGAGGCGGGTGGATTGCTTGGGGCTACGAGTTTGAGACCAGCCTGGCCAACATGATGAAACCCCGTCTCCACTAAAAATACAAAAATTAGCTAGGCATGGTGGCATATGCCTGTAATCCCAGTTTCTTGGGAGGCTAAGGCACAAGAATTGCTTGAACCCAGGAAGTGGAGTTTGCAATGAGCCGAGATGGTGTCACTGTACTCCAGCCTGGGCAACAGAGTGAGATCGTCTCAAAAAAAAAAAAAAAAAAAAAACCAGTGACAAAAAGGGCATGGAATGCCTTCTGCAGAGACTCACACAGAGTGAATGGAGGGATGGGACACTGGAAACTGGCACAAAGTTGTTGTGGAAAAGGCACTATTACATCAGTGGGGGTCTACCCAGAAAAAGCTGAGCCAGAAACTGGTAAATGAACCTTAATATGAGAAACAATCTTTGAAATACATGCAAACAACTTTGTTAACATGGGTCTTTTACTCCAATAGCTGGGGATTGCTGAATGATATTCTGAGAAATATGCACTATCAAAATTGACCTAAAACAAAGAGAAAACTGATTAGATCAATGATCAATAAAAGGCCTGAAAAGGTCATCAAAAAGGAGCATAGGCCATTCCATGGAGGAATGATGGTCTTTTCAATAAAGGGACCTGGAACAGTTGGATACCCACATGCAACAAAGTGAATTTTGACCCATACCTTACACTATATGCAAAAATTAAGGAAAAAAATCAGCCATTAACTTAAATGTAAAACCTAAAACTATATAAATTCTAGAAAATAAACAAAAGATAATCTTTGTGGCTTTGGGTTAGAAAGACATTTCTTAGATACAAAACCAAAAGACCTTTTATGATCCATAAAAGAAAAAAAATAATATGTTGGGTTTTATGAAAATTAAAAACTTCTGCCCTTTGAAAAACACTATTAAGAGAACAAAAAGACAAGCCACATGCTGGCAGAAAATATTTGCAAAAGGCATATCTGATAAAGCACTTGTATTCAAAATATATAAAGAACTCTTAAAACTCACCAATATGAAACAAAGCCAATTTTTTTTAAATGGTGAAAGATTTGAACAGATAACTAAAGAAAATAAATGGATAGCAAACAAGCGTAGGCAAATAAAAGATGTTCAGTGTCATTTGTCTCAGGGAAATGAAAATGAAACCCACAATGAGATACCACTACACACTATTGGAATCACTCAAATTGAAAAGACTGACCACGCTAAGGATTGTTGAGAGTGTGGAGCAACTGGAACTCTCATACGCCGCTGTCGGGAAAGTAACATGGTACACCACTTAAAACTGTTGTGGTTTCTCAGAAAGTTAAACATACACCGACTACATGATCTAACCATTCTATTCTTATTTGCCTGAGAGAAAAGATAGCATATGTCCCTAAAAAAGACTTATATGCAAATGTTCATAGCAGCATTATTGGAAACAGCTCCCCAATAAAAAAAAAACCCAATGTCCCTCAGGTAAAGGGGTAAACTAACTGTGATACATCCATGCAACTGAATATGAATCTACAATGAAAAGGAATTAACTACTGATACATGAATGGATCTCAAAATAATTACACTGATTAAAAGAAGAATCAATCAGACTGAAATGAGTATATACTGTATTCTTCCACCCACATAAAACTCTAGAAAATGCAAGGTAACTGATAGTTATGGAAAGCAGATTATTGGTTACCTGGCGATGGGAGAGAAAAGCGAGAGGACGGGAGAGAGAGATTATGGAGAGACATAAGGAAACTTTTGAGGGTGATGAATATGTTGATTATTTTGATTGTGGCGATGGTGCCATGCCATGAATGTGAAAACTATCAATCGTACATTTTAAACACGCACAGTTTATTGTATGTTAATTATACCTTAATAAAGCATATATATATATATGATTACAAAGAAAACAGGTTATATTAAAAGAGTTAACAAAATAATTTTTGGAAAGCAATTTATGATATAATTTTTAAGTTACCAGAGATTTATCCCTAAAGAGCATCAGACACAAATAATTTAATAATTTCACAAGTGAATCTAGAAAACCTCAAGAGAGAAGTAATTCATGTTTTACAGGAAGAGTCTTAGATCTGTGGAATTCACTAGAAAACCCTGAAGCAACCTCCTGTATATCTACATATATGATATGTATGTGATATGTAATATATATGTGTGTATATATACACACATACATATACATATAAATATATATATATGAACTGTTCAATAAAATGGTGTAGGGAAAACTGGCTATCTACTTGGAAAAAATATATTAGAAACTTAAAAATAATCTTCTAATGATCTCAAAAGTGAAATGTAGTAAAAAGTATAAAAAATTTTAGAAAGAAAAATTCGGAGATATTTGTGTAGTCCCACATGAGGAAGTTCTTCCTAAGAGATTAAAAATCCAGAAACAATGAGGAAAACAAAACTAAACCAGATTTGCCATACCCAATGTCAGTGAAGGTGGGAGAAAGGAGCCTCCTCAATCTCAGGAGTTTCATTGATGGAGTCTTGTTGTTGTTGTTATCATTGAGACAGGGTCTCACTCTGTTGCCTAGGTTGGAGTGCAATGGTGCCATCACAGCTCACTCCAATCTTGGCCTCCCAGGCTCGAGTAATCCTCTCACCTCAGCCTCCCAAAGTGCTGGGATTACAGACATGAGCCACTGTGCTCGGCCAGTAGAGTCTTTTGCAGAGCAGTTTGGCAATGTTTAAATTGCCACAGTTGTATGTAACAACTCTAGCTCCAAGAACCCATCCTACAGAAACAGTCACATATGGACACAGATACACATGTACAAAGTCACTCACCACAGCCTTGTTTGTGTAATGGTGGAACAAAAAGCATAAAAACAGAAGTGTGTGTCAGTAGAAGGATTGTTACATAAATTCTGGTCTATCTAAACAATGGCACAATAACATAAACCCTATTGAAAGATTTCTAAGACACACTGCTAAGTTTAAAAAAGAAACTGGCAGAACAATTCATACAGTTCGAATTAAATGCATTGTAGGTGAGAAGGATACTTGCTCCCTGTGACTAGGACTAGCACGCTGGGAAGGTGAATGGGGACTGAGAGGGGACAGGGAGGGCACTCTTCACTCTATGTCTATGTCTGCATTTCTTGTATCTTTTACAACATCCATTCTTTTTTCCTTTCTTTTCTTTTCTTTTTTTTTTTTTTTTTTTGTTTGTGACAGAGTCTCACTCTGTCGCCCAGGCTGGAATGCAGTGCAGTGGTACAAACTCGGTCACTGCAACCTCCACCTCCCAGGTTCAAGCAATTCTCCTGCCTCAGCCTCCTGAGTAGCTGGGATTACAGGCACCTGCCACCATGCTTGGCTAATTTTTGTATTTTTAGTAGAGACGGGGTTTCACCATGTTGGCCAGGGTGGTCTTGAACTCCTGACCTTAGGTGATCCACCTGCCCTCAGCCTCCCAAAGTGCTGGGGTTACAGGCATGACCCACCACGCCCAGCCCTTTTTTCCTTTCAATCTATGTCTTTTCCTCTATTCATTTGGAAATTATATAGTCTGTTTCTATTCTTCTAGTGGCCACCATAGACATTTCAGCATGCATATTTAACCCGGTGGAACCTCAGTTGCCCTTGTTACTGAGCAAAAAAACGCCCTAAGTGCTTGGCTCCAGACATGCACCTCACACAACTGTTCTGGAGCGTTTAAGTTCTACCCTCCCACAAATCAGTCAATACCGTTACTGATTTCAACATTTGATGGCAGTGTAGATTAAATACATGTTAATCAATTTATCTGTTCATGTCTTCTTGCAACCCATCTCATTCTTCGAAGATTATTTTCTTTATTCCTGAAGAATATTCTTCAGTTCTTTTCCGGGAGAGATTGTTGGTAATATATGTTCTCAGTTTGTACTCTGAAGTGTCTTCATTTTGCTTTCTCAAAAGAGGATTTCCTTAAGTAGAAATCCTAGGCTACATCATTTTTCCTTCAACGGTTTGAAGGTTCCATGGCACGGACATCTGCCTTGAGCTGTTGCTGAAGACAGCCTCTCAGTCCAGCTGCTGTCCTGGTGTGGGAAATCTATCATCTCTCTTGGGCAACCTGCTCTTCAGTTCAATACAATGGGATTGGATGTGGGCTTCTTAAATTCATTTTCTTTGGATTTGATTGGGCTTCTGACTCAAAAATTGTGTCCTTTATCAATTCTGAAACATTCTCAACCAATATTTCTTTTAGTGGTTCCTCCTCTTATTTATCTGCATTTCCTATTACTTTATTTTTGTTTTGTTTTGACTTTTTTTTTTTTTTTAACGGAGCCTCGCCCTGTCGCCCAGGCTGGAGGGTAGTGGCGTGATCTCAGCTCACCGCAACCTCCGCCTCCCGGGATGAAGCAATTCTCTGCCTCAGCCTCCCGAGTAGCTGGAATTACAGGCACCCACCACCATGCCTGGCTAATTTTTGTGTTTTTAGTAGAGACGGGGTTTAACCATCTTTGCCAGGCTGGTCTTGAACTCCTGACCTCGTGATCCACCCGCCTCAGCCTCCCAAAGTGCTGAGATTACAGGTGTGAGCCACCGTGCCAGCCTGTTTTGATTTTTTGAGATGGAGTCTCGCTCTGTTGCCCAGGCTGGAGAGCAGTGGCATGATCCTGGCTCACTACAACCTCTGCCTTCCAGGTTCAAGGGATTCTCCTGCCTCAGCCTCTTGAGTAGCTGGAATTACAGGCTTGCACCACCGTGCCCAGCTAATTTTTTTGTATTTTTAGTAGAGATAGGGTTTCACCATGTTGGCGAGGCTAGTCTTGAACTCCTGACCTTAAGTGATCCACCCACCTCAGCTTCCCAAAGTGCTAGAATTACAGGCATGAGCCATTGCACCGGGCCTGCATTTCCTATTTCTTGCATATCAATTCAACATACATTAAAGCTGTTCATTCTTTCCTACACGTTTCCTAACTCCTCTTGAATATTTTCCATTTCTTTGTCTCCATGTATTAGGCATAATTTCTTCTGATAGAGCTTCTCACTTACTAAGTTTCTCTTCAGTTGTGTCTAATCTATTTAATCTCTCTTTTGAGTTCATTTTTGATTACTGCATTTTTCACTTGTAAAAGTCCTCTTTATTTTTGATGTTCTTGGTTATTTCTGAAAGCCTCTTATTCCTTGGTCGTTCTTTTGACACCTTCTTTTGCTTCTTGAAAATCCAAACTGAAACTGTTCATAAAACCCACGGCTTTTATTGTTTTATTCACAGACTCAGGAAAGGCCTGTGATTTTCAGAAAGGATGGGGATTGTTTTAAATTTTGACATGAGATTGATAACCTTCAAAATGAGCTTGCTTAAAAACGTTGAGAAATAATCCAAGAGTGCTTCCTGAGGCTCACACACCCAACCTTCCAGTGCCTGTGCCCCTCCAGATCCAGGGTACAAAGCACCTGCTCAGGAAGAAGGATTGCTGCACGGCTGCGGGATGCAGTGCTCTCCCCAGATGCAACGCATCATGGCCCTCAGGTGCAGAGTCATTATTACCAGTGGGTGAGACGCCAGCAGGCAGTGAAGCCGGGCACTGCTTCCCTCCCTTCCTCTCTGTCTTCACCCTCCAGGTGACCAATCTCATCCCAGTGGGCCTTTCTGGTCTCCAGGGTTTCCGGTAATGCACAGGCTCAATGTCAGTAGAGGGTCTGACCTTTGTAACTTTGAGATAACATGGTGACATGGACTCTCCGTGGTGACCCAAGTAGAGCGGAGTCTCTGTAGGAAAAGGAAATCCTGTGGGTTTGTGAGCTGCATCAACCCAGTGGCTACGTTCAAAGGGTTAAGTTCTGTTTTCAGCTGTATCTACAGTGTTTGAAAAAACAACCGAACAAAACCCTATTTGCGAGATCCCACAGAAATGTGATTTCTTGTTAAACCAACATAAATTAAGACAGAAGTTACAGATCTTTCTAAAAACATCTAGAAAGCAAGCACACGGGCCGCAGCAGAAGCTTGGTCTGCTGTTGGTGATTCGGGGCTGTTGAAGAGTCAAGGGCAGCTTGCATCAAGACTAGAGACGCCCTGCTGCCTGCAGAGCAGAGGGCAGGCAGAAGATAGTCCATGAGGCGGAGGGTGGCAGAAGCTCCCAGGCAGCCAGCACGACCCTCTGCGTGCCGCCTCAAAGACGGCAGGAACTGTGAGACAGCCACACCCACTGCTGCTGGCTGTGCTGGAGAAGGAGGGTCCCTCGCAGCAAACAGGAAACTTTCCTGAGCATTCTGCTTTCATTCAGCTGTCACCTACTGGGCACCTCCTGAGGTTCTGTGATATGGGGGGCAACAGGGCCACCACCAGGCACAGCCCAGGGAGGTTGCAATAAGCCACCAGAGCATGGATGGGGAGTAGTAGAGAGACTTAAGCTCCGGCCTACCAGGCTCAGTTTCAATATCACTGATATAATTCATATTTTATTGATTTATCTTTTTCCTCTCTGTTTCCTCCACTAGACTGTCAGCTCCACAAAGGTGAGATTTTCATCAGTTTTGTTCACCATGGTATCCCTATAATGCCTAGAGCAGGGTTTGGCACCTAGGGGGCGCTCAAACAAACATTGCTGAAAGAATAAACAAATGGACCAAAAATACTTTTAGAATCATTTCATTGATTCCGACCCGTCTGTGCCAGTGTGTTAAATTCGTCGCCATGCCATCACATAGTGAGACCTGACCCCGAGCCGCCATTACTCTGTCCTGACTCCTGGCTGTAGAGGCCCCACGGTGCCTGCGGAGAAGCACTTGTCAGCCACGAGCCACAGAAGACAGGGGTCCTGGGCAAGCTGGAGTGACAAGCTGCACACAGTGTGATGCAATCTACCCCAGACGGGCTCCTGGAACAGGCCTGGCCCGTCTGCCCAGCCTGCTCCCTCCCTCCCAGAGGGACGGGCCTCAGCCTGGGCTGGAAGCACCCCAGCCTCTCTGACCCAGTCTGCTGACCCGGCCCCTGGGCATGGCACACCACAGGCACCTCGGGGGAGCTCCCTCTACCTGCACAGCCCAGAACCCTCCCTGGCACCGTGGCTGGCCCACCTCATTTCTCTGCCTGCCTCTCTCTGGGTGTGGGTATCCTGTGGTGCCCCTCCTCAAGAAAAAACCTGCCACGCTGGAGTTGCCTGGGTCTAGATTCCAAGATGGAGCATTACAAGATGGCTTTCAAGTTCTAGAAACACAGTTCTGGGGCCAAGGCACACTATCACAGAGGATGCGTCCAAGCCTTCTGACTTTGAGAGGGACATTTATAAAGTACCGTGCAGTCAGTGGAAAGAAGCTAGATATGATGATGTGTCCAGTCTCCTTGAAAGCAGAGGCATCCAGGCTCCCCACTTTTCTTTGAGGATTCCAGCTGGTGCTTTATAAAATACAGTAGAGTGGATTTACACAGACTCCAGGGCCCCAGAAGTGGTTCTACTGTTTCTTTCCTGCATGTCCTTGAGCCAGGGACTCACCTGCAGGTGAGTCTGTGTGCCTTAACCTCCTCATCCATTGTAGAGGTTACAAATGCCTTTCAACAGCTTCACTTAGGTGCCATAAGGGTGGAATTTACAATCCTCATTTGACAAATGAGGAACCCAAGGCTCACAGAGGTCAGGCGGCCTTCCCTGAATCCCACAGCACCAGGATCAGGCAGAGCTGGGCCCACTGCAGGATGCAATTCCACCTGGGTGCTAGAAAAGTAGCTTTCCCTTTGGAATGATAGGATCGAGGTGAGCAGCAAGGGGCTCCCAGAGGAGACGAGCCAGAAAAATGCAGCCAGAAAGCACACTTGTGCACCCAAACACCAGGACCACACACTCACAGCCCCAAGCCCACACCCATGTGCACAGCCTGAGCCTGTCTGCTGGGTCGGTGACTTCTGGGGCTCCACGCTCCACACCTCCCCATATCTACAAGGGTCTTGCATGTCAAAGGCGTAAAGAGGAGAGTCTTAGAATTGTGTGGCTTGCGGTGACACAGTGTTCAAAGCTGCATTCTTCTTTGTCCAAAAAATACACTTAATAAAGAAAGCAGAAGTGTGTGGTGACTCACAGAACCCTGAAATAATGCTCTCCACGGTCCTTCCCTCTTCAAGAGTCAAGAAAAATATTCTCAAAGGTGGCAGTTTCCACTTATGAGATTTACACATGAACGGCCATCCTTTGTCCCTGTGAAACAAAGTGTACATCCTGGCTTAGGTAGGCACGTGGGAAGTCGGCCTCACTCTAACTGTGCTGCGTCATTGGCCTGCGTGCAGACAAGGGACCGGCTCAGAGGCTGCCTTCAGGTTACGGAGCGGAGCCACGTGGCAAGCTAGTGTCAGTGCTTGGGTTTAGAGCTGCACCTGATCACAGCTTAAAATCCTGCCGGTGGCAGGACAAGGGAACAAGGTCAGTGAGAATCCCGCTCCCAGATAACACAGGAGAGAGAGACCTCGGCGACCTCCCAGTTCAGGGCTCTGGGGCCTGAAGCACGTGTTTCATAAAAGGCAGATTCCTGCCTCCCACCCCGAGGGATGCTGGTTCACGAGATCCGGGATGGAGCCCAAGAATCCTCCTGAAATTCAGAAAATGATGCGAATAATAAACCCAATCATTCTAAAACACAAGCAGCACAGCCCTCACGGCCTCCACCGTGAGCTCTGCTCTGCTCTAACTTGTTAAACCCTCGCAACACCCAGAGGAGGTGGGCACTGTCATGTGGTAGCACCATTATTACTATTTTAGCAACCACTCCCCTCCCCTGTGCTGAAGGAGGCCATCCAGAGTCATGTGCAGAAATGCTAATCTCGTCCTCTCTTGCCTTCTAATGAGGACAGTGATGGGTTTGCTCAAGGTCAGGCTGAATGGCAGAGGGGCTCTTGGGGCCTCTCAACTCCAATTTTTCTGCTCATTCCGCTTCCCAGGGACCTGCCTTTGTCTGCCTTGCTTCGCCCTCCAGCCTCTAGGCCCAGCTCTGACCGAGGGATGTCAGGTGTGGCTGGAAGGGAAACCAGGGGCTGGGGTGGGGGTGGGAGAGACGTATTTTGCAGTGAGCCTGAAACCACAGAACTAAACAATTTCTTGTCATGCTGATGCCAACCAACGTGGGGCACGCAAATGTCGTGCCCACTCTCCCTGCAGCGGGGCAGCCCCTCACCACCCCCCCAAAAGCATTCTGTTCGGTTCCGTTGTCCCCTGCTGCCTTGCAGAGCCCCCCAGGCTGCTGAGGGTGGGGGCTGGTCTCCCTTTTGCTGCCCTCTCTCCCAAGGCAAGCAGCGCCCACCTGCCCTCTGGGCATCCTCCCCGGCTCTTGCTCTGGGGTGGGTTTTCTGTTTTCCACCCAGCACAGTGCTCTGGGCCTCAGGTCTTGTACCCAGAGGGCCAGGACATGGATAGGGCCCTAGGGCTGGCCGATGCCACACGGTGGATGCCAAGACCACAGAGCTACCCTGTGCCTCATCCTCAGCCTCATACACTGGTGAGGGAAGGGCTGCATGACCTTCCTCAAGAACATCTCAAAACCTGGGGTGGCCCCATTGTTTTCTTGGAGAGCCTGTCTCCCTGTATATAAACCTGCCCTACTGGACAGACGTAGAAAACGCAATTGAACAGATACACTCTGGGAGGCCCGGGCCCCTCCTGGCCCCTCCCAACGGGGGCCCTTTTACCCTCTCCCATGGCAGGAGGCAGGGCAATTTGAGGGATGAGCAGGGAGGCTCACAGCCTCCCCTGGCTCTACTCCATCTGCTCTGAAGCTGAGCAGTGGGGACAGTGGTCAAGGAGGCACCTGGGGCAAATTGCAGCCCCCTTCCCACCCACCAGGTGCCCAAAAGAGAGACAGGAATAATTCCAGTACCTCTGCCACAGGGTTGCTGAGAGGCATACATAAGATAATACTTTAAAACTTGTAAGAGCAGGCTCAGCAAACATCCTGCTACCTGGGGCTCACGGCATCCTGTGGACCATCCCCCAACCGCCTGACACACTGCTTCCCTAGAGCTGAGGTTGAGTCCACACTGGGCCCCAGCTGGGGCCAGGCCTTCTGGCTGCCACCGAGCCTCCTCCCAGATCTCCCACTGGACTCCCAGGCATCAAACGATGGCGTGCCTGGGCGCCCAATCCACCAGCCCCCTGTTGCCCGAGGATCCTCCCATTAGCCACAGCCAGGGTTCTGGGAGAATGCCACCACCAGTGACCCATGGTGTGCACAACACAGTTTTATGACAAGAACTTCCCCAGTTTTGTCACCCTCTTCAGGGACAGGGCCGCCTGGGGTTTTTGTGTGACGGAGGAACCCAGCACATTTGCCTACAGTGTCAATGTGACTCATAAAACATTTGTTTTATGTTAAAACAAATGCAGGCAGAAAAAACAAAATAGAAATGCTACACAAGTTTTTACTACAAAATATATTTTGAGCATAACTGACAACCTAGTGCTGCTCCCGCAGCCCCGTGAGGTGTCACTCTCTTCTCTCCTTGGAGACATTTCACTGGAGTCAAGCCAGGAACAAGCCCTTCAGGAGGCTTAGGGGTTTGCTAACAAGCAGCCCCTCCCTCTAGACCCTATCCCCCAGCACTCACACACCAAAGGATTCCAAAATCCAGGTTAACAGAAACATTACAGTCAAGCATCACTCTTAAGAACTGAAACCTGGGCCTCCAACTAGACCTTAATGCAGAGGGCGGCCGGCCACGCCCTGCAGCCTCCTGGAGCTGGGTGCAGGTGGCCAGTGACACACAGCTCAGATGCACTCAAAGCCTGGCATGGCCTTGCTGGAAGTGACAGCTCTCCTCTGGGCATGAGAACCTGGGAGAGGCTACTCTCCCATCAACGTGACCTAAAGCCAGCAAGAATGGTCTCTGGCCAGTTTTGTGAAGGTTGGGAGACCCCCAGGAGACGGACACCTGGCCCATAAGGAGGCTCTCCTGGTTGGGCACCACCCTATATATACGCACTAGCCTCAGTCAGGCCCAGGTATTGCACCCGCTACAAACTGAAGGTGGTGAATTCAAGGGAGCCACAAATTTCTGGCACTCCAGCCATCTAGAGATGCCCTCTATGTCCCCTCCTCTTGAATCCTGACGGGCCTCAGGCTTGCTTTAACCAAAAGAAGGCAGAACAAATGATCCTACACCAGTTCCAGGCTTATCCTTCAGGGTGTCTGGCAGCTTCCATGTACTCCTTCTTGGCACCCAGGGACTACAGTGCCAGGAAGTCCAGCCTCAATGATGTGATGGTTTGAGGCCAGCAGAGAGGCCCTAAAGGACAAGAGGTCAACTCAGATGTTTCAGCCTCAGTTGAGCTCCCAGCTGCCATGCAGCTTGTGTGAACAACCCCTAATGACAACATTCCAAGTTTCTGGCATATATTTTGTGAGCAATGACAATCATTACAGTTGAATGCATTAAGTTTTGGAGTGGTTTGTTACGCAGAGGTGGATTACTGAAACACCAGGTCATGTGAAACAAACAGGAGGCAGAACAAGCCTGTGGGAGGAGTGAGTCTCAGAATGAGTGGGCAGGATGCAGGCAACCAAAGGAAGCGTCCCCTTGCTCCCAGGTCACTATGAGTGTTGGTCTCCAAACAGTGCCTGGAGCTGAGGTCAGGGGAGACGTCTCAGCGTGCTATGGCGCTCTCATCTCTGACCACAGGTTAAGTGGAGACTGCTGCTCCTGGTTCCCGGGGAGGCAGAGATGCTGCTTTTCTTGACTTTCATCTTACCACCAGTGATTTTGACCTTGAACTTGAACTTCACCTTAGTAGCAGTGATGTAAGACCCCTTTCATTCTTCCACACAGTTAACTGAAGATTCCTGTTGAGCCACATCCCCAACCAGTAAGATTACGGCAAGGATGTGATGAATGAAATCTGCAGTCCCCCGAGACGAATGGCATTAATACCTCTCTCAGTTTTAAGTGCTTCATTGTACAAGCTTCAGGGTATTTGTTTCTCCACTGGGCTGGGACCAGTGGCTAATGCTTCCATATTATTTCCTACTTCTGTCCTGGAAGTGGAGTATCAGCAAGGTCTGTGGAGTATCATGGTCCTATTTCCAAATATTTCTCAGCCCAAAATGGACAGTGTGCCTCTTTCACAACAGAAACCACTGGAGACCTTCCCCAGACTACTAAACAAAGCCAGATCCCCATGGGTTGCCTTGTCCAGGCAGGCACACCGAAAGGGATTTTTCCAACATGTTTTGCATTCCAGGAATGCAAAACGTCTCCTATCAAATGACATCCCGTAAAGTTTCGATAAGCAGTACCTGCTTGGTACCACATTCTCCAACATGTAAGAAATACTAATTTCAAATTCTGAAAAGTAGGTAATAAGGTCATTATTAGTCTGTCTCTAGGAAATGGGTCCCACGCAGTAAATAACAGATTTTCCAACACTGGGACGATTTAAGCCATGAGTCAGGGGTCCCTCCTGAGCAGGCCTGACCTCTCCCTTGATTCTGCCCACTACTTTGACCTCATTCAAACCAAAACTCCACGTGTCACAGTCAGCAGGCTTGGTGACCCCTATATGGGTTCCTCCCCCCACCATTTCCAGGGAGCCAAGGAGAAATCCTGCACCCTGAGACAGGAAACTGATTTTGATCAGAAATTACAAAGGAAGAGGAAAACATCATATCTAGAAAAATTTCAGAGTCACCCACAGGTGGCAGGTGAGAGTCCAGGTGTGGGGTGGGTGGTGACCAGGTGTACACGGTATGGAACATCCCTAAAGACTTGGCCTTGCCCATGAGGGTGATGTTGGCTGCAAATCAGAATGCCTGGGTTCTAGCTCTGACTGTCCCTGGCATAACTGTGGGCAAACTAAATGGTTTGGGCTGATGTTATTTAAACTTTATCCTGCACCAGAACCACCTAGAAGGTTTGTCACAACATAGATAAATGCCCTCCCCTCCTGCCCCTGGAATTCAGTCCACTTCTGTGTTCTGTTCAACCTATACCCCAATTGTTTAACATTTGAATATGTCACAAAAAGTTAAGATTTAGAAGATTTTACTTCTTTAAAAAAAAAAAAAAGTCTAGGGCTTCCCTTGAAAAGGAAGTCGATGGCACTACACAAGGCCTGCCCAGCGACAGCTGACTAGGGCAGTGCTGCCTAAAGAGTCTTCCACAAAGATGGGATGCTCTGTGCTGTCCAGCAGGTAGGCAGTGGCCTGAGTGGCTGCTGAACCCTTGAAGCACCTCAGGTGGGACTCTGGGAAACACCCTGTGGAGCAGACTCAGCCCTAAATACCCAGAAAACCAAGGGAACAGCCCTAATTTTCCCCCAGCCATAAGATAACTAGTCCTCCGCCCTCCCCACTCCCCCATGGGTTTAAATAGGCTGTGAAGGAATCACCCACGTTTTCTAAAAGGCTCTGTGAGACCCACATGCTCGGTGAATCCATTACAAGCCACTTGCCTGAAGGTGGCCCTGAGCAGTCCCATCCAGACCTTTGATTAGAAGGTTAGGCCCATCTGACAATGGAGGGTATCTGGGTAGGGGCTGGCAGTGGCTAGGTTCACACAGGAAGGGGCACCAGCTGCCTTGCCTCTGGAGGAGGAGTCTTCTGTGGCCAGGAGGACGGCAAGGGGCAGTGGCAGCTCTCCAAGGTGGCTGAGGGCCAAGAGAGCACAGTGGCTCAGGGTGTGGGCTCTGGAGACAGATGCTATGGGCTCGAATGACTCACTGGCTACTTTGCCTCTTGTGGCCAATGAATAAGGGGAGGGTCACCTGGGCAAGCACAGGGCTTGCAGGGACTCCAGCATGACACAGATGCACTCAGAGCCTGGCCTGGCCTTGCTGGAAGAGATGCGAGCCCCAGCGCTGGAGAGTGCTGGCATGTGCCCCTGGGAGCAGGAGAGAATACATCCCCGCCAGGAAGCTCACCCACCACACATTTGCCATTGTGGCCAGTGAGCCTCCAAACAGAAGGTTAAACAAAAGGTGAAACTACATACTCAGCAAGGCCTTTGGGGTGACAGAACACAGAAATGCAGTTTTCTGGGACCTTTTGACACACAGTCTGGAAGTGTGTGTGGCTCTGATACATGCCTAAACAATGCCAACAACGACTGCATTGATACGGGATTTACAATACACACAGCCTTCCCCAGGGATGAGACTTGAAATGCTGAGTATTCACAATGCCGGTGGGCCCCAGGGTTGAGAGTGAGAGCACAAATAGGGGAGAAGCTTACCATCTCCTAGCTGTGTGACATCGGCCATGTGGCCTACCCTCTCTGTGCTTCAGACACTTCAGCTACAAAGAGGGCAAACAGTACCTACTCCCAGAATTGTGACGATAAAAGTAAGTAATGTAGTTAAGGTGCTCAGAGTAGCATCTGGACCATGGCAACCACCCAAGAAATGTTAGCTGCCACTGTCACAATGTCACCCCCATGAACATGAGGGTGCATTTTCCAGAGGGAGCATTTTGGAAAATACATCAGCCTTGCCTATATATTAGCAACATAAGAAACTCCAGGCTGGAAGCAGTGGCTCACGCCTGCAATCCCAACACATTGAGAGGCTGAGGTGGGAGGATCACTTGAGCCCAGGAATTCATGACCAGCCTGGGCAACATGGTGAAACCCCATCTCTACTAAAAATACAAAACATTTAGCTGGGCATGGTGGCACATGGCTGTAGTACCAGCTACTCGGGAGGCTGAGGTGAAAGAATCACCTGAGCCTGGGAAGTTGAGGCTGCAGTGAGCTGGGGTTGCACCAGTGCACTCCAGCCTGGGAAACAGAGTGAGGCACTGTTTTGAAAAAAGAAAAGAAATTCTAGTGGAGCAATGCTGAGAAAAATGAATAAGATGTGTGTACTAGAAGAAGAGAATGGAAAACAAAGACCAGGCCAGCTGGTTGTGATCTGAAAACCAATAGATTCACGTGGGTCGATAGAGAAGAGCGTTCCTGCCAAAGGAATCAATTGCTCACATGCACTGTTGATGGCAGGCTCCTTTTCCCAAGAAGAAAAGGTGCATCAGCCAATCCTGAGCCAGAAACCAGAGCACCCAGATCCAGAGAAAAGACTCTGGTGCCACAAATGACAATCCCTGCAGGAATTAAGGAAAATGATAACACCAGACAGAGCAGCCCCAAAAAATCAAACTTGTAAAGTAAGTTTCATTTAGAAACTCGCTTCATAGTGTGGTTCTCACTTTATTTATACTTGAGATGTTTCCAAAGCTTAGCTACCTTTTCTCCATTGACTACATGAAATTCGTTACACAAAAATGTAGTCTGCAAAAAATATACAAGTGTAAATAAATCAGTTCCCCTGCATTTCTATCAAGAATAGCAATTTTTGGCCGGGCGTGGTGGCTTGCACCTGTAATCCCAGCACTTTGGGAGGCTGAGGCGGGTGGATCACGAGGTCAGGAGTTCAAGACCAGCCTAGCCAAGATGGTTAAACCCTGTCTCTACTAAAAATACAAAAATTAGCTGAGCGTGGTGGTGGGCACCTGTAATCCCAGCTACTCGGGAGGCTGAGGTAGGAGAATGGCGTGAGCCCAAGAGGCAGAGCTTGCAGTGAGCCGAGATCATGCCACTGCACTCCAGCTTGGGTGACAGAGCAAAACTCCATCTCAAAAAAAAAAGCAATTTTTGAGTTGCTTTTTCATGTCAACTTTTTGCTACACACCAAAAGGTATTTAATATTGATCTCCTAATTTCTAAAACGCAAAGACTCCTTTGACACCTGGAATTCAAAAGAAGTCCTTATTGGCCCTCCAGTCCCCACCCAGACCTTCTCACCTTCCTGAGCCCTGTCCAAACAGGACTTTGTTTCCTTTCAGACCGATTATTCATCATGCAAGAAAAATAAATGGGCACATACTTTATCCAAGACACCATTCAGCAGTCTACAGATGCCAGTGATCAGGGGGCCACATCTTATTAGTCACTGACTTTCAGAGTCTGGAAGAGAACAAGTTCTCCAGAAGTGCCAAAGTGTGCACAGAATGATGGATGGACACAGAGAGATGCAGAAGGATCTATGCCCCTAGTCAGTGCCTGCCTCAACCTCTTGTCTCCAGCACACCCATTACCACACCCCCAGGCCTCTTCCTCCAGAAATGAATCAGGCACTAGTCCTCCCCTGCTAACTTGCTGACATCTGCTAGAGACAGAAGCCCAGCTCCATGCCCTTCCAAGCTTCACTCCTGTCCACTCCCTTCCTTGCCTCCCTCATCCCCCGGATCCCCACAGGGCCTTATTCTCCAGTCGCACCTAACTTCCCAGCACCCAGGACACTCTGCTGGGCCCTCTTATAGGAATGCTGTCCCTTCCCTCCTCCATTCAGCAAAGCACGGTCTATCCTTCAAGGCCAGACCAAGGTCTGCAGGGCGTTCCTACCCTGATGCATCAGGCAGCCCAAGGGGGAAGCCCTGTGGCCCCTTGCACCCTGGCCAGCCTCTGGGGCAGCACTTTCTGCACCTCATCTTTGTGCATCTTTCTCCCTGACCAGACCAGACAGGAGGCTCCAAAGGATAGGAGCCTCGTCTCTAGCACAGTGGGTTCCCTAGCATCCAGGCTGTGCTTGGGGCATCGTTTATGCTCAGTGAGTCAGTGGATGAGTGAGTGGGGAGATGGGGCGGTGGGTGAGCTGGTGAGTGATTTCGTGAACGGGTGAGCAAGTGAATACAGAGACAGACAAAGGGACCTGGGGGTGCCTCAAGCTTCTGCCTCCATTCAAAGACTTTCACCTCTGCTTGAGTCACCCAAAGCAAAGCCACGACTCTGCCCCTGGCTCCCTCCACTGGCGCCTCCCCTGTATTTCCCCTCTTCCAAAGCGGCTCTTTTGTCTCCATCAAGACCTCTGGATCCTTCCTCTTCTCTGATCTTCCTGATTCAAATATTGATCCTGGCTCCACGTTGCCTTGCTTGGCCCACCTCCTCCCTGGGCATTCGGCTCTGGCTATTCATGTCTTCATTCTAAATGACTCACTTAACTGAGTCTGAACTAATCCTACTTCATCACCCTGAGAAGCCCTTCCAAAGCCCGTCTTCTCCCTAGAGCTCCCCTCCCTGCCTTTGAGAGCAGGTGTCAGTCCACACACTCTTCCAACACCACTGCCCCAGATCTTCTCCCGCCCTCTGCCCCTCCTCTCCTGCCTCCAGCTATGGGACTTCCCACAGCAGTGCTTCTCCCATCCCATGCCTGGCTTGCCCCATGGCCCCTTCCTGACACTGCTGTCCCCAGGCCCCCACATCCTGCTGGCCACAAATGAGGCACACGGCACGCCACAGGCCTGGACGCTCCAGCAGTGGGCAAGCTGCCTGACCTCCCCGCCTTCCGAATCATTCTTCCTTTTGTGTTTTCTTCTGTCTTAAAATAGTATTTACCACTCTGGGGAGGAAATAAAAGTGTATTTTATTTTGTCATTGAAACAGAGCTTCACTGAGATACACCGAGAAATGCAATCTATTTTCTGTCTATCAAGAGGAGTAAATAAAGCTAAATAAACCTACCATGGTAGGTGTCAGCAGTTAAAAATAAGGCAAATCCTTTTAGTTTTGTAGGAAAAAAAAAACAAGTTGTAGGACAATGGATAGATTATGCTATCATTTACATGCAAAAATAAAAATGCAAATAAAACTACATATTTCTCTCCTTGCAAACACACACATAAATGCATGTAAATCGTCTGGAAACACACACATTAAATCCATGGCAGTGCTGGCCTCTGCAAGGGGCAGAGTGGAGGGGACAAGGTGGGCTCTGAGGTTTATAATAAGAATGTGCTCCATCTATCACTTGTAAAATTAAAAACAAAATTTAAAAATAGATATAATTATCCTGAAATATCACAAATGCTCCTTTCTTCAATACCCCTTAGGTTGGCTGCTTCTCATTGGCTTGAAATAAAAGGTGACTCATCACTCCTTCGAAACATCCTATTCTTCACAGAATTGAGACCCATGCATAGTTTCAGAATGTGAAATCAGGCCATAGTTCAAAGATCGAGAAATGCAAAGTTAAGGCAAAGTAAAAACGAAAGGGTTTGAGAGGCAGATCTGAGGAGGCAGCTCTCAGGGCTGGCTCCAGCCCAACCCCACCCTACGCACCTGCCGTGTGCTCCACTCCAACCCAGGGCAGCCAGGTGACAGGGACCCCAGGCAAAGGGGTCCATCTCTTCCTTCAACATTTGCAAGTGAAAACATGCAGTTGCACTTTTTGTAACAGGCAAACTTAGGCTTTTCGATATTGATACCTACATTTCCAGTTGGCATGCATTTTCACAGCAACTAGAAATTCTCCTGAAGGCCCTGATTTTTTAAGTCCTTTCAGAAGCATGGAAAAACGGAAATCATCCACCACACAGAAATACATAAGAAACTCAGCAGAGTTGGAAGGCAACGGCCTTCCTGTCACTTCCCATGCCCCAACTGTCCCGGGTCCCCACCTGCACATCAACCCACTTGCTAGAAAACCTGGGCCAACAGGTGCCTGATCACAGTGAGGCTGGCTGGCCAGGACGCTCCAGGGAGACAACAGCCTGACAGCCTGGATACGAGGCTGCTCAGGATGAAACCAGCAGCCCATATACCTCAGAGATCCAATGGGGTGAGCTGGATTATTCACAAGGCACAGGGCCAAAAAGTGGACTGTATTACAGTTAGTGAAAGCCTGGTTAATTCGACAGAGCCCCAAAAACACAGGCAAGGCTGAATCTTGGAGGCATATGTTAGCAATGCTCTCTCTTCTTGGGAGAGACCGTCATGGCTAAAATGAGGGAGCATTTGGTCTCCTTGGAAAGGCTATCGCCATGCAAGAATATAAGAGGTAAGATATAACATACAAGAAAGCTTATACGCCCTTAGCCAAGAGGCACTTCTGAATATCCCATAACTCAGCAAGTCTTAAAGAGCATTTGACCTCCCAAGAACATGTCTCCCAGGGTGGATCACTGGATGGTTGAGTTTCTGGTTGTAGAGAAACAAATGGCTTCGGGTTTCTGTGGGCTTGGTGAAGCCTGAGTCTACCCTTTGTGGATGGAGAGCCCCTGGTGTTCAGTTTTGAGAACTCCTCCCCTTCAAGGACCATGAGGACCTTTACTGAGTGTCTCCCATCAGCCCTGTTCCACATGCTCTACAGAACGTCATTCAGCAGAAAATGTTCCCTTTCCCATCTCCCACTATGGGAGATGCTCTGGGAAAGAACAGATTTGACCAAAGTCACCAACACAGTGAGTGACAGGAGTCAGAAAGGGCACTTGGGTCTTTGGCTCTCATGGCGCCTGCTGAAACGTTGATCATCTTTGGTGCAGAGTCAACAGGGTATATATACTCAGGGGCTCTTCTAAGCATAGTGTCACTTCTGTGCCTGAGTGAAGGGATCTGAGTGGCTTTAGCTTGTCCTCACTAGTGAAGAAGAAGCAGAAGAGGGAGGAAAAACAGAAATTGGAGAAGCTCTAGCCTAGGTGCACCCCCAGGGAAACACACCCACAAGTCACATGAGTTGTGAAACTAGCAGTAATGCCTGTATTTGCTTTGATTTCTATGCAAGAGGCTCAGCTGTCTGGTTCTTAAAGATTCCTCATGACAGTGAAATTAAAGGCAAAACGAAGGACCCAAATAATATATGCACCCTCCCCCCACAGAGAAACCACACTCACATAAAGTACATGGGCTGTGAATGAGAACTCTGGAGGCCATAAACCCCAGGTGCTCCTTAGGGCAGTCTGGCCCTAAGGAATGGAATGTGTCCCACCCATCTCAGAATCAGGGAACTTGGGTTTTAGTCCTGCCCTGTTACCAACCAGTTGGGGGGGGTGCTCAGGGAAATCACATAACCTTCAGGGCTTCTGTTTCTTCCTTATTTTTAATTTTTTTTCCTGAATATGGAAGCTATGCACATTCATTGTAGAAGAGGAGAAAACCCTGGAGTAAAATAAAGAAAATAATCATAGATATTTTCATCATCAAAAAACAATCACTGCTAATATTTTGGCAAATTTCGTTCCAGTCTTATTCTATGCATATTGCCTTCATATTTTGGAAAACAGAGCATATTGCACACGCAACCTGATGTGGAGCTTTTTAAAATTAACTCAACATTATATCATGAGCATCTCTCCATGTTATTAAAAACTCTACATGAGCAATACTTTCATGGTTATATAATATTCCATCATAAGAACACATCATAATGTAGCTAAGCCTCTCCCATTCTTGTGTTGTTTCCAATTTTGTATATTATGAATAATGGAGAGGAACATCTTTGTTGCATGAAATGTTTTCTGCATCTTGGGTTATTTTATTGGAATGGATTCTAAAGGTCCTTTTTATGTATTTACATTTCATTTTCTCTGAGAGAATTAGAGCAAATCAGAAATTTGCAAACTCAAACACCTACTCGGTTACTCAGGGAAATGAGTAGGCAGGCAAGGTATAAGAAAAATAAAAAACCTAGTGAATGTGGGTGCATTGAAGGTGGTAGCTGCTGCGGGGCCCTAGGTGGTGGTTGCCTGTGGGATAAGGGCCCCGGGTGCCGCTGGACTGCCCAGTTTTCCAAACAAGCTGGAAATCCAGGATTTCTAATATTGGCCACGGCCCCTTCACAGAGGGCAACTCTTTTCTGGGAGCCTTTGGGGTTTCACTCGGCCAGGAGGAGGGTCCTCACTGGGGTGCTGAGGGGGCTATGAGTGTCCAGGGGGTGATTCGCCGGGGCACACACAGAATTTAGCCATTTGCGCCAAATTTAAAACTCCGTTTTTCCTTCTTTTTGTATCCCTCTGGGCTTCCGCCCAACACATGCAAATGACCTTCTACCAACCTCTGCGTCTCAGCTAGAGCCCAGAAGGCAGCTAATCACAAATGCCCATTTCACAAGCAGCACCAAAGAGGCCCCCTTTTTGCTCTCTCTCTCTGTTTCTTTTTAATTTTTTTATTATTGTTTTAGAGACAAGAGCTTGCTAAGTTGCCCAGGCTGGTCTTGAACTCCTGTCTTTAAGCGATCCTCCTGCCTCAGCTTCCAAGCCCTCCTCTGCCTTGAGTCGCTGGGATTACAGGTGTGAACCACTGCACTCAGCTCCGTGCTCTCCCTCTTGATAACTCTGGCCCTGTAATCTCCAGAAATCAGGTGAAATCCTAATCAAATTAAACTCTAGTGTTCCAGGGTGCCAAGCTTCCAGGGAAGCACCAGCTTTCCCAATGTCGCATGTGGCTGAGACCTTCAGGTTGTCTGAGGCTTGGCTGTGGGGACTGGGAGGGACGAAGTGGCCCAGTGAGCAGGTGTATGCCAAAGCGTGAGGGTTCTCGGTTCGAAGGCCTCACTATTCTAAAAGGGCAGCATTGCAGCTATGTCAGCAACCACAGAAGTGCCTCCAGAACGGAGAGAGGAAAAAAGGTTCTGAGAGAGCAAATCCCCTTTCACAAAGCCCGTGGAGGTGCCTTTTATGCTTCCGCCATCTGTCATCACAAAATTCACAACAGCTCCCCCAGTCTCACGACACTACATGGACAATTCTGCGGGGGTCACCCGGAGCCGTTCAGAGGCTTTGACAGCAAAACAATGCTGGGCAAGGTGCAGCCCGGTGAGAAAATCCTGCTAAACAAACACAAGGGGTCAACAGCTCAGAGAGCAAGATCCACTGAAACCCACTAATTGGAAATAATTCCAAGTTTTTCAGACATTACGTAGTGACAATAAGGTGCAAACACCGGATTAGCGACCTCCAAAAGACAGAGAGCTTTTGTTCCATCTTTGTAGGAGCAGAATTTAACCCCGTGTTTTGAAATTCCCATCAACTACCCTGTGTGAATTTAAAGGTTCACCATTTAACAACATAGCCGGGGTTAGATTTTGAGTTTCTCCGTTCCAGGTCAAGAAGCAGAACCTATGTGAGGGGAAGTGGGGGGAATAGGACAAATAAAGCCCTGAAAGCAGCCAGGGAGCAGTGTTCATTCAGGCCTTCCCAGAGCTCAGTTAACTAAATGGGCACCTGAATTTTCTGTCCCACCGGGAAAAGCCATATGCATTTCCAGTGGTTTGGGTTTTTAGTACTGGTTGTCTGTAAGTCAGTCTTGTCAAGTGGTATTTGTCAAGATTTTGTTGTTTTGGTATTTTTTTTAATGATGTAGAATTTACATTGAGCTTTATAATCAAGCAAAAAGAAAGTCAGAGGTTTCTGAAAATGCCTGATGAGTGTGGAAACTGGTTTGATTTGGGAGTCAGGATTCTGTAAAAATCAATACTGAAATAAAACCGTTGTTATTGTTGATGTTGTTGTTGAGATAGGGTCTCACTCTGTTGCCCAGGCAGGAGTGCAGTGGCATGATCTCGACTCACTGCAACCTCCGCCTCCAGGGTTCAGGTGACTCTCGTGCCTCAGCTCTTCTCATGCCTCAGCCTCTCGAGTAGCTGGGATTACAGGCGTATGCCTTGTTACTCCTAGAAGCTCTTGTAGGATTTATTGTGGACTTCAGCTCAATAGAGTAACACTCGCTTCCAGCAGGACTCCGATCTGTGAGAACAGGGGAACCAGTGGATAACAGGGGGCCGTGTTAAACAACCAGCTCCCTCTGTGGTCCCCAGATGCAGATAAGCCCGGCTGCCACTTCCTGAGTGCTCTTCTACACATGTGCTTGACTTGCAGCAGATCACCTAGACATGAACTCGAGTCTCTCTCTCCAAAGCTCCTGGTCTCTGCACTGAAGATCTGGATAGAGTTCTGGCCAGAAAGGAAGGCTCTTGGGTACCCCAGGCACTCCATCTTCTGCACCAAGATTCATCGTGGTGAATTAAGTACACACACTGATCTTTTCCCGAAGACCAGTAAGCAAGTTGGGGACAGCAAGCAATGTCTCAGCCCAGGCCAGGCTCAGAGTGGCCACTCCGAAAAGGTCCAAATGACCAAGGTGATGCACAGACACCCCAGCCTCTTACTGCAGCTGCGGTGGAGCCTTTTCCTGGGTCTCTACACAGGATTAGAAAATGGCTATTCAAGGCTGGGCGCGGTGGCTCATGCCTGTAATCCTGTAATCCCAGCACTTTGGGAGGCCAAGGCGAATGGATCACTTGAGGTCGGGAGTTCAAGACCAGCCTGGCCAACATGGTGAAACCTCGTCTCTACTAAAAATACAAAAGTTAACCAGGTGTGGTGGCAGGTGCCTGTAGTCCCAGCTACTTGGGAGGCTGAGGCAGGAGAATTGCTTGATCCCAGGAGGTAGAGGTTGCAGTGAGCTGAGATGGCACCATTGCACTCCAGCCTGGGCAACAGAGCAAGACTCCACCTCAAAACAAAAACAAAAAGGCTATTTAGGCGACAACCCCACAGCACACACAAATGGAAATCTTATACTGGATAAAAGCACAAAATGTGAAACCAGTGCTGCAAAGTCACAGATAGGAAGCAGGAAGGGAAAGACAGGGTTGGGAGTAGGCAGGTTGTGAGAACCGGGCTGAGGTTACTGGGGCATCTCTGTGGCTGAAGAAGGGCAAGGAAATGGCTTTCCAAGGATTCTAGAAGCCGCCTCCTCTCTTCCCTCTTCGGTGAGTCTGAGGGATGCCTGGGGAGTCCTAGCATTGATCCCACAGGCCAGGAACTTGGTTGCCACCCTCAGATGCAAGGTGAGCATCACACTCCTTAGCCTGGGGTCCTGCTGGGGTGCCAAGCGCCTGGTGAGCAAAGACCCCTCAGCAAATAAGACCTTATGTCTGCCATCCAACCCTCTTGTTTGCAGAGCATCCTAAAATACGATTCCACAAGTTGGAAATGGAATCGGGTTTCACCACTGGCAAAGCCCCTCTCCATGCAGCCGGCTGCCGTCAACAGCAGCTGCATTTCCTCCGCCCTTCTCCCTAGGCACCCAGTTGGTTTTCCTCCTTCTCCTTCCTCCAGGTGTGCTCTTGCCAGAGCTTGCCCCAATAAGTCTCCCTTTCATAGTGTTCTGATGAATAGATTGTCTGTGTTTTCTTTTGCCTTCTTGTTAATGGCCTGAACTATCCTCCAGCAACCCAGCTGTGCATGTCAAATAAAATGTATTGGGGTCAGATGGATCCTCACATAGCACTGAAATGCACAGCACACGAAACAAAGCACATCTAGCCACCACTCGCACACTCTAGAAAGCTACGCTCAGAAGCAGCACAACTGCCACAAAAGCCACCCAGACTACACAGCGTCCGGTCAAATGGCATCTTTTCATATCATCAGTCCATTCTCTTTCTCTTTGTTTTGGATTTTTCAAATATGGTTATGCAAAAGGTTTCTGTTTTTAAACTCACTATGCAAATACTAACATTTTACAAAGCCCAGGCAGATAAAATCAGCTCAGGTTGAACGTATCCTAAACGCAGAGCTATAACTGATTCAACTTTGCAATTTGACCTTTAATTGTCATATAGAAATGGAGAAACGCATGTAGATGAGTGGCGAATTTTATTGTGTTATATACAAAGGTACCGCCTCGCACGAAGCATGCAAACTCTCTTCAAAGGATTAAATATTTCAAAACTGAAGGAAAATGAGAAGGCAGGCTTCCTGTTTGAGACACACAGAGGAAGAGGGGTCTTTTAAACCTGTAATAAAACAGGTGGGCTTAAGAAACTCAGAAAAAGGTGTAAGGAAATATACTCTGCCTGGCACCGTGATATTTTAAAGAAATAACATTTGTATTTTGTTCCATAACTAAATCGAATCAGCTAACGCCATAGGGAAAGTACATGTGTTTGCAACGCAGCCCAGAGTCAGCTTGTTACATCTGACTCTCTGTTCTGGTTACAAACATCTCTCTGTTCAGCCTGCTGGTGCATACAGACACTCTCACAGCTGAGGACAGATGTGGCTAGCAACGCCTTGTGAAGCAAATGTCAGGCAGCAGACTGCTACCACAGGCTCACACACCTGCAGGTGACATCACCGAGCTTTATCTTACCCCAGAAATCTATTAACATGCAGAAACAAGTGTCACCCAACCAAAACCCACTCTTAGAAAGCATTGGCCTCATCAGCGTGAGAAGGGAAATGACAAACGAGATGCGGAACTTCCACTCAGCTCCACGTCTGTCTCGGGGAGTAGGAAGGATCCCCTGTTCCCCACCCGGACTTCCCAGGACACCTGTTCTCTAACATCGAAAGGATGTCAGATGCAGCCAGAACAAACAAAAGCTTTGGAGAAAACTCCATTTCCTGGATATTGCCTTTTTCCTTTGTTTCAGGGAATTTTGTCTTTTGCAGCAAAAAGTAGCTAATACCAGTGAGTTTTCACTAATTTCTTGTCCCCGAAACAGATATCTTCTTTGGCTGTAACTAGGCAGATAGCAGGTACTCGATATATGTCCAGAGCACCTAAAAAATGATATATATCTGAGATGCACTTTAAGGTACCCTAGCCAGCATCCAGGCACAGTGGCTCACATCTGTAATCCCAGCACTTTGGGAGGCCGAGGTGGGTGGATTGCTTGAGGCCAGGAGTTCAAGACCAGCCTGGGCAACATGGCAAAATCCTGTCTCTACAAAAAATACAAAAATGAGCTGGGCGTGGTGGTACACGCCTATGCTTCCATCTGCTCGGGAGGCTGAGGTGAGAGGATGGCTTGAGCCTGGGAAGCAGAGGTTGCAGTGAGCCGAGATCAGGCCACCGAACTCCAGCCTGGGCAACAGAGCCAGGCCCTGTCTCAATCAATCAATCAATCAATTAATCAACAAAAACTATGTTAAAAATAAATAAATAAATAAAATACTCTAGCCAGAGATAAAAGGGAGGATAGGGTGAACTAAAACTGTCAAAATGTTGATAATTGTAGAAACTAAGAGACAAATAATAGGGAATCCACTATGCTACTCTCCCTCGTGTTTAAAATTTTCCATAATAAAAATATTTTTTAAACGTGTAGCAAGATTTCCAGTTGTTGGCCCAAACCCTCTTCCTCCCATCCTTGGTAATAAAGTCCTAAGTCTGCTCATGTAACCTACTCTTCTCTATGGAGCCACTAACTAACCCAATCACAGTCACCCCAATGCTTCTTGCCTTTGATGGCCTTAGGAATGGACGGATGGGTTTATCTGGCCAATGAGAGATGAAGGAAAGTCTCTTGAAGGGTTTCCGGAAAAAAAGTTTCCATGCTGCTAAAAAATGACATATGGGAAAACACGGGTCCCCCTTTTCTCAATCTTCTACATCTATATGTGAGAGCAAGAACCTCAGCAGCCATATTGTGACCATGAGTGAGTCGGTCAAAGACAAAACTGACATGTTGAGTTGCAGAGAAGAAAGATCAAAGCCACTCTGGTCCTTGAGGTGTCACGGAGCCCCTGAAATAACCACCCTGAAACTGCCCCACTTCAGGAATCATTAAGAGAGAAAACAATCCACTTCCTATCTAAAATAGTTAAGCCAGGGTCATAGCTAAAGGCATCCTACCTGATACGAAATAACTGTTTGATGAATGAAGAATGAATAAGACTCCAAAGCACAAAGAATTGTCAGAGAGTCTTAACAGCATCATCTGAGTCTTAGAAAAATCAATGTCCTTGGAATCCCATACAAGAGTTGGGATTTACATTGTATATTCTCTTTGCACACAGGGTCTTCTGGCTTTTACAGTAGGTCCCCCTTCTGTACCGGGGATACATTCCAAAACTCCACTAAATGTTTAAAACCAGGGAGAGTACTGAACCCCACTGCCAACCAGACATATTCCTGTCCATGTCTTCCACCCACAAATTTAATTTCCATCTTAATTAAGTGCTTATCACCCCTGTGGCTGTACCTTTTACAATTTGAGGTGTGACAGCAAAACTAGCACAAATTTCTTTTTCCTTCTTCACAATTTCACAGGTAGAAGACTCCTTCTTTCTGTAGATCTTAGCAACCGCAGCATATGATTGCTTTTCTTTTCTTATGAAGTCGAGAACTTTCACTTTTTTACCTAAAGGAAACACTTTATGGCTTCTCTTTGGCATATCCCAATTGCCAGCATCACGACTCTTGTGTTTTGGGGACATATGAAGTCAAATAAAGATGACTTAAACACAAGCACTGTGACACCATGACAAGCCATCTGATCACTGAGACAGCTACTAAGTGACTAACGGGTGGGTAACCTGGACAAGGGGAGGATTCCATTCAGGATGGGATGGAGCAGGATGGCTTCAGATTTCATCATATTGAGAGGTGAAGCCAGCTGGATTTCCTGGGTCGAGTGGGGACTTGGAGAACTTTTCTGTCTTAGGAGAGGATTGTAAAATGCACCAATTAGCATTCTGTAGCTCGGATTGTAAAATGCACCAATCAGCGCTCTGTAGCTAGCAAGAGGATTGTAAAATGCACCAATCAGTGCTTTGTAAAATGCGCCAATCAACGCTCTGTAAAATGCACCAATCAGCAGAATCCTAAAAGTAGCCAATCACAGGGAGGATTGAAAAAAGGGCATTCTGATAGGACAGAAACAGAACATCAGAGAGGTCAAATAAGGGAATAAAAGCTGGCCACCCCAGCCAGCAGCGGCAACCCGCTGGGGTCCCCTTCCACCCTGTGGAAACTTTGTCCTTTTGCTCTTCACAATAAACCTTGCTACTGCTCACTCTTTGGGTCCAAGCCATCTTTAAGAGCTGTAACACTCACTGCGAAGGTCCGCGGCTTCATTCTTGAAGTCAGAGAGACCACAAACCCACCAGCAGAAACCAACTCCGGACACAACATTACTCAGGATGGCACACAATTTAAAACTAATAAATTGTTTCTGAAATTTTCCATTTAATATTTTCAGAACAAAATTGACCACAGGTAACTGAAACCACAGAAAGTGAAGCATTGGGTAAAGGGAAATTACTGCATTTCACAGTACATATCATATATTTTTATTTCTTTGACAAGCAATCAGGTACATCCTTGTATCTTCTCCTGTAAAGTTGCTTTTTGATTTGTTTGGTGCATTTTCTCAAATCGTATCTCATATTCACAGCTCTGCCCAGGTCAGCAGAGATTCCTAATACACTAGAAAGAACACAGTCTTTATTGAATGGCTATGTGGCCTCGGACAAACTCCTCAACCTCTCTGAGCATTAGTGCCCTTATCTCTAAAACAAAATTAGTAACACCCATTTTAGGGGCTATGACAGTTAAATGAGGAAGCGTTTAAGCAATATGTCATCTATAGCATTGCACACTGATGTCTCCTCCACATCAAGACTAGTTTTAAGGTCAGGAATAACTGTTGCCAACTGGCAGAATCAGTTTTTTTCTTCTACACTTGCTTTCAGGTATACAAAAAAGATGTAAGAAGTATAAAAGATGAAACGATTTTCCTCCATATGAGCAGTTTTGCCTCCAACACCTAATGTTTCCTTTTTTCCTACCTACACTCATCACAGAAGACATGTGATTTAAAAGAAGACTCTCAAAGGTTTCCTTTCAAACAAGACAAGTCCCATGGGGTAGGTCAATTCTCTCAACTGGGACAGTTTCTTAAAGCAAGAGTTGGTAGCTTCCTCCCCAGGGCCATCTGCTGGCCATCAGGTGGGACAGATTCCAGGGAAGGTGGAGGTGGGGTGCTAGGCTGAGCAGAGCAGTAATCTCTGCATCCTTGACCCCATGCCAGAGGACAGGGGCCACTGTCTCCTTCTTGTTTTCAAGGGAGAAAATAGAAACTGGTCCCTCTGCTTGAGAAGGGCCACCTCTCCCTTGGGTTAAGCAAGAGCTTTCCAGATCTCTGCCAGGTGGTGGCCCTCAATGGCCTCTGCCACATCATCCCTGCACCTGAAGTCTCCTTAATGCTCTTCCATAAACCTACTCAGTCATTACTTAAATAGGGAAATTTTCCATGAGCATGGCCTGCCCTTCCAGCCCTGACACTCTCCAAACAGCACTTTATCCCCCTGCTGGTGGAGAGCAAACAAACACCCTCCTTGGGGGCTGGGGCTGAATCAAGGCTCTGAGCCCTAGGGAACCATCCCAGCACCCTGGGTGGTGTTGGTGACACACTTTGGGGAAAAGTCTTCTGCTGGGAGTCAGAGGCCTGAGTTTGAATCCCCAAGTCCACCTGGTGTGGAACCTCCACATCCTGCCTCCTTCATGGAGATGTGGTAGGTTCTGCCTGGACGATCACAAAGAGGTACAGGCAGAAGATGCCTGGAAATTGTACCAACAATGCTAATCATATCCTCTACCCACTGTGTGCCTGCAAATCTCTTCTTCCCCCTCTCTTCTTCCCCTCAGAAGTTGCTGCCAGCCCATGCTGCACAGCCTGAAGGGCAGGGCACACCCTCCCCACACATGCAAACAGACACACACACACATGCACACGCACACAGACATGCACACACATGCCTTGGAGCATCGAGTGCTTCCTTTATCACCCTTAGGTTGTGATAGTACTCCCACCAGGGTCACCAAAGGCAGACATGGTGTGCTTTTACCCTCATTTAGTCCATGGAAGAAGCTCAGTAAGTATCTGTTGAATGAACAAATTAATCTATATTCAATTGAAATTAAAAAAAAAAAAAAAACAAGTGTCCTAGATTTCACTTCGTTTTCCTTTTAAGATTAAAAAAAAGGAGAGGAGAGAGGAAGATGGGGAATAGTACAGTCAAGGTAAAATAATTAGTTCCTTTCCAATTATCTGTTGCACTTTGTAGATTATCAACAAGGCAGGGCCTTCCCCCATGCCTGTAAACCAAACAAGAAAGGGCCTCGGGCTGGCTCTAGAGGGCAACAGTGAGTCCTACTGTGCATTTGTGTCTCTGTATCATTGCACAGACAACCGTAAAAGTGGATTCTGGGGGATCTTCCGTTTTGGAGGGACTACTCTTCTCTCCCACCCATTAGTATGACTAATTGAAAGCTGATTTAATTTCTATGCTTAGACAAACAAACAAACAAATAGAACAAAAATTATCACGGAATATTGAAAGTATTTTATCAACACAAAAACCAACATGCATGTGAGCCTTTTAATCACAGATTTGATTCAGCCTATGCCAACTGAGCACATGATACCTGCCAGGCTCTGAAGATGGAAAGAGGAATCAACACTGTGCTTACCGTCAGGAGCTCTCAGTCGAGGGCAGTTTCTCTACCCAGGCACTTTTCCCATTTTGGGCCAGATAATTCTTTGTTGTGAGCAGCCGAACCAAGCATTTTGGGATGGTTAACAGCATCCCTGGCCTCTCCACCGTAGCTGCCAGTCAGTAGTAACCTCCCCAAGTTTGGACAACCAAAAATGTCACTGAATGTCTCTGGAGGCAAAATCACCATAGTTTAGAACCACAGGTATAGGAGGAGGAGATTAAGTAAACAGCCACCAAGATGGACCACCCCGCCCGAGGCCCGGCACTCTGGACCCAGCACATGCTGGCAGTGGAGGGGATGCAGACAAAGAAGCTTGTTCTCTGGAGGAGGAACATTGTATGGACCCACGGCTGCTGACATGTGAGTGTATAAATGTGACTCTCCTTCCGCTCCAAGCACCCACATACCATCTTCACCCACCATGGGCTCTAATGAGGGTGGAGATTGCCTTATACAACAGAATAGAGCACTTGGACGAGCAGTCAAGTCTGCCTCATGAAAGACCAGGGAATGGCAGTTTATAGGTGGACTTCTCTGCATGGCACTTGAGGCTCTACCAACCTCAACAGGAAGCAGAATCTGAGTGACAAACCACCTCAGGAAAAAGAAAAAAAAGCTGCCTCATCACAACTCCTTCTGCATTGGCCACAGCGAACAGGGTTTGTGCTGCCCCTCCAGGGGATGTCCCAGCACCCCTACAGGCCCAGTCCCCCATGTGATGTAGAGGCTATAGAATGTTCTTGATTTGTAAGTAGTTTGAGCCACATAAGAGGCCAAAATGTGATTCATACAGCAAAAATTGCCTATAAATGCAGCATCTTGGTGACTGAGGGAGGCAGATTTAGAACTCTCTGTGGCTAGTTTAACAGAGCCCTGGATTACGTCTTGCCAATTTAAGCCGTTCATTCAAACTTGAGAAACGCCCTTCAGGAGGAAGTCGAGAGCCTGAAGCTGGGCTTGCAGGTCAGGCCACAGAATATGAGCCAGGGAGCCAGGGCCCCCACGCGCAGCCTGACCAGAGAGCTCCCCGGTGTCCCTCTCAACAGAAATACGAGCAAGACCTTGGTAGCCCCCCTCCACCACGCCATGAAATGGGTAGGCACCAGCCTCAGGCTTACTGTCAAGCGATCCACCAGGCCAGGGCGACACGGTGCCAGTCAAGGGAATATACAGAAGTCAGCAATGGGCTCTAGCCCTGCAGTAGTTAACCCTGTGCCTCCCCACACCCAGCAGACCTGCCACAAACACCAGCCTGGACAGTCGTCCATAGGGGTCTCCCACTGACAGAGCTGGCCTCCCCTGGCCCTGGCAGAAGGGCAGCTCCTCTCAGTAATCCAGGAAATATGCTGGGGGCTTCCTCCAAGCTCATTCTCTCTCCGTCCTGCTCTCTGCCCTGCACTCAGCGACATTCAACCCAGTGGGAGCTGGAGTGACCCCGGCTATGTTCACCTCTGCGGCCAGGACAGAACATGGAGCGCCTTTCTCACTGGTGAGGTCTGGAAACAGCTGCCCCCCATTTCCCGGATCTCTGGGAGAGGCCCGCGGACCAGAGAGTTTTCCAGGTGGTTGAGATGAGCAATGCCTTCAGGAACATGGCCTCAGGCACCTGTATTTCACGGAGGGATGTCATCCCAGCGCCCTGAGGGCTCTCAGGACCACAGACCAGAGCACTGGTTCTGCTCTGCAGCCACCTTGCAGTGAAAAACAAGGTGGTGCCTCGGGCTGCACCACCCCACCACGAGGGCCTCACTGAAGCACCACACAGTCTAGGGCGTCCAGAGCTGATGGAAGACCTGACTGCACCTGTGTTGTCGTGGAACGCCTTAGAAAGAGGAATGGGCTAAACTGAGTGCAGTCACACAGCTTGCAACCTGCCTTCATTGAAAATGACAATGTGGCTCAATGTGAACTCAAAGGCCTCACCCTGGGCACGTAAAACAAGTAATTCCACATAAAGAACCCCCTCAAACCATACCCAGAAGCACTTGGAAAAAGTGTCAACACGGCCTCAGACACAGTGTTCTCACCTCAAAAAAGTGATCCAGAGACTCCCCTATCTTAACTCTCTTTAATTCAAGTTCACTGAGCATAATTTAATTACAATAAAATTCACCTGATTTAGGTGTCACAGTACTATGAATTTTGGAAAATATATACAGTCGTGTCACCACCACAATCAAGATTTAGAATCTGTCCGTCAACCCCCAAAAATCCCTCACTTTGCTTTCTAGTCAACTCCTCCACCCACCTGGTGAGTACGGGTCTGCTTTCTTCCCTATAGTTTGCTCTTTTCCAGAATGTCATGCAAAAAGAATCACACAGTAAGGGCACTTTTGAGTCTGGCTTTTTCCACTCAGCAGAATGTCTTTTTATTGCTGAGTAGTATCTCACTGTATGGAAGTGACACAGTCTGTTTACCCACTTCCCAATGGAAGGACATTTGGAATTGTCTTCAGTTTGAGGCTATTATGAATGGAGAAGCCATGCATACACGTCTTGGTGTGCACTAACGTTTTCATTTCTCTCCTTTAAGTATCCGGGAGTGTAATCTCTGGGTCTATGGTAAAGGTATGTTTAACATCATAAGAAACTTCCAAAGTGTTTTTCCAAAGTGGCCGTACCATTTCGCCTTCCACCAGCAATGTATCAGAGTTGCAGTTTCTCCACATCCTCATCATCACTTCATATTATCAGCGTGGTTTTTTTGTTTGTGTTTGTGTTGGGAAGTTTTGATGAGGGTCAATTTGATGGTATTGAAGTTTTAAGCCATCCTAACATATATGTAATGGTATCTCATTCTACCTTAATTTGCATTTCCTTAATGACTAATGAGGGTGAGCATCCCTTCATGGTCTTATTTGCCATCTATGCATCTTGTTTGGTGAATAATCAGTTCGAGTATTTTTTGCCCATTTATTACATTGAGTTGTTTCATTTTCTTGTGAAGGGGCTGTAAGAGTTCTACATACTCTGGATACAACTTCTTTATCAGATATGTGTTTTACAAATATTTTGTCCCCATGTGTGGCTTGTCTTTTTATTTCTTTGCAGTGTTTTTCAAAGAGCAGCTGTTTTTAATTTTGATAAAATCCATTTTTGCCAACTTTTTCCTTGACAGTTCATACTTTCTGTGTCTGAAGAAAGTTTTCTCTAAGCCAAGACCACAAAGATTTTCTTCTATGTTTTCTTCCAGAAGGTTTACGGTTTTAGGCTTTACATTTAGGTTCATGATCCATCTTTGTTGCTTGTACATGCTACAAGGTATGTGGTATGGGTTTTTCTTGGTTTTTGAATTTTTATATGGATGTCCAATTGCTCCATTTATTTAAAAGATTATCCTTTCTCCACTGAATCATTTTGGCGCCTTTGTTGAAAATCCATTGATCATTCATGTGGGGTCTGCTCCTGACTTCTTCCTATGTCCCATTGGACTACAAGTCTGTCCTTTTGCCTACATGTCCTATAGTCTGCTCTTGATTACTGCAGCTTTACAGCGATTCTGAAAATGAGGTACTGGAAGTCTTCCAGCTCTGTTCTTTTTCAAAATTGCTTGGCTGGTCTAGTTCTGTTTTTTGTTTGTTTGTTTGTTTGTTTGTTTGTTTTTCTCACTCTGTCACCCAGTCTGGAGTGCAGTAGTGCAATCGCGGCTCACTGCAACCTCCACCTCCCGGGTTCAAGCAATTCTCCTGCCTCAGCCTCTTGAGTAGCTGGGATTACAAGCACGTGCCACCACGCCTGGCTAATTTTTGTACTTTTAGTAGAGACAAGGTTTCACCATGTTGGCCAGGCTGGTCTCGAACTCCCGACCTCAGGTGATCCACCTGCCTCAGCCTCCCAAAGTGCTGGGATTACAGGCGTGAACCACGGCACGCAGCCTAGGTCTTTTGCCTTTCCATAAAATTTTTTGAATTATCTTGCCAATTTCTACACAAAATCTTACTGGGATTTTAATTTGAGCTGTGTTGAATCTCCTGATCAATTTCATGTGGATGTCTTAGTCTTTGAAAGTAAGGGAGGGGTCATTTTCCAGGGGGATATCATTCAAGAAAGACTAACCAGTTCCTCCCAGACCTGTGGACACAGTAGGGCTTTGTTAAATGGCCTTGGCTGTAAGGACATAGAGGGGCACTTGTGGAGGGAACAGGGATGCCGCCTGCCTTTCCCACCTGTTGCCTGAGGCAGACAGGAAGGAGAAGAAATAGAGCTAGGCTCTGACCTGAGAAGCTGCCCTGAGACCCAACAACAGAAAAGAGCATGGAGCATGGTTCCTTGATAGATCTGAAAAGGAGACGATAAAGGGGGGCTGTTGGAGGGTGAGTTCACTGGTCGGCGAGAGACAAGGGAAGTTAATCCTCCATGGGAAATAGCAAAAGCAAGGGGTGGATGTGGCAGGAAGCTCAGCGTGAGGAGACAGCAGCGTGAGGAGTGAGGTCTGAATCCCGTGCTAAAGGTCAGGATTCTGCTGTCTACACGGGGAAGCCCAAGGGGCCTTCTTAGTGGGAGGGGCGTGGTCAGATCTGTGTTTGCGAAAGATCCTCTGGTCACTGGTCAGCAGGCAGAAGGCTCCCCGGAGACCACTGTGTAGGTGTGGCAGCATACATGTCATGAGCAGGTTTGACTGGGAAATGGTCACGTGGTCAGAGCAGAAGGCACCAAAAGCACAAGGCCACCAACCCAAAGGAGACAGGGGACTAAAGGGGTATAGGAGAGGCACAGAAAAGACACATCCATCTGCTACATTAACCTCTGGACCCCGAAGGGCATTTACCCTTCTCCTAGCAAATCCACAGCCCCATGCCACGCTCTGCCATGAGATGCTGACAACCACCCTCGGCCCTCAAGAGTCTCACTAAGGAAAAGCATATGACTTGGGCACTCCGTGAATATTCATAGGCTGCCATTTAGGGGCAATATTTTGTGTTAAGGCCATCAAAAACGCAACCATCCAAAAGATGGCTTTGTTTTAAGATTATACCATTGGGGTTGAATAATTTCTTGGCAACCCTGTGTATATCTGGTTGGAGCCTCACTGTGAAGTCTGAAAAAGAGACAGATGGAACAGTCTACCAGAGAGCCTCAGTGACAGAAACAACTATTCCCTGGAAGGGGAAAAAAGGGCAGAAAGGCATTTTTGTTTATTTTTACAAAATTTGGAGGAAAACGGTCTCCTCAGCTGTCTCCACAAGATCAAACCAGCCCCAAATGGGAGTTGCTAGGTATTTGCCAACACTTGAAATCAAAATCCAATAGGCCTGATGGCTGTGGTTCTGGTCTTTTCCTCCCTTTTGTATTTCAAGATGGCAATTTCATTTGCTCATTGATGCTGCTTTTTCATTCAATAAGCATTCTGATTCATCTATGAACTTCAAACTCTGCTTCTAATCTAAATCAGAACACAAAAGTACACAACCCCTTCACTTCTTCTAGGCCATCTGGGCTCATTCTAAACAAAAACACGAGCACAGTCTCAGAATGAGTGCTTAATCACCCCGGGTCTGTACTTTGTTGTAAAGGCAGGCCTCCAATAGTCTAGCTCAGGACGGTCACACTGTGAGCAGTTCGATCACACGCAGGTTCCCCAACTCTCTCTTTCCCCGTCCAGCCCTCGAGGGGTGCCAGGGCCTCTTACGGGGCCGGTGACTATAACTCCCATATTAGGTTTGGGCACAGGCCTGAACAGGATGCCAGATTTAGCCTTTCTTAGGTGAGAAGCCAATAGAAAGAAGTCAGTTGTGGGAAAGAACTGCATTTAGACTTTGCTTAAGAGTCACAACTCTGTGGACCTCCATTTAACTATCACAGAACCAAATGGAAAATTTGCTTCCTTCTTCGTTTATTAAAGAAACATAACTAATGAAAAAACAAAGCAAAATCGTTGTGTTAGGAATTAGTTCACTGCTCTCATCCTCCACTTTCACGAGCTCTTCTTAGAAATACAAGCATAAGTGACATGTGCACAGATTCCACGCATTAGTTCACGTGTTCTCTCCAGTATCAGACAAGTGAGAGCCAAAGGGGTGATGCTCACCTCTGAGCCTGTTTCCTCTTTTATCTTGGCCCAGGGGCACTCACCAGGAGGGAGCAGCCTTCTTCACTCTGCTGCACTGCGTCAGGCAGGAAGAACATCTAAACTCTCTTTCAATCTTGCAGAAAGAGAAAAAAACAAAACACCCACACAGTGGGGAAATTGTTCCCCACTGTGTGGGTGATGGGGCCCCGAGAGCTGTTATCTGCAAAGGGCACTTCTGGGGGTTACCCAGCTGTCACCACTGTGTGGATTCCACCCAAAAACCTCAAGCCAAACAGTGGGGAATGAACATCAAGAGACAATTTTCCACTCTGTGAAAATGGCTTGACTTTACAAAAATAAATTAAAGCGCCATGATAATAAACGAAACATGAGCAGGACCTGTTGTTAAGCGCGCAGGCAGTCATGGCAGAGGCTCTCCTTGCTTGGTACATTTACACCATCGAAATATGATGATTCTTTCTCTGCTTCCTGACCCCTCAGCTCCCTACCCACATGCTCATATGAAGACACACACAAACACATACACCCCCCCCAACACACACACACCCCTCTATACCACAGACAGATCTGGAATAACTGGTCTAGCAAGAGTTAGAGGTGTCTGGGGTCAGCAGTGGAAGTGGTTGGGGTGGGCATGTGTTACACTGTGTGTGTGTGTGTGTGTGTGTGTGTGTGTGTGCGTGTATGCATACTTGCATGCTCACATGCGGGAGGATGGTCTCACCCTGAACGCTGTTCATTTGAATAAAGGAGAGCTAACAGCTGAAGCACCACTGCATATGCATGCAAACAAAATCAGGCCTCCTTTGGGCCTCAAGTCCTCTGTTGCCACACAAGAGCCCCTCCGGCTCTGAGGCAATCCTGCCCCCTCTGTGTCTGCAGCAGCCTGAGAGGCACTGCTGGCTGGCCAAGGGTACAGGATTTTAGTGACTTCTTTCCCTCCTCTGCACATTCATCGCCTTTAAGGTCCCCAAATCCATTCTTCTTCAAGAGTGAACCCATCCTCCCAGTATTGTCATTTTGGAACCACGTTTTCCTGTCCCCCTTTCCTTCATCCCCTCTTCTGTCTACTAAAGGAGTCTGCTGGGGCTTTCCCCACCATCTCTCTTGGTCCTGACGCCCATGTTAGAATTTTGGAAGCAGATCTGATCTGCTTCCAAATTCCAAATCTGGTCTTAGATTTAGAATCTAAAGTCTCAAATCTTGATGCCAAAGGTATCCCTACCCACACAAAGAGGACCCCTTCCCTCAACTCTGGCATCTGGGTTTGGGGTCAACATGACAAGGAAAATGGTAATCGATAGGAAAACAGTATGGCCCCTCCTCAAAAACTTAAACTTAGAGTTACCATAGGATTCAGGAATTCCACTTCTGGGCATGTACCCAAAAGAATTGAAAGCAGGGTGTCAAAGAGATATTTGTACATCCAAATTCATAGCAGCATTATTCACAGTGGCGAAGAGGTGGAAGCGACCCAAGTGTCTACTGATGGATGAATGGAGAAACAGAACGTGGCCTATACATGCTATGGAATATTATCCCACAGAAGGGAATGAAATTCTGGTACATTCTACAATATGCATGAATCTTGAAGAATTATGCTAAGTTAAATAAGGTAGTCACGAAAAGGCAAATGCTGTATTATTCCACTAATATAAAGTCCCTAGAATAGTCAAATTTATAGAGACAAAAAGTAAAATGGTGGTTGTCAGGAAGTGAAGAGGAGTTGAGGAAGGAAATGTATTGTTTAATGGGTATGGAGTTACAGTTTGCAATGTTGAAAACGCTCTGGAGATGGACAGTGGTGTTGATTGCACAGCAGTGGGAATGTATTTAATGCCACTAAACTATACACTTAAAAATGGTTAAAATGGTGCTAGGGTTTGCATGTGTTCCCTCAAAAATTCAGGTGTTGAAACTTAACGGCCAACGTGATGATATTAAGAGGTGGGGCCTTTAAAAGGTGATTAAGCCATGAGGGCTCCTCCCTCACGAATGAGAAGAAGACCCTTATAAAGAGGCTTCATGAAGCCTTCCCCTCTTGCTCCTCTCCCTTCTGCCACGTGACAACACAGCACTCCTCCCTGCCCATGGCTGCAGCAACAAGGCACCATCTTGGAAGCAGAGACCAGGCCCTCACCAGACAACTGAACCTGCTGGCGCCTTCATCTTGGCCCTCCCAGGACTGTGAGAAAATAAATTTCTGTTCTTTATAAAGTACCCAGTCTATGGTATTTTGTTATAGCAGCACAAACAGACTAAAACAAATGGCTGATTTTATGTTAGGCATATTTCACCACACAGGAAAAAAGTAATCGACTAAAGGATAGAAGTTTCAGCCAATCCAAACAAGCAAATAGGATTTTTAAAGAGGGAACTCAACCAGAAACCTACATCCCTCATCTTCCTCCTGCTGGATGAGGGGAGAGGTAGGTGGCCAGGCTAGGTGTAAGAGGGAGCAGAAGAGTCACGGTGGCCGGGCGTGGTGGCTCACACCTGTAATCCCAGCACTTTGGGAGGCAAAAGTGGGCGGATCCCTTGAGGTCAGGAGTTCGAGACCAGCCTGGCCAACATGGTGAAACCCTGTCTCTACTAAAAATAAAAAATTAGCTGGGCGTGATGGCAGGTGCCTGTAATCCCAGCTATTCGGGAGGCTGAGGTATGAGAATTGCTTGAACCTAGGTGGCAGAGGTTACAGTGAGCCAAGATCATGCCACTGCATTCCAGCCTGGATGACAGAGCAAGACTCTGTCTCAAAAAAAAAAAAAAAGAAAAGAAAAGAAAAAAAAAGAAGAGTCAAAGGGTGACCTGCAGGCTTCTAAGAGAAAAGATCAGGTCCTCCTGTGGCCGAGGGGAAGAAAAGCCCTGACCTGCAAACAGCTCTTCAGAGACACCTCGTGAAGTGTCATCAATTCTGGGAAAATGGGGATTTCCCAGAAGGTAGGTTTGTCCCCAGCACAAATTTACAAATGTTGTTGTACTTTCCAGAATGTTAAAATCAGAATTCCTTAGATTTCAGAAGTAATTTTTGGAAAACACAACCCTTTGATCATCCCTTCTCCGTTTCCACAGTATTGAAGATGTCAGTCCGTGAGCAGGTCACATGCTCCTCGGTAAGTCTTCCCAGCTTGGCTTGTGTGAATCAGACATTCATATTTTGTGAGAGGCCCAGCCAAGCCTAGAAAGCCCTCATGCTGTCTCTGAGTTACTGCAATCACTTTCTAACCATTCTTTCTGCTCCCAAAGTCTTCAGACTCCTCTACAGATGACACCAGCTGCTGCAGGCAGCCTTTTGTGAATACCGGCTTCACTGGGCTACCACTCGCTCCCTGGTCCCCAGATCCCAAGGTCGATGGTGAAGGACCTTGGACCTTGCAAGGCAGCCTCAGGAGATGTCTTCACTTTCCTTCCCTCAATCTCATCACTTTCAGTTGTCACTTCTCCCACTTACTGAGATTTTTGTTTGTTTATTGTTGCACTTATGTAAATATCCATGATATTTGTTAATTGCTCTGCACTTAACACCTTAAAGGTTATAAGGACAGCCTGGAGACAAACATCTCTGGAAACACAGCAGGGGGAAACCACATGTGCTAGGATGTCTCCTGGGGAGAGCAGAGCACAGAACGTGGGGGCTGGAGCCTAAAGAGGCAAGCTCATGTACAACAGACAGCTGCTAACTTCCTCCTTGCATTTTGTCCAACTCTCTGCAGGGCTTGTTTGAGGAGTAGGTTCTAAGTTTGGGGTCAAGGCTGAACTAGTAGAACTACAGAAGCAATCTGAAGCCGCCAGGATCCACCCCACACCTCCACACTCTCCCCAAACTCTGCCTCTCCTCCACAGCAATGCCAGACAGCAATTTAAAGACTATTTGTTCTGAGAGACCCATGTTATCAGCCTACCAGGGGCATCTGCCTGAGTCAGCTGGGCTTCCCTGCCACTTTCACAGTTTGGAGGAATGAGGATGGTTTAAGATTTCCTTCCTCTTAGAAGCCTACATTGGCCAGGCATGGTGGCTCACTCCTGTAATCCCAGCAATTTGGGAGGCCAAGGCAGAAGCACTGCTTGAGTCTAGGAGTTCAAAACCAGCCCTTGCAACATAGTGAGACATCATGGGGAAGGGCAAGCTTGTCACTGAACTAGAGCAAGATCTTAGCTGTCCTCATTCTGGAGCAGTCCACCTTGAGAACATTCTAGAAAAAGAGGCTCCTGCAAGTTCTGGAGAGAGCACTTCCATACCCACCGCACCCCACCATACCACACAGTTGGTTTTAGGGTTAGGGGTCCGTGTGCGCACCATGCTTCTTCCTAAGTGTGCCATAGCTGTGTGCCTCAGCAGCTGCAGCAGCCTGGCTGGGGTTACAAGGGAAGAGCACCCGTCTGCAGGACACCACACTTTTGTCGTGGGCATGCATCATGCACTCATAGGACCGGAAACATACAAACAATTGATGGGGTTCAGGACACAATACACTAAAAAACGGCACCTTGGCATTTGAGAAAACAGCAGAAGCAGGAAGGTCACTCTCACCTTCCCCTTCCCCTCCGCCCCTGATACAGGCCATAAAATTCTCATTTGAGAGGTAGCCTCCATATACCCAGAGAAAAGAAACATACTTATCTCTGAAGACACAGGACCACAGAATCTGAACAAACAGGCTAAGTTTGTTAAGTCCCCAATCCCCCACCCAGTTTATCACCATTAGATCATACCCTCTTTGTCCAATTATCCATCTCTACAACTGTGCACTTCTCCATCAAACTAACATTAAAAACATACAGGTTTCTCTGTTACTTTGGGTCTTTATTTCCTTGTGAGAGCTCCCATGTTATATAAAACTTATATTAAATAAATGTGCATGCTTTCTCTAGTTAATCTGTCTTTTGTATGGAGACTCAGCCATGCACCTAGCAATGGGCCAGGAAAATGTATTTCTTTCCCCTCCATGATCTTGAGCCTCTCTGGAGCAGTTTCTTTCATAGGTCTCCAGAAATGTCCCACATGAGAACCTTTCTTCCCACAGGCTCATTCCAAGGGCTTGAGTCCTCTCCTGCCCTCTTCCTGCTGTAACCTACATGGCTCCCCCCCAGCTTTCTAGCTCTCAGGTATTGCCTATGATTGCCCAATTCACGTGTATATTGAAACCATGTATACACTTGTTATGAGCATTTTTAGGAGGCAAACTTCTTTCGAAATCAGGTGACTTTAGGTTGTCTGTGGGCAGCTGAGCAGACATCCCCAAGCCCGAAGCCTATGACCACAGGGTGGCACTTTGGGAGGCTGTGAGCACAGTTTTTGTAAGGACAGGACTGCTTATTACCCCTCCACTGGAGCTGGATCTTACTTTAACATCTCAACGCATTTTGACACATGCAAAGGGGAAAATGTTGATATCAACACAAGAAACAAACATTTTTCACAAGTGTAATACAGTAGAGACCAAGACAGAAATCATGAAGCAAGACAAAAATAGGGCTTTTTGCCACTGTCAGGCATCCTAAGACACAGAGAGAGAGGCCTGGCATGGAAGGTGGCAAGGGCTTCACAGACAAGCCCTTGCTGGGTTTCTCTCTGCTGGGACTCACCTCTCATGCAGGGCATCCCCGTTTTCAGGCACTCTTTAAGAGTGAGAACATTACCCAGATAGTGCTTCTGTGTCATGCCCTAGAATATCCCTTTTTTTGTTTGTTTTGAAATAAATGTGCTATCTACCACCATGTTTTCACAAAGACCTCGTTCCTCTAAATAGCAATGTGCTCTTGCCAATCAAGCAACTAGAACAATTCCATCTGCGACACGGACATCACAGGAAAGCAACCACCAAAAAAAAGCTCAAAATCTGAGACATAAGCAAACCAAGAGCTATAAACTGGTAAGGATAATTCTTAAAAGAAACAAAAATGTAAACATTTACCTGTGGCTATAGCGAATGGCTATCGTCAACCCAAGCTGTAATTAAAAAGAGAGAAAAACAAATTAAGTAATATCAAGAGTATGCAGAATTCACACAAGAAAATTAACTTGATACGGCCAATTACGTTTTAAAGATTTTCTAAAATGCCCTACAGCTAATGCTTCAAAAATAACACATTTTAATGACAGATATTTAGTTTCAACTTAGCTCTTACAGATAATTTGTATTTTGAAAGAGTCTTACAGAGGCGTAAAATATTTAGTTGTGGATTAGACAGGAGGTGTCTCTCAATAGGAATGGCTTCCAAAATAGGGGTCTTTTAGCTCCAAGACACAGTTGTGAAAGGATGGGATTGCAGCATGTAGCTGATTCCAAGGTTGGCATTAGGAGAACACGCATGTAGCTGATTCCAAGGTTGGCATTAGGAGAACACGCCCACACATGGTGGGATCCTGGGAGCTGGTCCCCCCTCTATCTCCTACCCTAGGAGCACCAAGTGGAGCCCAGGCCACCTGGGCCAGAGTCTCCCTATGCGGATCATCACAGCCTTCACACTGATCCCATAAGCTCAAGGCGGGCAAGCCTCAGCTCTGAGCTCTGAGGTCAGCAAATAAATCAAGCCTGAAATTCATGTGTGACATCAAGATATGGTGCATGCAATTGCTGGGCACAGCAACAAGTGGAGGTTGAGGTGAAGCTGTGATTTCCTCTTTACTCTGCAGGGATGATGAGGAAATCTCTCAGGCATAAGTGGGGGTCAAATCATATGACAGGGGCCCTGGCTAGTTCACAGAAGGGATTACAAGGGTCAGGCCAGCCAGTCAAGTTCAGCTGCATCAGCAAGTTATTGAAACTGTCAGAGCCTTAATTTTCCCAACTGTAAAATGGGCAAATTTATTACTTTCTCACAGAATTAATGTAAGGATGAAGCAATTTTTATGTATTTGTGTGTTCTTATCTCTGTGTGTGTATGCGTGTGCCTATTGTGTGATAGGAAAAATTCTATAAATAATAACTACCACTAATAGCACTATATACAGGCAATACTCCATTTATTGAAATGTTAGTACATTCCAAAATTTAATTTTTCAATGAGTTCTGGGAACTTTGAAAATATTTCATCATACAACAAGTGATGACCAGGTCAAACATGCCTATGTAAGTTTCACTAGCCCATTCACGAGGTCAGGAGATCAAGACCAGCCTGGCCAAGATGGTGAAACCCCATTTCTACTAAAATACAAAAAATTAGCCAGGTGCGGTGGCGGGCACCTGTAATCCCGGCTACTCAGGAGGCTGAGGCAGGAGAATCGATTGAACCTGGGGAGGTGGAGCTTGCAGTGAGCTGAGATTGCGCCACCGCACTCCAGCCTGGGTGACAGAGTGAGACTCCGTCAAAAACAACAACAACAACAAACAACAACAACAACAAACCTAAGCATCATCTGAATATCATTTCTGTAGCCAAAGTCTAAGTTGCACCTTAAGCTTAAGATCCCCAAACATCACTTATGGTTCCCTTGATGTTGGTCCAAATAGGATGGGGTGGGGAAGTAACATTCATGGTGCTGTCCCAGGTGGTGCAAGATGATAGGAGGATCCCCAGGCTGTGGGAGGGTGAAAGGGGAGGGAGAGCTATGAGAAGAGAAATGGTTGAAATTAAAAAGTCCAACGCCACTGCCCAGCTCGACGTCCTGCAGAATCCCCCAGATACTGTTTGAATAGCTTGGTTCCAGAATAATTCAGCCATGCATACCACTGCAGGCATCCAAAGTACAGGACCAACGAGGGCAAGCCATCAGCAATCAGAGACTTACGTTTGCAAAAAGAACAGTTCAAAGTGAAGGTATGAAATATATAAAATCAGGTTGATTGCACATCACAATCACCTGAATTTTTCAATTCTCTATCTCAACTAGGAGTAAATTTTCTTTGAAACTTAAGCAAACAGAAGAGGAAGATGCCTCAGAGACAATCAAGAATTTGAAGAACAAGGAAGAAATTACTTTGGGAAAGAAATAAAAGTAGAAACTGTAGACAGAAGGTCAGGATGAGCAATTTACAGATTTCACATGCCGGATAACTTTACATTTCCTGGGATTAAAACGTTCTGGCTTACAGTGAGGCTAATTATAAGATAATTTTACTGACTGAATATTTTGATAAGCTTTGGAGTACAGTTTAATTGGTGGCTTTTCCACAGTTGAAAGATAAGCCCTTGCTGGAGTAGGGAGAGGAAATGGGGTGGGAGGGACAAGAAGAAAAAAAAAAAACACAGAAAAAGTTGTTCATGACAGCTGTGCTGGTTAAAGGGGGCTGGGAGATGAATCTTTCACAAAGGTGAATTTCAATGAAGTGTTTTTATGAGTCTTTTCCTGGCTTCTGAATAAAATATGTTTTATTGTCATTCTTAAAAGGACACCTTGTTAAGGAAGAAGGTGTGAATCAAGGAAACTCCAGTGGACAGGGAGGGCTCAAACCAAACGACACAGCAGCCAGGGCTCCTGGCAGGCCTCTGCATGAACAGGACCTGCAAGGGCACACGACAACTGGGGAGGGGGGAAAGCCTCCGTGCTATGTGGGAACCCACTTCCAGGGTGGATGGGAACAGGGTATTTCACAGTCATTCTGGAAACATGGCTGAAATGTCACACAGAATACACTGGGTCCAATGAGGAAGGCCTGAACAAAGGCTGGAACAGTGTAGAAAAGTTCTTGTGGGTCTTCCCTTGAAACCCCAGGTTGGAACAGACCAATGAGGCAAATGAGCTGTGTAAGAAGCTTCCATATGTATGCCTGCTCTTCCTCATTCCTACAGAGAAAGCAGGGGAGGTAGAAGAGTCTCTGGGGTTTCTGTACCATAGCAAATGCCAGGTAGAGGCAACTGTGTGATCTGCTGAGAGATGAGATGCTTTTCCTCCTAGGCCTTAGGAACCTCCATCATCTAGTCAGGCCTTTCCAAAGCCCCTCGCCCTGCTCTGATGCATCAGCAACTCAGAAACGCTTTAAGCAAGTCTCACCACTGCCTGTGTGTGCGCACACACACGCACACACACACAGCACATGTACACTGCACACACACATATGCACACTAGTGCACATATGCACATTCACACGTGTGCACACATGCAGGCACACACACATACACTCGTCCACATTCAGACATGCACACGCACACATGCAGTCTTTTAGTGCTTGTGTGCATGTGTTTATTCACATGTGCATACATGCATGCATATGCAAGTACACATACATGCACACACGTGTACCACCGCATGTGCACACATGCACACTCATATATAGGTGCATACACACACTCATCCACATGCATGGATACACTTTGGCATTCAGAGAGGCTCATGGAGCCCCTTAGACAAAAGGAGGCCTCAGACAATTGACCCCTTTGTTGCTGGTCTCAGCAGGGATCCAGAAGAGAGAGGGGAGGGAGGCCCGTGGGTTGGCCCCTGACCCTGGCCCAGCCAGGCTGAGGTCCTGGGACACGGAGGTCAGAGGGATTTTGTGCTGCCCTCCCTGGGGAACACCCCCTACTGAGGACATACTGTAAGTATTGCCAGAACACACTAAACAAACTCCATTCTGAGTACTTCATTTTAGATTTACACAATTTGTTAGTATCAAAATTAAATCACATTTTAATGGCAAGGAAAGAGTAATTCAACATTTCAAAAATTTTCCTGCCACTTCAGCTTGAAAATGCTCCTTTTTTGGAACAGCTGACTGAGGCAGCTGTTTTGCATCAAGTTGGAGGGGTTTCCATATGACCCAGCGAGCTCAGACAACAGGCAGACCTTCCTGCATTAAAGGGTAATCTGAGAATAATTTGCCATAAAACACCCAGAAGTACACCAGCTGTAGCCAGATACGCCCTATAAAGCACCACGTAGATTTCATGGATCTTGTAAAATAATAATAATTTTTAAAAACACATTTTTTAAACACATTATAATTTTTTTAAAGAAAGGAATGGTTTACACTATCTTAGAAGGCAGCAAAGAGATTCCCTTACATGTTCACGATTGCTACTAAGCGCCACTTCCCAAATGCCCACTTGACCAAGGGTCCCTGTGTCCCTATGTCACTGGGAATCCGATCTTTTGAAGGTACCCTGGACCTCATGGTGAAGATGTGCTCTCTCACACATGGCTGCCAAGAGCAGGTGAAAAGGAGAGACCAGGAAGCACCGGCTCCAGTCTCCCAGCTCCAAGTCCAAGTCCAGAACTTTCTAGGCCTGGGACAGTGGCACACTCCAGGGCCCCTGTCCCATGCTGGAGGGGCCATGACCTAGGAGCCAGGTCTTTTCACAGAGGAGGCCACCAACCCACCAGCAGCCTGATGCCAGCACTCCCAATTCTTCAACAAAAGCTGGATAATGGGGTTTTTTATTATGAAAATTTCCACGTTTTAAACTAATTTGAATATTTTTCAAATACGATTCAAGCCAAACAAAACATGTCAACAGGATTTGGCGAGGAGGCCGCCCGCCTGCAACCTGCCTTGCACCCTGCCTGCTGCCAAGCTTATACCCGGGTCTGCAGATCTGAATCTACGCATAGGCGACAAATCTGGAAAGAGCCTGCCTATTTCTTCCAAGGCTTCCCTCCCTTTCCCATACTTGTGGGAAGCTTTTTCTTTACTTTTCCTTTTTTCATTTCAAAGGCCTAAAGAATTGTACATCACAAAACAAACACTAAAAGAAATTGGTATTTGTTTTTCTTCTGTATGGTTTTACTGTTCCTGTCCCCTTTTCACAGAAAATATGGAAAAAGAAACGTGAAGGGAAGAAGAGGCATGACATGGGCAGAATACCATGCAAACAGGGCCATGGCACCCACAGAATACCACTCAGACAGGGCCACGGCACCCACATAATACCACTCAAACAGGGCCTTGGCATGCACAGAATACCAAACAGGGCCAGGCAGGCACAGAATACCACTCAAAGAGAGCCATGGACACACAGAATACCACTCAAACAGGGCCAGGCAGGCACAGAATACCACTCAAAGAGAGCCATGGACACACAGAATACCACTCAAACAGGGTCATGAGATGCTGGCAGCAAGGACATGAGGACTGGAAGAAAGTGATCCACAGGACAGATTTCTGTAACCCCTTCCCAGGTCTCCTTCTAGCACCGCTCTCTCATGATAACAAGCAAGACCAGCACACTACCCCCAACAGCCCCCTCCAGGGCTGGTCGTCCCCAGGCACCACCCCAGATCTTACTGATTCCATGGGCCTGACTCTCAAACCCTATCACACCCACCACAGCTCACTGGGTCTCTGCCACGGATGTCTTCTACAACTTTCTTAGGTACTTGCTACTTCTGCTGATAAGCTAATGATGCTTAGAGATGCTGGTGGAAGTAACAGTGAGCTTTGTGGCCAAACCCCGACCTTTCCAGCCTGTTTCTTCATTGTGAAATGAGGATAATGTTACCTACTCCACAGGGTTGTTTTAGGCCGATTAACTTTGACCTCAAAAACGAGGACCAGCAGTATCAGTCTCCCCTGGGAACTTGTGAGAAATGCAAATTATCAGGCCCAAACCCAGACCTACTGAGTCACAAACTTGGGCATTTCAGCTGGTTCTACAAGCGTCAAGTTTGAGAGGCACTGAATGAGATGATGTACAGAAAGAACTGAGCAACCTGCGTGGTACTGACAAAGCTTTTATTAGCTGCCAGATAATGATGACGCAGCCCAAAGTGAAGCCTTTCACATTTTATGTCCTCTTAATGTCATTTCAATGTTCTATACTCAGCTTCAGGCACCATGATGATCACCACGAGTTCAGGCCCACTGGCAGGTCTGGAGGAGATGAGGCCTCCTGGTGCTCACGGGAGACCAGCAGGGAGAGGTGTCTGCACTCTGCTTAGATGCACAGTGCTGCTGACAAGCAAGGATGCAGCCAGCTTCCTCAAGGCCAAGGGCAAGCCTTGGAGCCTCACCAGGCTGCAGCACCCTCCCCTTTCTGTGTTCCTTTCTGTCATTCCACCAAAAGAGGAAAAATACAACAAGACAGGGAAGAGGAGGAAAAGCAGCAACTTATGTTCACTATGGAGCTTACTTTATGATGTTACCATTCCTTGATCCCTTGGAATTAAATTTAAAAAAAAAACCTAAAGAAATTAAAGAAAAAGCCACACTTAAGTTAAAAATAAAAAGGAAGAGATAAATATAATATGTAGGCTCTTTCCAGATTTGCTGGAAACCCAGTAATTCATATCTGAAATTTTCAAAAGCTGATGTAAAAGACAAGTTGTTAAATCAATGGAAATCAACACAGAACTAACATTGAAACCTAGGCGGTGCTTGTTTAACCTAAGGAAACAGGTGGCTTTTAACTCTTTAGGCCCCAAATGACTGAAAATCTAAGACCCATTATGCTGCCATTCCTCACTGCTCCCCACAAAGAGCCTGACCCAGGCACTACCTTTTGGACTGAAAGTTACAACCCTGCTTGAAAAGCATGGAGATCACTTCACAAGGACTTGCTTTGTCTCTCATTTACCCAGACTTGAAAAGTTGTGAGTCCTGAGTTGCCATCTCTGCAGCAACATCACCTTGGGTCCCTTCTGCTGGGTGTTTTTCAGGGATGGAGTCCCATAAGCTGGGGACTTTGGTGGTCAGAGAACCACCTCTGCTCTCAACCTCCTCTCCAGAGAGGGAACTCAAACCAGGAGAGAGCAGGCAGGAAGCTCTCGAGCAAGAACCTGGCAATGGTTATGGGCTTTAGGAACATTGGCTGTCACCTTTGTCATTTCTATTAAGTGACTATCATCTGTCACAGTGAACTGGGACTATGGCAGGACAGAGCTGCTTACTTGTGTGTGTGTGCCCCACACCCAGGGCTGCTAACCAAGACTCCGGAACCGCTGAATTCACTCCAGGTAGTTCCTCTCTGCTGTTTACAGCTTGTCAATGAATACATTTTTCTTAGGCTTACGTTTCAAACAAAAGAATTATGCACTCTAGTTCCTTTGCTTCTCTTGATAATGAAGGGTTGGCTAACGGATAATATGAATAAACCACACACGGTGTTTTCCTAGAAAGCTGAAGTCCCTTAAAAGAAATTATCATGACAATGGCTGTGGATTCTGTGCATCCCTTACATCCCAGAACACCTCACACTCTGGAACATTCAGTGGTAAATAATCACTTAAGTGATTCTTATTACGTGTTAAATACCACTATTGATTATTAAGTCAGAGGAGAATCAGCCAGAAGAGGAGGAAGAGGACAAAGAGAAGAAAAGGAACCATGAAAGGACTAAGAGGGAAAAAAATGTGACACCCGCAAACATGGTCAGTTAACAAAAACGTTAGGGTATTTCCAAGGTGGATTTGGGGACATTAAATACAGGAAAGTGCAAGCCCATTGATGGGCTGTCACAGCAGCTCAGAGACCTCATCTCAGCTTGTGGACCCCTCTCACCCCCAGGCCCTGTCACAGTCAAGAGTCAAAACCCAAGACATCGCTTTTCAATGTAAGACCACAGAGAGTTTAAAGGTATTCAAAGAAAGACAGGAAAACACTTTTTCTCCTTAGCTTTCAGCTACCTTTTCCTCGATCAAATTCTTACCCTCCAAAAATTCACAAAACAAGTAAAAAAAATCCTCCACCCAAGTACATGAGGCAGTCCATGAAATACAACAGCAACTGCTAAAAAGAGTGCAGGAGATCTGTTGCAGGGAAAATAAACAGTTTTTTTAAATCAGGCTGTTTATTTTGAGATAATTGTAGATTCGCATGCAGGTCTAAGAAATTATATGGAGAAGTAATACAGAGAGATCCCGGGTACCCTTTATCCAGTATCTCACAATGGTAAGAGCTCACAAACTTAGCACAATATCACAAGCAGGATACTCCCCTGATAGAGTCAAGCCACAGGACATCTCCATCCCCGCAAGCATCCCTCATGGTGACCGTGTGTAGCCACACCTACTTTCCTGCCTCCCCAGCCCACTCCTTAGCCCCTGGCAGCCGCTAATCTGCTCTCCGTTTCCATAATTTTGTCATTTCAGGAATGTTATGTAAATGTAACCATGCAGGATGTAACCTTTAGGATTGGACTTTCTTAGAATAATTGTCTAGAGATTCATCGAGGTTGCAGTGTGTATCAATAGTTTATTCCTTCGTATTGCTGAGCAGTGTTCCATGGTATAGATGCACCACAGTGCATCTTTCAACCTTTCACCTGTTGAAAGATATCTGGGTTATTTCCAGTTGAGTTATGAGTTATGAATAAAGTTGGTATAAACATTCATTTTCAGGTATTTGTGGAAAAAAATATGTTTCATTTCTCTGGGAAAATCCCCAGGAGTACAATTGCTCAGTTATATGGCAGTTGCATATTTAGTTTTATAAGAAACTGCTAACCTGTTTTCCAAAGTCTTGATGATCTCACCAGAAATGTACCAGTGATGCTGTTTTTCTACATCCTCACCAGCATTTGGCGCTATCACTTTATAAATCTGAGCTATTCTGATAGGTATGTAGTGATATCTCACTGTAGGTTTAATTTACATTTCCCTAATAGCTAGTGATGTTAAACATCTTTTCATGTGCTTATTTGCCATCTGTATGTCTTTTTCAGATAAATAGCTCTTAATCTCTTTTACCCATTTTATAATTGGATTGTTCAGCTTTTATTGTTGAGTTTTGAGAGCTCTTAACATATTCTACATACTAGTCCTTTGTCAGATATGTGATTTGTAAATATTTTCTCCCAGTCTGCACTTGTCATTTCATCCTTGTAACAAGGTATTCACAGAGGGAAAGAGTATTTTGATGAAGTCCAACTTACTAGTTTGTTCTTTTTTTTTTTTTTTTTTTTTGAGATGGAGTCTCGCTCTGTCGCCCAGGCCGGACTGCGGACTGCAGTGGCGCAATCTCGGCTCACTGCAAGCTCCGCTTCCCGGGTTCATGCCATTCTCCTGCCTCAGCCTCCCGAGTAGCTGGGACTACAGGCGCCCGCCACCGCACCCGGCTAATTTTTTGTATTTTTAGTAGAGACGGGGTTTCACCTTGTTAGCCAGGATGGTCTCGATCTCCTGACCTCATGATCCACCCGCCTCGGCCTCCCAAAGTGCTGGGATTACAGGCGTGAGCCACCGCGCCCGGCCTACTAGTTTGTTCTTTAAAGGATCATGCCTTAGTGATACGTCTAAGAATTCTTTGTCTAGCCCTATACCTCAAAGAGTTTCTCCTTTTTAGTGAGACAGTCTTGCTCTGTCACCCAGGGTAAGTCCAGTGGCATGATCATAACTCACTGAAGCCGCAAACTCCTCCCAAGTAGCTGGGACCACAGGTGTGTCCATTCTCACCTGGATGATTTTATGTATTTATTTATTTATTTAGACAGGAGGTCTCACTATGTTGCTCAGGCTGGTTTCTATTTTTTTTTCTAAAAGTTTTATGGTTTTAAATTTTACATTTAAGTCTGTGACCCCTTTTGAGTCATTTTTATATAAGGTGTAAGACTTGTATAAGGCTTGTTTTTTCATGTGTGGATGTTCAATTACTCCAGCACTGTTTGTGGAAAAGGCCATCTTTCCTCCATTGAATCACTCTTCCACCTTTGTAAAGAATCAACGGGCAATTGGTTTGGTTCTATTTCTGGGATGCCTAATCTGCTCCATTGATCTACTTGTAGATCTTCCTGCCAGTACCACACAGTCTTGATTTCTGTAGCTATATATCTTGAAATTGGGTAGACTGATTCTACCTACTTTATTCTTCTTTTTCAGAATTGTTTATCTATTCTTTTGCCCTCCCATATAAATTTTAGAATAACCCTGGATATATTTACATAAAACCTTGCTGAGATTTTGATAGGAATTGCATTAAATCTGAGGAGAATTGACAACTTTATCATGTGGAGTCTTCCAATGTATAAACATGGTACGTGTCTCCATTTCTTTGAATCTTCTTTGGTTTCTTTCATCATCATATAATTTTCAGCATGCAAATTCTATACATGTTTTGCTAGAGTTCATTATATGTATTTTTTGAGCAATTATATTTTTAACTTGTGTTCATTGCTAATATTTGGAAATGCAATTAATTCTTGTATGTTTATCTACAACCTTCTGAAACTCAATTATTAGTTCTAGGAGGTAAGTGTGTGGGGGTGTAGGTTCCTCGGGCTTTCTATGTAAGAAATCATGTAATCTGCAAATAGGGTCAGTTTTATGTCTTTTTTCTGATCTTTATGCCTCTTATTTCCTTTCCTTGCCTTATTTCCCTGGCTAGTACCCCCAGAACTGTGTTGATTAAGAATGATGACAGCAGACATCCTTGCCTTGTTCCCAGTTGTAGGGGGGAAAGTATTCAGTATTTTATCTTTAAATATAATGTTACCTGTAGGTTTTTTGTAGATGTTCTTTATGAAGTTGAGGAAATTCCCTTCTATTCCTATTTATCTGAGAGTTTTAATTATGAATTGGTGCTGAATTTTGTCAAATATTGCTGAAAAACAACTTACCCTTTTTATAGCTATTTCTTAACTTCTTCTCTATCTAGTTTTTACCAATACAAATTTGTACCAGGCCAGGCGCGGTGGCTCACGCCTGTAATCCCAGCACTTTGGGAGGCCGAGGTGGGGGGATCACAAGGTCAGGAAATTGAGACCATCCTGGCTAACAGAGTGAAACCCTGTCTCAACTAAAAATACAAAAATTTAGCCAGGCGTGGTGGCGGGCGCCTGTAGTCCCAGCTACTCGGGAGGCTGAGGCAGGAGAATGGCATGAGCCTGGGAGGCGGAGCTTGCAGTGAGCCGAGATTGCGCCACTGCACTCCAGCCTGGGGCACAAACCAAGACTCTGTCTCAAAAAAAAAAAAATTATACAAAACAAACCCAAAAAACCTGAGCCTTCTACCAGGAATATAGAATACAAGCGAAGATGAAGTTTTCTATGAAGTATGATCACAGCTGTTTAAAAAAAAATGCAATAGATTTATTGTGGAAAGAGACACGTATTTTTAAGCAAAGAAAGAAAGAGAGGGAGGGAGGGAGGAAGGAACTGCAGACACAATGTAGATGCGTACAATATGTGTTGAGTCAATACCTGATGTTAGGTAATTATTTATATAATTACATAGAGAGAAGTCTGAATGCCAAATTGTTGCACAGGAGAAGATAAGGTGGAAAAAGACTTTCACTCATTAATATTTTATTCTCTTCTCTAATGTTTGATGTAAGTGCTTTAAGATAAGCTGATATTAGTGAATAATTATTTTAAAAATCTACTAAAGAAAAAATATGGAGGAAATCTTATATTGCAAAATGCTATGAACCACAGTTTGACTTTCTGTGTACCCAAACACAATTTTTCTCTTAAGATGCTGTCTTTACCAGCCTGAAACATGAGTGCTTTGTCAGGGACATATTAAAACACCAGCCACCTCCACTCATATTCACACTGAATGAAAAGGACAAACACTCAAAAGTAGGGCTCAAGAAAGCAGTGAAAGAACAAGGAAGCAATCTCTGTAAATAATTATCTCACTCCCACTCCAAACACAGGCTCACGATGGCTCCATTTCATGGTTTGATTCTTTAGGTCAGTTTAATCTAAAGGTGGTTACTTCAGATTTGATGGGAGAGAAATGAGTTTGTCTAATGTGATGGATGTGATAGAGGCAAAAACAGATACATACACACACACTCAGCAAGGGAAATCAAGGACGCCTTCCTCCTTCTTCCCCTGCCTCAGACCAGGCTTCTGGCAGGGCACAACTAGACAAGAGTACCACAGAAGTGTGGTCACTGTGACGCAGAGAAGAAACAGCCACCGTACAAAGACACTGGAGCAAAAGCACCCTCGATCATTTACAGACACTGCTCTGACCTGGTGCTACCTGGCACTACATTGGTGATAGTACATCCTGAGCTTTCTGAATATTTCTAGGACAATTCTACAAGGAGCTCTCTCTTCCTCAGAAGAGAAAGAACCAACTTCCCGAGGAGTAACCCAGTCAAGAGACACAGCTAAGGGAAGATCAGCATGCCCCACGGCTATCAGTAAGGCAGGAGACCAGTGCTGACCACCACCTGGACCCAACGAACTCACCACCTGAACTTACACTATCATGCACTGGCACTCCAAACTGGGGTGGGGATGGGGTGTGAACTGTTCAGCAGATAGAAAACTACAAAGGACACAAAAAGAAAAGTCACGAAACAACGAAATATAACAAGTATCAAACATACAGGAAAATACTCAACATCATCCAAAGCCCCCAAAACAGACATTTAAATAGCAAGATAGGCTGGGCACGGTGGCTCACGCCTATAATCCCAGCACTTTGGGAGGCCAATGCAGGCAGATCACCTGAGGTCGGAAATTCAAGACCAGACTGACCAACATGGAGAAACCCTATCTCTACTAAAAATACAAAATTAGCTGGACGTGGTGGTGCATGCCTGTAATCCCAGCTACTCGGGAGGCTGAGGCAGGAGAATCACTTGAACCTGGAAAGCAGAGGTTGTGGTGAGCCAAGATTGCGCCATTGCACTCTAGCCTGGGCAACAAGAACAAAACTCCATCTCAAAAAAAAAAAATAGCAAGATAGTACAAGTGGGTGATTCCTCAGAGCTCCCCAAAGAAGCATCCTTAATTCCACCCCCCAGCCCACCACTGAATAACCATGTGATCTTGAGCAAATGACTCAATTTCTCTGTGCTTCAGTTTCCCAGGTCTAACTTGGGGATTACAACGGCTCCTTACTCACAGGCTTGTTGAGAAGGCTGATGAGATGACGTACGCAAAGTGCTCAGCACAAGGATAGTACAACGCTCACACTCTGTCTCTTAGTCATTGTTGATATTTACAGGAATTCAATCTAGAAAAAACAGCCTGGCGATTGTCAATGCCAGAAAGCAAGAAGAGTGCACTCACAGACTATTGTTGGCATTACAAATCAGCACAGCTCTTTTGAAAGACAATTTGACGACATGTATTAAAGAGTCATGACAGTATTGACACCCTTAGGTTGTCCCTAAGGAAATAATCTAAAGGAAAGGAAAATCCAAATATGCACATTAGAACCCTGTGTATAAAAGCAAAAATTGAAATAATGTAAATATCTACTAACAATAGGAAAATAGGCTGAGCATAGTGACTCATGCCTGTAATCCCAGCACATGGAGAAGCCGAGGCAGGTGGATTGCTTGAGCTCAGGAATTTGAGACCAGCGTGGGCAACATAGTAAGACCCTGTCTCTTCAAAAAAACACAAAAATTAGCCAGGTGCGATGGCATGTGCCTGTAGTCCAAGCTACTTGGGAGGCTAAGGAAGGAGAATCACTTGAACCTGGGAGGTGGAGGTTACAGTGAGCTGAGATCATGCCACTGCACTCCAGCCTGGGCGACAGAGCAAGATTCTGTCTCAAATAATAATAATAATAGGAGAATAATAAGTCAATAATAAGACTTTTAACTCAATATTTTGTTGCCATTAAAAATCGCAGTTAAGAAGATTATTTAGCAATATGAGAAAGATGCTTGGGATTTAATGTGGGAAAGCCAGAACAGAAGCAATCAGCATTTGTGCAGGGAGGTGATAGCCACATCAAAAGTAAAACATGTGACTCCCCTTGCCCTCCTCTCCTCCCCTCATCCTCACCCCATGCCCAACCACCTTCCTTTCCAGGGTCAGCTGATGTCTCCAGCTAAGCCACTCTGCTCCTCTCCACTAACCCAACTGATACCACCCTGAAAGTGTTGCCTTCTCTCTCACAGGAAGTTCAGCAAGAGCTTCTTAAGGAGCTGCCTTCCTCCAGCCAAGAACTCAGAGCTGATCTCACTGAATCCCACTGGAAACCCTCTGGGACTCTCAGTGCTCAGTGGCCACATAATGAAGCCAAGACTCTAAGGCCACCTCACCTGCCCCTTCCAGCCACCTCACCTCCTCACTGCTACCCAGCGCACCACATCAGACCCAGGCCCCAAATGCAGTGCACTGTTCCACGGCCCGCCACATGCCAGCTCATTCACCTGCCATGCCCTGCTACCTTTATTCACCTTTCAAATTCCTCTTCATCCTAGAAACCACCCCTAGACGTCATCATGACCCGGGAGAGCCCATGCCCCACCCTGGCTTTTATCCGTCCCTCTTTTGGCTACTCCTGCAGGGCATATGTGGGTGTCAGTGCCTGTGTATAGATCCTTTCCCACCATCCTGCAAACTTTTGGAGGCTGTGTGTTCATCTTCCATCCAGTGCCAGACCCACAGCAGGAGCTCAGGGAGGATTGGTTAAAATTAGCAGGTTTGTATTTCTTTCATTTCTCTTCTTTAATGTGGTTATGCAGTTGTCTGTGCACATTAAGCTGCATGGAGTCTGTATTTGTCCCCTGGGCTCGGGCAGCCAACAGAACAGCCATCGCCAAAGCCCATGTTCTGGTGCCACCACACCACATCTCACCATGGAGAGCGAGCCCATCTGAACAGAGCACCCAACTGTGGGAAATGCTTTCCAACCAGCTGAGAAGAGACTAGGATCTTTTGGTGTACAGGTGAACTGTACACTAAAAGGACTATGCACCAAAACTGTACACCAGATGAAATGTGCACCAAAAATCCTAATTGCTCCTTAAAACAAAAAAAAAAGGAAAAAAAAAAAAAAAGCAAAGAGAGAAAATAGCAAAACAACATCTCCAAATCTCAGAAGGATGTCTGGATGTCTTCTAACTTTAACATGACATGTTTTTAACATCAATATGGCCATTGCATTGCTATGAATCAATGGCCACCAACAACAAAGTGTGCTTCTCTGTATGTGGAAACAGGCCATTTAATGCATCTGAAATACAAGGTTCAGATTAGAATCTGGGTCAGGCAAGAGGTCTGGGCAATAACACACCTATGGGTGGCAACCACTGGACACTTTCTACACGTCAAACATGGTGCCAAGTGCTGTACCTAAGCCCATCAACTCTGAGAAGGAAGCATGACTCTTCCCATTTTGTGGATGGAGTGACAAAGGTTCAGAGAACATGCTATCTTGCCTAAGGTCACACAGCTAGAAGGTGACTGAATACCTGGGGATATTTGGGATTGGCATCTTGCAGGCCTTGAGTACAATATTAAATATTGGGAACTTTTAACCCTAGAGACAATAGGGAGATGCCGAAGGTGTGTGAACAAGGGGCGCTCAGTGATGATTCTGAAAAGTTATTTGCAAAAGAGGAATTATAGGAGAGGGCAGCAAAAAGATGAAGCTTTCCTTTAATGTGCTATATTTTTATCCAAAGTGGCCTTTTATTATTTGCTGATAGAAAATTAATTTGGAAACAGGCAATTAAATAAAGCCACTGAAATTTGATGGGGGTTGTTGTGGCTGTCACTGTCCTTTTGTATCAGACTTGCCTAGCTCCTCTCAGCTGATCACTCTGGTGCAATCACTGAGACTTCTGAATACTCAGCACCCCTCATTATCTTTCTCTCCTCCACACCTTCCTCCTGCTGATGTGCTCAGAAACATGGTCCAGGCCTCTAGTCAACCAGAAGGACAAAGAAACCATGCTACTCCCAAATAAATGAATATTTTTCAGGATTCCAAGAAAAATCTCCACTGTGGCTGGGGGCCCAAGACATTTATCCACTAAGGCCTCAAAGCATTGCATGGGGTACAAGGACATTTGATGCAGCCTGTCTCTAAAACAAAAAACCTTGCAAACGGCATAAATGCTCACCAGGAGGGGTCTGCTTATAGTGGACTACTATGTACTATTAAAAAGATTAAGGATATTGAAATCCCCTGTTTGATTCATGGGAAAAAATTAAGGATGTTGTCTACATGCTAATTTGGAAAAAAATCTCCAAGAAACAGTGTTCAGTGAAAAAAGCCGGAGGACGTCCACTTCTGGTGTGGCAGTGTGAGCCCCCTGCAGACCAACCCTCCCATGAATAAAAATGATAAAGTCAGGGCAAAATAAGAAAAATGACTACTGAGGATTCTAGAGAGTAGAACCAAGCAGATAGATTATAGAGGGGAGTCCAAATTTGAAGTAGAGAGTGGCACAGGGTAGCTTTCCGGTTTTTTAATTGTTATTTCCTGATTTTTGCCCTGAAAGCAGGACACAGTTGAAAACTAGTTCAGTATAAGTGGCTAAAACTCTGTGAAAAAATCTGTTGTCTTTCTGTTTGAAGGAACCAGGAAAATTGAGCAAAGGCAACCATGGTCACTGGAGTGTGAGGAGCAATCAAAGAGAACAAAGGTTAGAAGAAGTAGATCCCCTAATTCTGTGCATGAACTCTGGATGAATCTCAGGCTGACCACTAAATTAGCATTCATGGGACAAACTCAAAGCAATGTAGCAAAGGCTTAAAGAATTGAACTGAGACTTGAACCCACAAAAGACAAAGGTCAAGGTCAGGCCTTGAGTCTGGGTTAATTGCCTGCTATAACAAACCATCAACTTTCTTCAGAAGAGTATTATGTAATTCAGAGTCTCCAAAACACAACAATCATAACGTCCAAGACACAATCCAAAGTTTCTCATTTACAAAGAATCGGGAAAATGTAACCCATTCCCAAGATAAAAGACAATCAGTAAATGCCTACCCAAAGATGATCCAGATGTTGGAATTATTAGATAAGGGCTTTAAAGCACATATTATTGCCATACTCCATGAGGTCAAGGAAAATATGCACTAATTAATGAAAATATAGGGAATCTTAGCAGAGAAATGGAAGATAAAAACAAGAAATAAGCAAAAATTTTAGAATGAAAAAATACAGTATCTGAAAATAAAAGTTCACTGAATAAGCATAACAGCAAAATAGAAATGAAAAAGGAAAAATTCAGTGAGCTTGAAAAGACATTAATATAAATTACCCAAAAGAGAGAGAAAAAGAGACTTAAAAATGAACATCAAAGAAGATACAAATGAAAAGGTATTCCATATCAATGAATTAGAGGATTCGAGGTTGTTAAGGTGTCACTTTATGGGACCCTAACAGAATCCCAATCAAGTTCCCACCAAGTTATTTTCTAGATATTGGCAAACTGGTTCTAAAATTTATTTAAAAATGCAAAAGACCTAGAAAAGCCAAAACAATATTGAAGTAGGACAAAGTTGAAGGATTCACATTAGATTATTTCAAGATGATAGTAATCAAGACAGCAAGGCATTGGAGAAAGAATAGACACCTAAGTCAATGAAACAGAAGAGAGAATTCAGAAATATCCCCACATAAATATAATCAACTGAGTTGACTATATTTGTATATAGACACAGACCTTACACCTTAAACAAAATTCCCTTAAATTGGTCAAGAACCTAAATGTAAAATGCAAAACCATAAAACAAAGGATAAAATCTATATGGCCTTGGGTTTGTGATGAATTTTTAGATATAGCACCAAAAGCACAATCCATGAAAGAAAAAACAAACAAATTAGACTTTATTAAAATTAAAAACTTCTGCCCTATGACACTGTTAAGACAATAAAAAGCCAGAGATTGGAAGAAAATCTCTGCAAAACACATACCTAACAAAGGACTGATATCCAAAACATACAAATAACTCTTAAAACTAACAATAAGAAAACAAGCAACTCAACTGAAAATAAAAATGGGCAAAAAGATCTGAACAGATACTTGCCAAAAATATATATTCAGAGGGCAAACATGCACATGAAATGATGCTCAACATCATTTGTCATCAGGGAAATGCAAATTAGGACAACAATGCAGTGCCACTACATACCTATTTGAATGGCTAAAATCTCAAACACTGACAATACCATTACTGGCAAGGACCCAGAATGGCAAGCACTCTCTCATTAATTGCTGGTGAAAACACAAAATTATACAGCCACTGCAGAAGACAGTTTGTCAGTTTTTTAGAAAGCTAAACATAGTCTTATCTTATAATCCATCAATAGTCCTCCTAGGTATTTACCCAAATGATTTTAAAAACTTATGTTCACAAAAGACCTGCATACAAATGTGTATAGCAGCTTTATTCATAATCACCAAAAACTGGAAGCAACCGAGATATCCTTCCATGGATGAATGGACAAACTGTGGTACATCTATACAGTGGAATACTATTCAGCAACAAAAAGAACGAGCTATCCAGTCATGAAAAAACATAGATGAATCTTTTTTTTTTTTTTTTGAGATGGAGTCTTACCGTCACCCAGGCTGGAGTGCAATGGCACCATCTTGGCTCACTGCAACCTCCACCTCCCAGGTTCAAGTGATTCTCCTGCCTCAGCCTCCCGAGTAGCTGGGATTACAGGTGCATGCCACCACGCCCAGCTAATTTTTGTATTTTTAGTAGAGATGGGGTTTCACCAGGTAGGCCAGGCTGGTCTCGAACTACTGACCTCAGGTGATCCACCTGCTTCGGCCTCCCAAAGTGCTGGGTGTACAGGTGTGAGCCACTGCACCCAGCCAGGTGAATCTTAAATGTAT